>NC_000018.10:10010000-10310049 GCF_000001405.40 Homo sapiens | reverse complement strand
TCATGGCCAAGAGAATCATTCCGGATCCCATCTTTGTCTTCCAGGTCCTGGGGACTTTTTCTTCTTATGTCTGTACCTCATCAGTTAATTCTGGCTCCATACAGAATGCAAAAATATCTACTCGCTGCTCTAGGATCCCCTACTGTTAATCATAGAAAGCCAATTGCCGGGTATGAACTTGCAGAAAGCACAATCTTTAGGAACTGAGTGCTCCTTAATGCCTTTTCACAGAAGGAATTATTTCCCTCCAGTTGTCCCTGTGGTTTGTTTGCCATGGTGTCCTCACCTAAGCATTTGAGGAATAAAACAAAAGTGAATGAAAATGGTGGTTGTCTGATTGTTGTCATGGTTGCACGATACTGCAGCTTCCTAACTCTAGCCAGAGAGTTCTGTGTCCATTTTCTTGGTCTAATACGCACTCTACCAATTTGTGTACTCCATGTGCTATTAGAATGCAAAGGTCACTTGAAGCTCTAGCAGTCAAGGAACTGTCCCTCCTCCCCTCAATTACACAGCATGAGACCCTTCCTTTGTAATATTATAAAATCGATTCCCCCTTCAGTACATGTACCTAAGAGATTTTCTAATTGGTCCATTCATGTCCAATATCTACCTCAATGCTGTCCCTACACCAAAGGCTATATTGAAATATTTGTATTTTTCATAAAGCTCATCGTTTAAAAAAAGTATTAAGAAAAAATAAGAGGGAATGTGATCTTGGAGCCACATCATTACTGTTATCAAATTATCTTCATCCTCTAGCCAGCAAATCAACAACAGAGCCCAAGTCTATGCATCTCGTGCCAATGACACAGGTCTCTATGCCACCGCAGAATATAAATTAGTTTTCAAAGTGGCAATCTGGTTATCTAACTATATCTAAACTCCTTCAAGTCAACAACCCCAGAAAATGATCTAAGCTCTTCAGTACTCTTGATGTTAGTGTGATTGATGCCTTATGTTTGTTTTTTTATATAAACAGAAAAATGTAGCATCTATTAATATAAAACTTATTATGAGTCATCCAGGTTTAGAAGTTAGAGTTCAACCGCTTAGAGATATTTTTCAAATGCCATTGCATGAAAGTATTATCTTACCTTTTACTCCATTTTTAAAAGAGATATTCAGCCAAACACTCATACTCATATCCCCATACGCTTATAAGCAACTACCTGCTCAAAAGACTATGATTATGATTTTTAATAGGACTGCACTTCTTCCCAAATTTAGATAAAGTAATTTCTTATATGCCCAAGTAATTATTTAAAACATGAATTAAAATATAGAAAATGTTATACACATACTTATTAAAATTTGTTACTGTAGTAGGCGAACTCAAGAGGTCTGATGTCACAATACCTAGGTTAAATCTTGGCTACATCACTGTTATTAACTAGAATTAAGTTTAGCTGCCTATAAGAAAGAGTCTCTGAAGAACAAAGGCAGAAACAAGATAAGAGTTTATTTTTCTTTCAGAGAGAAACCCAAAGGAAGGCAGTTTAAGGCTTCACAAAGTCATTAACAAGCCAGACCACTTGCCACTCTCCATGACACTCTCTAAGATCCGACCTTCATCCTAAAGGCTGAAGATGGCTGCTAGAGCCCCAGCTACATCCACATTCCAGTCAGCGCAAAGGAGGAAACAGCAAAAAAGGCAAACACCTTCCCTTAGAAAGACTGCCTGTAAGTACCACACAATACTTCCTCCCACAGGTCATTGCCCAAATCTTAGTCATGTGGCCACATTTAGCTGTGAGGGAGGCTGGGAATCACATAATTTTAGCAGGAAACAATATAATTTAATACTTTGTGCAGAACAGTAACTCAGTAAATAAGTAATCTCTACAAGTAAGATTATATGCTAAGATTTTAGGAAGATGTCTTTGATTACATGGACTCAACACTTTAACTACAGATTGATTTGGAAGAGATGATACTAGCTACAATGAACTCTTGGAATCAGTGTGTATCCATGAGTGAACTTAATATGGAGCACGTTTTCTGGAAAGCAGTCAGCCTCTTCTGTCTCATCTCTCACTTTATGCTCCAGCCTCACTGGGCTGTTCTGATGTTTTTCAATGCACAGTAGAGTCTCATGCCTCTCCCTTTCTTCATTCACTCCTTCTTTTGAAGATGCACTTCTCCACTCCTAATTTCAACTCTACCTGCCCAAATTCATCTCTTTTTTTAAGATGCAATTCAAATACTTCCATTTTTGTGAAGACTTTTTGGGCCATATCAATATAAATAAATCTCTCACTCTTTCACACTCAGATTTCATTATATCTAGTTTCATTTCTCATATCACAGTTTTGTGTACCTGTCTTTCTCTTTTATTAGGTTTTATACCCTGTGAGGGCAAATACTATCTTACTCATATTTGTGTCCTCAGGATCTGGTACAAAAGATTAGTACATTGAAGGTGGTCATTAAAAATGCACTGAATAGACTAGCACTACATGAATGACTTAGTTCATTTCATGTTGCTGTAAAACAATACCACAGGCTGGGTAATTTATAATAAAAAGAAATTTGTTTCCTGTAGTTTGGAGGCTGAGAACTCCAAGGTAAAGGGACTGCATCTGGTGAGGGCCTTCTTGCTGTGTCATAACATGGCAGAAGTCACACCAGGGAGAGAAGAGTACATGAGAGAAAGCCAAACTGGCTTTTATAACAGATCCCCTCTCGGGATAGCTAACCCATTCCCATGATAACCCATTAATCCATTAACTTATGAATAGAATAATCCATTCATAAGGGCAAAACCCTCATAACCTAATCTCCTCTTAAAGTTTCCACCTTGTCCCACTTCTTAATAGCATCACAATAGCAATTAAATTCCAATGTGAATTTTGGAGGGAACATTCAAACCATAGCAATGAAATAATGAGGAAAGAGAGTGCATTTATTTACACAGCTAGGATAATTTTTTAATTTCATAAGATCAACTCTCAGATACTGCATATTGATACAACTCCCTGGCACGTAATTGCTACATTTCTACATATTGAATTTTGGTGCAGTTAGGCATTACTTTCCTGCTCACAGTTAGTTTCAGTTAATGGATTATCTCATGTGAATAAATATGTCAACCAAACAGGCAGCAGTGAAGGACAGCCTGAACTTCACAATCATATTTCCACTTCACCATCTCATTCACTAAGTTAGGCTTCTAGATTTCTACGGTGACAGACCAATGTAATAACTCTACCAGTCAAAGAAGCAGTTACTGTTTTACTTATATTGACCACAGGACTTGGAGAATCACAGACTCAGAAAAAAATGTCCCATTTAAATATAGAAAAGGGCAGTAAAGATTTGAAGCCTCAAAGGCTACTCAAATAAGAACAAAGAAATGTGTCCAGGTTTAATTTCTAGCACTAGGTATTCTGAAGGAAAACCTAAGAATCTGAGAAAGAAACCTAAGAAGGCAGACTAAAATAGGAATAAATATAGTAAAACAAATGCAAGATTTGTATACTCATTTGTACGTCATTGAAAGAAATTAAAGAAAACCTAAATAACTGGAAAGACATCTTTCCATGAATCTTTCCATGGATTGAAACAATATTGTTAAAATGGCAGTAGTCATCAAAGGGATCCACAGATTCAACAAGTCTCTATCAAAATACCAGCTGCTTTGTTTTTCTTTTGCAAAAATTGACAAATTGTAATTTTATAATACTAAAATTTACATGAAAACGTAAAGAAACCCAAATAGTCAAGGTAATTTGATGGGAAAAAGGGGATAACAAACTTAGAAGATACATACTTCTTGATTTCAAAACTTAATCCAAAGCTACAGTAATCAAGACTTGTGATATTGGTATAATGATAGACATGTAGATCAATGGAGTAGACTTGAGAGTTCAGAAAGACACCCTTACATTTATGGTCAGTTCATTTTTGACAATTCCATTAAATGAGATGATTCAATGGAAAAAGAATAGTCTTTATAACAACTCATGCTGGGACAAGTGAATATTGACATGCAAAAAAATGAAATTGAACCCCCAGTTTACACCATGTATAAAAATTAACTCAAAATGGATTATAGGCCTAAATTTAAAAGCTAAAATATATAACTCTTAGAAGAAAACATAGGAGTAAATTTTAATGTGCTTCGATTAGTGCCAAATTGCAAAAGGGAATTGAAAAAGCAGTACTGTTGGGGGAGAGGGTTTGTGACAGAAAGGAGTCACCAACCCTCTAGGTATCAGTTATATGGGTGTTTTCATGTGTGAAAACTCATCAGGTTGTACATTTATGAATTGGTCACTTTTCTTTGTTATCTCTCAAAAAGTTCACTTTAAAAAAACAAAGAAGGCATGCTACTACCTCAGATTTTTGCAGGACATTACTTTCTAGCAAGCAAATGGACATGTGAGTTTAATGTACCCAAGCTCAAGAGAAGCACTGGGCCACAGCCACTTGGGAAGATAAAGACTTTAAAGTACGAGTGGAGCAGAGGCTGCTAGGCAGGTAATCTTCAGGGACAGGAGATGGGAGGCAGTTCGAGGCCTCAGCACCAGGCTTTGGGGCCTGAGAGCCCTGAGCCATCCAACTGAGGGCTGTACATGATCAGAACAAAGGACCAGAATCAGGCTTCCCATAGGTTCTCTGCAAAATTACAAGTGCCAAGAAGGCAGGACGTGAGTTTTGTTCACCATTGCATCTGTAGTGCCTGTTCACAGTGGCTGCATCATAAATGAATTTTCGTTCAATGTACTCCAAATTCACAACACAGGTACTTTCTCCTTTCCTGTACTTTCTCATGGAAGAGGGAAGTGTGCTGTTCATGACATATGCTCATTGTGTGCCCCATCTGTTCCCCGTGGTTCAGGGCAGGATGGAGGCCCTGGAAGGCATTCAGGGTTACTTTTGCCTCTTGTGTGGAAAAGTGACTTTGTGTGCCCAGCCAGATGTTGCTTATGCAACATGCTCGCACGATGTGAAATGGCAAGCCATGTGAAAGACAGTAGACACAAAGGACATCAAACATTGCAAAATTAGTTCTTCTCATGTGCTGTGCCAAATTAGTCATGGACCATTTGTTGTAGGAATGAATCATGAGCACCAGCTCATACAAGCAGGACCCCTAGTCCTCTTTCCTTGGGTATCTGTGGTTCTGCATGAATTTCAAAGTTTGGGGGCTGGGCCCAGGGAGCCTGGGGGCTCCTTCCTGCTGGTTTTCCCTGGAACTTGCCACTGGGTGGAGAGCTCCCTGGGGACAGACAGCACAATCTGTGCTGGTCAAGCTCTTATATAAGAGTTGTTACTACAAGTTCACAGCAGCTTAAATGGGTCTTTCCTATGGATTTTAAGACCTTCAGAAACTAGAGCTTTGGGACTTGGACATCTTTTTATGATTTCTGTCTCATTGCATGGATTAGTCTTCATTTCCTCCCTGAAGCTATTTGCATTCTTAACTGAGCAACAGAGACTCATGAAAACTGGACTTTCTCATTTTAATTAACTCCCCAAAAGGTCAGTCCACTGGTCAGAGCAGAACAGAGGTGGGGGAACACTGAGTTTCAGCCATGACTCTCCTGTTGGTGCACGTGTGAGCTGGGCCAAATCATTTCCCTTCTCTGTAGCAGGCACCCTCAACCCTAGAAGATGAACAGGCCCCACTCTCCACTCTCCCTGTCAATTCTAGCCCTATGACCTTAAAGGACCTTGTAACCTGCCAGAATCCAAGCGATCAGACTCCAAACCTAAAGAGACTGAAGTTATGAGCTATGCTCAAATATTTGTAACAAAACATAGGACTATGCTTTATTTGCTTCAGGGGGAAGAACCAGAATGATTTGGTAGAAGCTACTCAGACAAAGATTTGAGCCAAACAAAAAAAAAGCTTTGCCTGAAAATAGACCTGCAAATCAGCCAATTTGACCTAGCAAACAGAGCATTCCTCATTAGAAGATGCGTACAAGGAGACCCTCAGGCATACAAAGAGACCTCATCAGAGATGCCTCACTAGGCTTTAGGGGACAGCAGGAGTCTGGAACTAGGTTCAAATCTTGGCTCTGATGCTTACACAAGCATGCAACTCCGGACAAGTCCTTCAACCTCTCTGATACTCAAGTATCTAGTATATCAAGTCAAAATGATGATAATCTTTATCTCAGGGGTTGTTGTAGGGGTCAAGTGAGATAGAGCACATGGAATGCTTAGTACTTGGTGCAGCAGAGAGAACGTAGTGAGAGCTCGGTCAATTCTACTTGCCCACACTACTATTTATATGTGAATTGGAAGGGGAGACTCTAGCAGCCTTTCTGGGGCTGAAAGAACATGTCGCTCTGCCTACATGGCTGGAAGGCTGAGAGTGGGTCTGCAGTGAGTGTAAAAGCGTGGTGTGAATTTAGGCAGGGCCAGATCATAAGAGACCACAGGCTTATTAAGGACTCCGGCTTTCCCTAAGAAGCCACAAGGAGCCCTAGAAGACTTTAAAGATGAAGATGGGCATGATCAGATGAGTCTTTGGAAAGTCTGCTCTGATTGCCTTGTGGAGACAGAATTAGAAGACTCAGGATAGATGCAGAGAGAGAACAGATGACACTCACTTCAGTGGTTTAGGTAGGGAACGATCAGTGGGGCTGCAGAAGTAGAGAGAAATGGGCAGATCTTAGAGACACTTAGAAGGAAAGTGGAGACTTTCTGGCATGTGCAATTGGATGTTGATGATGTCATTCAATAGTAAACACTGGAAGAGGTCTAGGCTGGCCATAGGGGAGAGGGGAGAGAATGGTGAATTTTGGTTATATCGAGTTGCAGGTGGCTACAGTGTTGATGTCAGATTGGATCCATGCATCTCAAATGCAAGTGAGAGGCCAGGTGGAGGTCTGAGTCATTGAAGGGGGCATAAACTGGTGGTCTCAGGGAGATAACATAGACTAAGATATTCTTCAAGAGGAAATTAATGCTTGAGAGGAAGGGGAGAGTCAGCAGAGGAGACTAAGACACAGCCAGAGAGATGAGAAGAACTGAGGGAGGGTGGAATCCAGAAGACCAGAGAAGAGCACGTCAACTATTAGTCAATAGTTGTGTCAATTCCTGCTGAGAGGTCAAATAAAATAATGGCCTGTGGAATTTAGTGCTCTTGGCCTTCACCAAGGCACTTTCAGCAGAATGATGGGGTGACAGGTGGACTGGAGGGGGCTGGGAGAAGGGGAGGTAAGAAAAGGCAGACAGTGGGCAGATGCACAACTCCTTCGAGAAACTGGCTCTGATCTGTGGGAGTTGCACTTTCCGCTTGGAGGGGAAAGTCTCATCAATGAGTTTGGTTGGTTGGTTGGTTGGTTGGTTGGTTTTAAGAAGGGAAGGCTTAAACCTTTGCTAATCTAATGGGAAGAACTTGGTCATCAGGGAGCTATTCTGAGGGGAAGGAGCCAGGCGGTTTTGGTCAGGGGTAGTGGAGTACCCCCAGCCCTCCACCTTGGCTCTGCCTGGCACCCCTTCTGCAACTACCACCACCCATCATGGGGGTCTGCCCCCAAGCATGTTTGCAGTTGAGATGGGAATTGCACAATGGACTGAGTACTGGGGCTTCTGAATATCCTTGTGTTTTTATTCAACAAAAGCCATGTTGTTTTTCCATGAACCATCATTTGTTTGTGAGAAAGAATATGTCAGTTGCAAGCCCACTTTGTTTGATACTGATAGAAACATGGTGTAAGATTCAAAAACCAAAAAAGATCAAACTACAAGTAAACTAAGCATCCCCTGGCCCAGCCACCTCGTCCCTGAGGAGAGAGCAGGACCTGTGGTCCAAAAAACCCAGCTGAGCCCTGACTCATCACTCACTGGCTGGATGGTCTTGGCCAAAGTGTGCATTAGGTTTTATTCCTTCATTTATTAAATAACCATAGCAGGTGCCTGCATTAGAACACACAATACACTCAGCTCAGGGATACCGAGATGAGTAAAACCAGCAGCTGTCACAGCTTCGACTCCTCTTCTCCAAATGAGCTCCATGGTCCTTGTACCATCTGCCCTTAGTGAGGACCAAACAAGAGCAGAAGTGCTTTAGCTCATAAGGCACTGTACACGTGACAGCTAGCCCCATCTTGACGAGTCACTTAGAAGATCTTATCCTGCTTTCAATAAGTACACAGTCAGACTGGAATATGAGGTGTGTACACATTAAAACAAACAAAACAACTAACAAAAAGGCAATGCACAGCAAATGCAAAATGAGTAGAAACTTTCCAGGTACAAAAAGTCCAAAACAGTGAAGGGAGATCACTGTGTTTTGGAGAAAATGGAGAATTCCAAGGTCTCAAAATAGAATGTGGTGAAAAGAAGGAGAGGCGAAAACTCAGAGAGGGAGAATGGTGAAGGCAAGACTATGGATATAAAAGGGCAGTATTTCTAGTATCCAAAATTAGCAGAGTCATATTCAAATCCTTGCCCATTTCCATATGAAGAGTCCCTTGAAGCCACCTGGGCTGTTGCTAACCATCTCAGTGGCTTTATATTTCACCTTCCTGAACCCAAGATGCTGTTCACTGTGGCCACCTCATTCCCAGGTTTCAGGGCCTGGAGAACAACAAGAACCAGTTGCACTTACAGTTTGCAGTGTTTTGTCTTAGACTTAGATGTTTTCCTGTTGCAAAACACACACGACGTTTTAGAATCACAAGATCCTAGAAGGGACTTAGGAGTAAGAAGATCTTGGTTCCAGTCAATGATCTGCCTCTTAACAGCCTGCTGCCTGGGTGAGCCACTCAAGCCTCTGAGCCCCTCTCCTCACCGGGACATGGAGATACTGATGCCAGCCCCACCACCCACTTCCCAGGGTCCCCGTGAACATGAACCGATCTGCACAAGAAATGAATGCAACATAGATATTATTATTAGCTAGTTCACTGATTCTCAGACTCTCCTGATCCCTGGAGTGCCTTGCGGGCCATCTCAGGGGTGAAGGAGCCAAACGGTTGAGCTGTCCTACAGCCCACAACCCCAGAAGCCGAGCTTTGATCTGCTGTCCATAAGGGTCCTCTATTTATGTGTTGAATGAGGTTTAGCCTAAAGCTGCCTCTCTACATATTTTAAGTTCAGTCCAAAGGTTTCTCTGTGCACAGTGAAAAGCAACCTAACTGGAAAGGTAAATAGATGTAACCTACTCTGTGCCAATCATCGAGTTTCAGCCAATCAGATGTGGCCAACTGTGCAAACTGTGTTCAAATCAGGCAAACGCGGAGCTGTAATCAACATGGCTGTTTCTGCGCCTCCCCCTGTTTTCTGCACCTCACTTTCCTTTTTCTAGCATAAATCCTCTTCAACCATGTGGCAGTGCTAGAGTCGTTCTGAACCTATTCCAACTGGGGGAGCTGCCTAATTTACAAATCATTCATTGTCCAATTAAGCTTTGTTAAAATTATTTATCTAAATTTAATTTTCTTTTTTTTTCTTTTTTTGTGTGTGTGTATGACAGGTTCAGTGAGAACCTGTTGCCCAGGCTGGAGTGCAGTGACAGGATCATAGCTCACTGCAGCCTGTACCTCCTGGACTCAGGTGATCCTCCCACCTCACACCTCAGTCTCCTGAGAAACCGCAGGTTCCTATCACCATGCCTGGTTAATTTTTATACTTTTTGTAGAGACGGGGTTTCGTCATGTTGCCCAGGCTAGTCTCGAACTCCTGGGTTCAAGTGATCCTCCTGCCTTGGCCTCCCAAAGTGCTGGGATGACAGGTGTGAAATTTTTTCTTTGTACATATGAAACATGTTTTCTTTTAACATATGAAACACTTAACATTTATAATTCATTTTAAAGAATCTCCTTCACTTAAAGGAGTGTTTTTAAAAATCACTGATATTTCATCTTCTCATTTTACAGACAGGAAAAGTGAGGCCCAGAAAGGTTAAGCCATCTGCCCCAGGGACACACAATGGCAGAGCTGCGGAGGCTATTTCTGATATTCTTGCTTCAGTGCTCTGTCCACCCCTTTGTTGTTGGTCAGGCAGATGCTGGAATGTTCCACAAATATAACCAAGAGAAAACAACTCAAGTTCCTACCCTGCAGTGTAGATACACCCCTTGCAAAGGAAGAGCCATGTGGTTTGTAAACCACAGTTTGCCCCCAGGACTGTGGAGTGAGTCTGGAAGGCGTGGGGGTGGTGCTGCGGGGCTCACATGGTGGCCATGTGGGGAAGCCTAGACAGACACATGGCAAGGACACGCTGTCCATCATGCCAGCTCCCATCTCCGCGGCGCACACACCAGCTGCCTTGCAAACAAACTGTACAAATAACCCCCTCCCCACACCATCTCTTGCATACTTCAGGCCTTGATTCAAGCAGATGTGTTTCCTCTTTTAAAAATAAAAGAGGCATTAATTTTCACCAGCCTTCTCCCTCCCCTCCTCCATTCCCCAAGGACTCAAATTCCTCCTTCCAGCAAACTCGGCTACCCTCAGTTCAAAATTGCAGTTCAAACTTCAGATTATCATTTGGTAGAACATTTGGAAAATCACCTCATTCAGAAACAATTAAGGTTTTATAAGATAATGTGTGTTGTTGAAAACATCCCATTATTTTTAAGTAGGGAAAATTCCAGAAATTCTATCTATTCATCTCTCCTATCCAATAGTTCTTGTTTTCTATGTGAGGAAAAGTCTTCTTCTTGGAATATTTAAGAGAAAATATGCATGAGAAATATGTCAAGTCATTGCATGGATATCTACCAATGTCTGAGAAATGGCCCTTGACCTAGAGTTGCTTCCATGTTTGTTGGTGAGGTATGGTACAATACAAAGCTGGATATTTCTGTAAGTCTTTCATGCATGTACATTATACGTATGTGTATGTGTCTGTGCATTTGATGTGTGCCTGTGCATATGTATATGTGAGCATACTTGCATATGCGTGTATATGTATGTATACGTGTGTGGGTGTGCATGTGCGTGTGTGGACATGAGTGTGTGTGTGTGTGTGTGTACCATGTGTATACCATAAGTTCTGATTGCTGCTAAGGACCAGAGGCCGTCACTGGCTAGAACAGAAGGAAGAGTGTGGCCCTGAGAGGCAATGGCACCTGGGGGTAGATGGGGAAGTACAGACAAGGGTGTCCCTTGACAAGGAAATAAGTGAACTGAGGCACAAAGGCAGGAGGACCAAGAGGCTGCAGGATCCAGGGGAGATCACATGTGAATTAATCTACAACAGATTCCTGCATCCAAACCGGAACTAGGGCTTTGGGTAACGTCAGCCATAGGCTGAATAGTAGAAAAACATTGAGAATCACAGCTACACACAGGGGATTGGCATTACCAGAGAGCCTGTCTTCACTGCCCAGTAACATGCACGTGATTTACCACCTGTGCAGATGAGGCAGGGCCCACTGCTGCCACCTCCAAAGTTCCCAAAAAGAGCCCCCCACCCTCCAGTCATGTGAAGTGGGACTGCATCAGCTGAATAGGCACAGGCTGATCCCATTTAAATAATGATATGATTGTACCTCCCATTCTGCAGAGGAGGAAGCGAGGCTCGGAGAGGGGAAATAACTTGAGCCCGAGGTCACTCAGCTATAACAGATACTGAAGCAAGCCCCCGCAGCCTGTGCTGAGGGCATCTGTTTTGTGTTCTCCCTCTGCCCTGGGTCAGTGCCCATCCAGCCCTCAGCACAGCCTGGAACACCGGTGTCAGCTCTTAGTAGTTTCTCTTGGCTAAAGCGAACCCTAGAGGTGCACCACACGTAGCTCATTTTTATAAGCTCTGTAAATACCCTCTCCATTGTCTGAATATATATGGGTTTGAAAGATTTTAATTCCATGAGTACATGTTGCATTCTCTGGAACATTTCTTCACAGCATGATATGCTGGAGCTCCAGAGAAAAGGTAGGGATCAGGCCTCAGGGCCTCTCTTTCCTCCTCCTCTAGTGAGTGGTGTGCTAAGGAGGCAAACAGAGATGGAGGGAGTAGAGTGGGGAGAGTGGATGGTGTGGAGGGTCACCCACCGAAAGAACCGAGGTTCAGGCAGGGCCAGGAACTCTGCATACCAGTGCCGTGCTGACCAGTGCACCCTGAGGGTCACTGCAGAAACACACAGCAGGGCACCCTGGGGAGTGAGGCTGGGTCTTTCTCAGGAAACAGCAGGCCCCAGAGCCACAGGTTGTTTCCTGGGAACCCGCTCCTAAGTGGACTGCCCTTCGCTCCTGCCAGGCCTGGCTCCCTGACAAGTGGATTGCTGTAAAGAAACTTATTAGAAATGAGGGTGAAAATCCACTAAGGATCATCAGGGCTGCTTCCCCCTCACAGGTCTCCAGCATGCACAGAAAGTAAAGGTCTGATGCTTGGCCACTGCCAAAGGTGATCAAGTGGGACCAGGTGTCCAGAGGCCTCCTAGAACAGCTTCTGGAGGGGGAGAAGCAGGAAGGAGGGATGGGGCAGCCCCTGCCCAGCAGGGCATCTCAGCCCAACCGCAAGGACTTGCCTCTTCTTACCTTTTAATCTTAAAGATCCTTGAAAGAGATTTTCAATTTTCCTTCCTCAACCCAACAGACATGGAATGACAGTCTGAAGCTGCTTAAATTAAAAAAAAAAAAAACACATGGGAGGTAGGGTGGGGGCAGGGAGGTGCCAGGCACAGCCAGCTGCCTCAGTAGCTCCTTTGTTCTGCAAGGAGCCTTAGGGGTTGCAAAGGGCCCCACATCACCGAGGGCCCAGGCTGAGACAGAGACGGAGCCCCCACACACCACGGCACTGGCTGTGCACAGCCGCCCTCCTTTGATCACAGGTGTGTGCTCTGACTGTCATTCCACTTCAGTGACCACATAGAGCCTCTCTAGGAAGGGGACTCGACTCAGGGACTGTGACAAAGGACTGAGTGTCAGAGCCAGCTTTGTGGCCCAACACTGAAGGGATCCTCTTTCTCATTGGGAGGATTGCTTTCCTTTGCCATTCATCAGGACGATGAAGACGTGCGTGGTTGAAAGGACGCATGTGGAGCTCTGAGATGGGACTCACCGTGGGGGCCCGCTGGCTGGTGCTAGGAGGGCATTGGGAGCTCCGGTGCATTTGGATGCTCTTCAGCTGGGCACATCATTACTTCTTTTTTTTTTTTTTGAGACGGAGTCTCGCTCTTGCCGCCCAGGCTGGAGTGCAGTGGCACAATCTCAGCTCACTGCAATCTCTGCCTCCCGGGTTCAAGCGATTCTCCTGCCTCAGCCTCCTGAATAATTGGGATTACAGACATGCGCCACCACGCCCAGCTAATTTTTTTGTGTATTTTTAGTAGAGACAGGGTTTCACCATGTGGGCCACGCTGCTCTCAAACTCCTGACCTCAGGTAATCCACCCGCGTCGGCCTCCTAAAGTGCTGGGATTACAGGCGTGAGTCACCACGCACAGCCACATCATGACTTCTGAAACTGTTCCAGAAGAGAGGGCCCAAGCGGTCTGTTCATTACTCAGAATTATATCTGGAGCAAATAACAGAACCCCCCGCCTCCGCCCCCGCCCCCAAGTAACTGTGACTTAAAATGGAGACAGGTAGACATCTTTGATGTTTACAACCCAGTGTTCTGTGAGACTTGGGGCCCCTGGCTCCCTTCAGCTCACACTTCCGCATCCCTGAGGCACAGTGGTCACCCTGAGCTCAGGACGGTGTCAGCAGCAGGAGAAAGGGGTGCATGGAGATGGGGCACAGGCAGGCGCTGGTTGTCTCCTAAGGAAAACACCCCGCAACCTCCCGCAACTCTTCTGCTTAAATATATTATTGGCTGGAATTCAGTTTCATGACTTCAACTGCCTTCAAGAGAGGCTACAAAACACAGTCATTATTTTATTTTGAGACCCATCGTTCTGGCTAAATATCTAGCACCCTGGAAGAAATGGAGAAATACCAGCAAGCTCCATCACAGCCTCCTTCACCAGAAGTTTGTGCTTGTCACAAATCCTGTCCACAAATACAGCATCCTGCAACGGCTGCTGAGTTTCTTATCTCTACCAGAATTATCTTCCTAAAGCAATTGACTCATGTTCCTCCATGCTTTGAACCCTTCTGTGACTCTCCACTTTGGGAAGGAAGAATTGGAAGTTCCTATCCTGCCTCACAATGGCACAGAAGATTCAGATTGTGTGTTGAAGCTGCCCCACTTCCCCAAGCCACACTCACCCATTTCCTTCTCAGTGAGGCTCCGGCATTTTGCACCTACTACCACCATGGCTCTCATGAGATTATATCACATTGTTAAATTCCAGCAGCAAGTGGCTACTTGAACAAAATACAGACTCACAAGTAAGAAAGACACTGGCTGCCTTGGCTGTAAGACTACTGCATCCTAGAGGTAGATTGTCACAGCTGACCCTGGACCAACAATGTCCGCCTCCCCTCTTCCCAGCATCCTACTGCCCTTGTGTTACCTTGCTCTCTGGAAGGCAAAGTGGGTGAATTACACAGGCAGCAGGTGGCTAAGTCCTGTGTGCACAGTGTTAATGGATCTGGCAGGTTGATACAGCAGATGCCTGCACAGCCTGGGGACCAGGAAAAAGGAGTTTGCATCCTGACAGTTAGGAAACCATGGTTATCCTGCTGAGACAAAGGAGGAGGGTCCATGTTTTCAGAAAAGGGGCATTTCTGGCAATTGCGTAGCTTTGCTTCTGCATGAATAAGGGTTCTAAAAGCAGATTTTGTCCTCAGATGCAAAAGAACATGGAAGAAAGGACCTCATAGTATAGACCAGAGTTCAGACAGGGCATTGCTTCCATAAGCACCGCAGGTCAGTCATGGTCCTTTCTCTTCTGATGACAAGGTGAGTGTGGCACCTAGTGCCCCACGTTATTCCCAGAACATGGAACACTTTCCTTCCATGAGGCTGACTTGGGTTGCCGCAGGTTCTGCAGCATGTGTTCACACTGCTGCTGCGGGGCCCTGCCTCGAAAGCAAGTCAAGCTGGACTTAACTGGACTGGCTTGGGCTCAAAACACAACGTTGACAAACGGAAAGCTCTAAAACTCATGGCTATTAGCTTTCCCTCCACCCCAGAGCCATCCTTTCCCAGAGCCACTTCCTGAGATTCTTAACGTGAGTCACAGTCCTGTTCTGGTCCCTGCTCAGCAAGTGTCTGGGGACAGACTTCTTCCCATCAGAGGCCTGCCTAGGCTCTGAGGATACAGTGGTGAACGGAATACGGGAACTTCTCACATGGGGATCCTCATGGAGGAGCCTCATCCATGTCTTTGCAGATGACGGGCCCAAAACTGAGCCTCCAGCAAATCCTAGAGACAGAAAGTGGACTCAGGGCTGCCTGGACTTGGGAGCCGAGTGTGAGTGTGAGGACAGAGGGTGTGGCTGTTAATGGGGATGGGATTTTCCTTCAGGGATACACAAATGTTTTAAAATTGGATCTTGGAGGTGGTCACACAACTCTATGAATTTACTAAAAATCACTTCAAATGGGTGAATTACGTGGTATGTGAGTTATATTTCAACTAAACTTTTTTTTTAAGAAAGCCTAACCTAGTTTCTTGACTACTACGTCTTCATTCACACGCCCTTCAATCATCCACACTTTTGTGTATGTGGGACGTTGTCAGAACCCCAAACTGCTGGACCTCGCATCCTGACACTGCAATCTTGACAGGTGACATCCCATCTGCTCATGACAACAGCTCATCCAGACTTCAGGGTAGGCCCCTGGCTCAGTCCTCCATCCAACCCTCGCTCCCTCACCCAGACTGAAAGCCCAAGCAGATTTTTGCCAGCGGCCCTGCCAGCGGCCCTAAACACCCCGGTAGCCTCTCTACCTCCACTTCTCCTTCACTTCTTCTCCCCTCCCTCCACATCCCTCTTAGAGCGTGTGGTTTGCAGGATGCTATTGATCTGCGGTTTCTTGCAAGGGCCACACTGTTTCTCTGTTTCCTATCTCTGCCCTGACTCACCAGGGTACCTCTGCCGGGATAGCCTTCTCCCACACCACCTTGTCTGAATTGTTCACCTCTTCTTCAAAGACTTCCCCTCTCTCACAAGCGCAGCCTCTCCTGACAAAAAGTGCTGAGCCCTGGAGCCCTGGGAATCTGTAGCCTCTATAGATCCCGGGATCTCTCTAAAGTCTCCGTCTGCAGGAACGCCGGCTCCAGGGGAAGGAGAGCTGATGAGTTCTGTCCCCTGGTGGGAGGGGCAGGAAGTGGGGAAGGTTGGGGTCTTCCACACCAAATTGTAGTTTGTTTTCTTCCAAAGTGTTGAGAATCAAGCACATCTTTTACCTCAAAAATTAATTTCCTTCTGAAAACCCCCATCTAGTCTGAATAAGACAGTCTTAGTCTTCCTATATAACTAACTTTGACTTTACTTCTTGTGAGCTAATCATCCTGGTCCCAACAGGCTCCTCGCCTGGATTCCATTTCAAAGCTCTCCCACATTAACCAACAATGATGTTTTCCCCAATTATCTCTCCCTAATCTCTAGGATTCTGCCCTGGCCATAGTGTGGGATATAATGGGCTTTCTCTTCAAACAATCCGATCATCT
Organism: Homo sapiens; assembly: GCF_000001405.40. NCBI lineage: Eukaryota > Metazoa > Chordata > Mammalia > Primates > Hominidae > Homo > Homo sapiens. Next base: position 10,293,575 of record NC_000018.10, on the reverse strand, counting down.
TTTATTCTTTCATTCATAGTACCTCCCCTTTTCTTCTTTTTCTCCTTTTTGCTTTTTGCCTTTGTTAGATGCCTAGGCACGCCTCAGTACCAACCGTTATCAGTACCAACTTACATTCCTTTCCTTACTAAAAAAAAAACAAAAAAGTAATTTTCGAGCTCATTACAGACACCCCTTCCCCTTTCTTATCACTTTCTTTTTCTTTTATGTACCCACCTTATCTAAAAATATCAAATGTTTAGCCAACCGAGATTAGTTTAGATTGTACGACCCAACCCCAGCCAATGAAAAAAGGGTACAGGGGCAGAACTTGTGTCAAAAATAATGGCTCTCGTGCCCTTTGTTCAAGTGTACTCTCATGGCAACTGGCCAAAGAGACACCCCTCTGTGCAAAAACAAAATTGCTTTACTAAAAATCTTTTGTTCAAGTGTTCAATTTCCTTAAGATTTTAAGCATTATTCCTAACAATAGGAAAGGATGGTGGTAGTGCCAATATCTTCATATACAAGGAGGGAAGGAAGGAAGATACTAAGGAAGGGCAGGAGAGAAGTAGACAGGGTGGAGATTTCACCTCTATGATGTTCATACTTGCTCCTCAAGCCTGTACTTTGGGGTGTTCTTAGTCATAAAAACTCACAGGCTCATTCCTCCATTCTATGGGATGAACAGACAGCGTGAAATCTCAGCTTACGCTCAACGATAATTGCACTTTGAACTTTTCCTTCTAGATAAAATTTGCATTTCAGCAAAGGCCTGCAAGGACTCCACTAAAAGACATGACTAATTAACATTCTGTAATGATAACGGGACCACTGGAGAGGGGGTAGATAGATCTTTCACAGAAAGATCCTTCTCAAATCACAGCATTTGAGGTAACCTATGAGAGCATTGGCCATAATGCTTGGCACATAGATGTTCTCAAGAAAGCGTTGTTTTCTGTGTTTTATATTATCTGACTTATTAATCAAGTGTTTCCTAGTAAGCACATCTGCAGTTACATTGTTTATCCAATTAATGAAATTGGAAGTAGGTCTTGGAGAGTACTGAGGGGTTGGGGGAGTGGAGGGAAGGCCCTCTCCTGTGCCGAGGTGCTCACAGATCGTCCATGGGTCTTGAGGCCCCTGCTTCAGATGGTGGTAAGATCTGTATACAATCTGCAGAGAAAGTTTCACCCTGGGGAGTTCCCAAAAACATTTGAAAAACTCTATGGGCTCGTGTTTTTCTTTGCAAATGCCCCCGTAGGAAAATAATAATAATAGTTAAAGTGGAGGCCTCACATAGCACATGCCAGGTGGTATACTAAGAGATTCATTTTGATTATGTTGCTTTGGTAAGTACATTATTATCCCTATTTTACAGATGAGGAAATTGAAACTTAGAAAAATAAAATACATTTCCCAAAGTCCCCAGCCCTAGTGAGCGGTAGAGGACCATTTGGGCTTTCCCTCCACTCCCCACGGAGCAGGATGTGGGGAGCAGAGTGAGGGGCTTCCAGGGTGCACCGCAGATGGGACAGTGGGAAGCAGCGGTATAAACACATGAAGGAAATGGGGTTATAGGACATATCTATAACTCTATGAGAGAATTCCCATAAAAATCACATGAGAACGTGGCTGGGGGCTGTGTGGAGGCTACGTTTAAACGAAGCAAGCTGTGCAGTCCGTGAGCCGAGCCGCGCTGGTTTGTCTGCTCTGCCCAGCAGGGTGGAGCTCAGAAACAGGCCCGAGAGCTCAGAAATCACAGAGCACAATACACATTGAGTCAGGCTCTTCTTAGCCTTAATGCTTCAACATACGATTTCTTTTCCAGGCAAAGCTGAGCTGTGTCTGGGCTGATTCATTTGTGAAGTCAAAGGGCATTGTGCTTGGAGCTGGCAAAGGACTCTGTCCTGGATCTCTGAAGGCCGGCTTCCTCCAGTGGCCAGGAGGCGTCCCTTTCCCAACAGTGGGTGGGATCCAGGGTCAGCTCCTATCCAGCAGAATGAGGCCGGGTAGCTGGGCCCACGAGGGTCTGCTCTCGAGCCTTTCTGCGAGAACCTGGGCCTGGTGTCACCAAGAGGACAGCAGCCCCTTGATGGAAGGTCCACTGTGGTCCATATTAATGGCATCATCCCCAGCTTTAACTTACGTCCAACAAGCATCTTAAAATACTGAGATTGCACAGGAAACTAGGAATTTATGATAAAAATAAAAATCGTTTACAGTATCTCTAAATATTGCCTAAAGATGTTTCCCACCTGGGATGGTGGTATTCATAAAGTTGCTCCGACCCCAAGGAGGTTATGAAGTGTTCGTGAATGTAGCTTCCTGCTTCAGTATGGAAATCTTCAGGCTGACATGAAGATCGGGGGGATGATTCAGGCCCCAATTTCCAAATCTCCAGGTGAGGTGAGGTGCAACTTCCAGGCTCAGGGAAGAGTGTCTCTCAGTGTCGTCCTGCCCAGGCGGCTCACCCGGACAGCAGCGCAGGCACCGATCACGTGGGCCAGTCAGCTGGCCACTGCTCCCTCTGAGCTCATGGCTTCCCAGTGAAAGCCACACCACATTGAGGGCCCTGACTCATGGCTGGGAGAGGAACTCCATCCACGATCATTTTAGGGATACAGGGCTGTTCTTTTGCGTTCTGGGAGCTTCATGGGGCCGTTACAATGTGACTTAGCACTTTGTTTCAGAAATGACCAATTAGTTCCTTTTAAGTCCCCTGTAAGGAGGCCAGTGACATGTTCTTGGAAATGTAAATTCATTGGTTTGTGAAGCTAACTTATGAGAAACCACCAGGTTAGCCCATTGTGTCATGCCCACCAACGAAGATGTCCCTTTATGGCTATGGGACCTGGCCTGAATATGGGCCTGGCTCAGGACTGTCCTCTGGGAAGCCCAGCACTGAAGCACTTGGCCACTGGACATCCCCAGACAGAGGCCTGAGCTTCTGAGAGCCAGCAGGCAAGGAGGAAGATGTACTGCTGCCCCTGATATCCAAGGAGGGCTGGGTGTCCCATGCTCGCAATCTGCTAGAGTGGAGGGAAGAGAGAGGCCTTGAGCCTGCCCAGGCTTTCCTCCCTCCCCCTGTTCTTCCACTTCTGCACATTCATCCTTCCCAGCATCTGCCTTGTAGAAGTGTCGGGGGCTTGCACAGGGTGATTTCCTGCTGACCAGTGCTCATTTCCTTAGGAGGAATGACTTGCATTCTCTTGTTTCATCAGACGAGTAATTAATCCAACAAACATTTGCAAACAGCCTGCTCTGTACCAAACAGTATAGCAAGTTCTGGGGCCACTGAGCACCCTGCTCCTAGCTAGGGGTGCTCAAGTGAAGCTGCAAGGAGAAGGCATTCTGAAAACATCTCTGTGTCATTTGAGAGGCATAAGCTGGTGAGTGGAAACACCGCCAGGAGAAAACTGGGCAAAATGACCAGCTCTGTGTTTCTGGGGCAGAAAGTCCCTTTTGCACCAGACCTGCGTCGTGGCTTGAGGCCCTGCCCTAGGAGGGAGGCTGGGGAGAACAGGGAGATGCATTTCCAGCCTGCCCCTGGACGCCAGGCCCACCCCACAGGGCAGGACAGGCTGGGCAAATGGGTGAGTCCTGTGAATTTGAACCAAATGCATCAAGCAAATGGGATTCCAGTAGCCAGAGTCCTTTGTATCCTCTTTGTTGGTTTAATTCAGTAAACATTGCCTTGACCCCTAAAATGAGGCAAGTTCTGAGGTTATCAAAAATAAGTAAGATCCATTTCTTGCCCTTAAGGAGTTTATAGAAGAAACAGACATAAGTATATTTAATTTCACAGCAAGTGAAATCTCTGTTCATATTTTAGATGTACAAGAAATATTATTTCTTACTTTTTTCTATAACTAAATTTAAGTAATATTTTAAATGCCCAGTTTTGCAGAGTGGTAGCACACCAATCCCAATACATTTGTTCTTTTCCCTGTTACTCCTGCGGTTGGGGATAAGTGCTGGGGGCTTTGTATGGTGCCAAGAAATTGAGCAAGGAGACATCCATACCTTATCTCTCTCCACTCACGTCTTCTGAGCCAACCATCATTCTTGCCAGGTCTTCACAACTGGCCCAGCTGTGTCACCATAACTTGTCCCTTGTTCATGAAGTCCCTTAGGGGCCAGTGCATTGCTTCATTCCTTCTCTGCCTCTCTCGGACATTCGGGTGTCACTGCTGTTCCCATCCCATACTGGGTGTGGGAAATTCCAAGAAATTATCTAAGGCTCTGTCTACTTATGTTTTTAACTGAAACTGCTGGCATCTCTCCACCAACCACAACACTGTCTATGGTGGCAATGGGCATATCAAGTTGACATTTCAGAAAACATCCTGAATCTTCCCAGAGGGAAAAATAAAACACGCCTCACATAAAAGCTTGGAGAACAGAATGTCATACAGCTTCTCAATTGCTACACCATGAAGCAATGCTTTCAGAATCAAGGCAAAATGACTTCCAGCCTAGAATTCTATACCTAGCTAACCTGTCAATGAAGCGTGAGCATGGAGTTGTGGATCTTCATGTGCGGAAGCCTTGGGATGCTTCTTCCCAGGCATTCTTCCTCAGGAAGGCCTCAGGAAACATGCAGTTGAGTGCAATCATAAGCTAGAGGAGTGGAGGACAAGAAATAAGAGCACAGGGAATCAGGATGGGAGAAGGAGGACATGAATTCAGAATCATGGAGGCCTTGGGTGAGAGCTGAGCCACAGGCTTCGGGAACAGCCTAGCCCAGGTGGCAGCAGGGCACCCAAGGAACCACAAGAGTAACAGCACTGATGACAATAACAGCAACAGGCTACATACAACTGACCAAGCATAGAATGTGCACGGACTTCTTCCAAGGAAATGTTCATTTCTGTGGAAGATTTTGGGAAGGAATTCGTGATAGGTATTTAGAAAGCTAAGCAAACAACAAGAAAGAGGCAATTATTAATTCAAAGCAGGAAAACTTGTACAAAAGGAAAAGCAATCATATTATACTATGACTCAACTGCGAATAAAAGTAACACAGTTCAAATAACGTAAATGAGGAATACTGACTCCATCCAAAATGGCGACATCATGATGTTGAACTGAGAGGAAGAGGCGTAGAGGTAAGGAGGAAGGGGTGGGAGGAGTTGAGAGAAAGGGAACTCCCCATCAATGATCCCAGCTCACATGGAAAACCAAGACATCGCCTGGGTCATCTGTAGACTCAAATGCAGGGAGATCCAGGCAAGGCAGGTAAGAGACGCTGCCAAGCCAGGTGAGAGACGCTGCCACCAGAGAGCAGGAATCAGCAGTGGGGCTGTGAGGTGGGGAGCCATTGTTCTTTTTCATTGGAAGCCTGGGAGTGCTATTGACATCTTACGCTATGAATATGCATACCTTTGACTTTCTGAAAAGAAAAGCCACATTGTGCCAAAGGGAGAGGCAAGATTTGCTGAGAGTATTCTGTTGAGAGGGGATTTCTATGCCAGGTTCGGGGCAGAAGAGATCACACACCCATCACTCACACCAGGATCAGTGTCTCCTGTCCCACCCAGGGGGTGGCATTTCTGTAGCTTCTCCCTGCTGAAGCAGCGTCTGCAGACAAACGCCTGCTGGGCAGTCAGAGCCAGGAAGTCAGGTCCTCCCATCCTCCACATGGACCCACCTGAGGCACTCTGGGCCTCTCCTGCTCTCACATGGTGCCTCAAATATCCACGTTAAAGATCCACGCCTTTGAAGCAGGATCCCTCCCAAAATACAGAGGTGACCTCCTTCAAAGTGGGCACAGACAAATGCTTAGGATATCAATTTTGTTCACCCCCCACACACTCACATGCACACATGCACATATACCATCATGCTTGCCAACCACAAGAAGATGGGGCAAACTTTGCTGCAGACTTCCACATTAGACAATTACAAATCCAGACGTGGTTCCCCAGTCCCTGTCCATTCCAGGGGAGGAGGAGCCAATGCCACCCTGACCATGGGGCACAACAGTCCCATAGCCTGAGGGTCCGACAGCTCACCCTGAGATGAATGTGTAGCAGGGTGTGCACACCTGTTATGACACTGTCTCTGAAGGTTGTCCCTGACAGGCTGCTCGGGCAGGCCCAGCACAAATGCCACCTACCACTGGGCTGTGATGTTCGACTCCACAGCTCATGTTATTTCCAGGACTCCAAGCTCCCCTCAAGACAATTTTTCCAACAATTTGGAACCAGCTCCCACCTTAATCCAAAGTTCTGTGAAACCCCACCTCAGTCTAGTGTAATGTGGAGGAGAAACACTTACTCCCCACCAGCCTGTTCAGGGAAAGCCATCAGCGTGCTCGCTGGAGTAGCGGTGACTGCAGCAGTATCTCCTGTCAAAGGAAGAACAAACCCCATTTCAGAATGGGGTCTGGTACCCGCTGGGGAACCCCTTGGCCAAGATGCCGAGTGACAGCAGGAAAGCTCCATGGATACGTGTATGACATCTCCTGGGTGAGTCCTAAAATATTCAGGAAGAACACAATCTTGCCACAGGGGAATTTCTTGAGAGCAAGTAGGGGCTTAGTGCGAGAGAGAGTTGCATGTTTAGGCTAATAACAAAAGCATGTAGATACTTATTGACTGGAGAAATCCTGGGACAGCTGGTTCTAGAATTTGAGAGTAAGGCCATACAGAGGGCTTAGAATAAAACCTCATTTTGGGCTATTTTTGGCCAGAGTGCAGAGGGGAGCATCAGCGCAGGTACCCAGGATGCTTCAGGAAGAGGCCTCACCCAGTGCCTTCGGGACAAAACCACAGGGATGGAACTGAGAGCAGATGCCAGAGCTTCTCCCTGCCCAGAGGAGCTTCTGAGAAATGCAGCCCCACCCAGACCCACTGAACTCGCATTTGCATTTTTACAAGATCCAGGTGACTCCTTTGAGAAGTGGGCTCATCAGCTGCCGGGTAAAGTCATTGCAGGGATAGACAGGAGCGCCCAAGGGGCTTAGGGCTCCAGTAACTCGGATCCTTTTAAACTCCAAGACTTTCTGCCCCAGGCCTCTCCTAAGCAGTCTGTGCTGAACCAGGTAATTCTCATTCTCATAACTGAAGCCATTGAGAAAGGAAAATATCTTGAGCCCCCAAAATCACTAAGCTAAAGGGATAAGTCAAGCTGGGAACTGCTTAGGGCAAACCTGCCTCCCATTCTATTCAAAGTCACCCCTCTGCTCACTGAGATAAATGCATATCTGATTGCCTTTTTTTGGAGAGGCGAATCAGAAACTCAACAGAATGCAAAAGTTTGTCTCATATCTATCTATGGACCAAGAAGCTCCCTCCCAGACCCACCTTTCTGTGTGGTCCCCGAACCAATGTTCGTTTTCCATATGTTGATTGATGTCTCATGTCTCCCTAAAATGTATAAAACCAAACTGTGCTCTGACCACCTTGGGCACATGTTGTTGGGATATCCTGAGGCTGTGTCAAGCGTGTGTCCTCAACCTTGGCAAAATAAACTTTCTAAATTAACTGAGACCTGTCTCAGATTTTCTGGGTTCACACCATGGAGCCCAGTATTGTCCCTCAGGTGTTGTGGTGTGTTTTGTTGTTGTGGCTGCATGATGAATGGTAATCATTGAACACTTTACACAACAGCTCCTCTGTTTGCAATTTAAAAGCCCTGGTGCCATTTTCTTCCTTCTGCCTTCTGGATAAGGACCACAGCAACTGATACCCCACAGTTGCAGTGAAGAAAAACAAGGGGGGCCCTGCTGAAATAATCCCAATGCAAAATTTACATTTGAGGGAACGCTGCTAATAAATGTACATTTGGAGAGCACTTATAGGAAAGTGTACATTTCAAATCAGAGTGGATCTGTGCTACAAACCCAGTTCGCAAGCATCTGGGAATGTCAACCCAGCGATGTTCCTTGGAAATGGCTCATTGTCATAAGTTCTTCAAACAGGTTAACACAAAGCTAGGAGAACAATAAAAGCAAGGCTAAATTTTATTTTTAGAAAGTGCCATAGCTGAACTGATTTTTAAGAGAGTATATAAAAGAAAGAATCTAGATCTTGGGAACTGGTAGAACCAAGTTATTTACCATTTTTACTGTTCAATTTCCGCTGGTAGAAAGAGGAAGGAAGCCGTAAAGGGCCTGTCCATTGAAAAGAGACCAAAGTAGGAACGCAAATAAATACTGGAACCCAGTGGTTATGGTAACTGACAACCTCAAAGATTTTTCACATCCTCTCTGGGGAAAAGAATATTTTATGCTAATTTGGGGGGTAATGGATGGCATTTTACCCAACATGTAGATCCTAATGTGAAACTAAAAATTTCCATGAAGAAAATATTTTTCCACTGGGCGCCAATTCCAGAGTCTCAGAAGCTAAAAAGGCAGACGTGTTTGTGTTCCAGTTAAACTTGATTGATAGCCTTAAATCATTATAATTAAACTTTCAACAGTAATGGCATGCTCTCTTCTATTTTCCTTGTATGTGGGGCTTCCCTGCAAGACTGGTTGTGTGAATATGGCCACGTTATTTCCTCTGGGGCAGACCTCAAGGTCCCCGGTGGTCTCTGGGCTTGTTTTCTGTGTCCTGCATGAATCAGGAGTTGTATGTCCAAGGGACACCAGCAGAAATCCCCATGAAAGGAAAGGCTCCTTGCTGCTCCCCAGCTGTCCCTCAGGCACAGGGACAGTGCATGGGACAGGTCTGTCACGTCAGGCCGAATGTGCACCGCACCAATCACGACAGCTGTTCCTGTTTGGCTTTTTCAACTTCAAAGCTTCCTGCTTTCCTGAACATGCATTCCGAGTTTTATTTTCCAGCACTACAAACCATCCAGTTCCCCAAGTGCGCTAAAGGTCAAGCTTTCATCCCAGGCCTAAATGAATACACTTGGGCCCTTTCCTTTTTTGTTTTCCTTTGGGGAAGTCATAAAAACAGCTTTGATAATTAGTAAACAGCCAACATTTCCCCAACCCTCATAAAACATAAAGGCGATGGGAAAACCCAGATTTGCTTTCAAGTCTCGTAGAGGCTTGTGTTCCGGGGGCCCACATTCCTCTTCTGAGTGCAAGCAAATTGTTCAAACTGCCTTGCCGGGTCTGTCTGTATTGCCTGGTCCACCCTAGAAGGAATATGACCAGGTTCAAGTTTTTGTCCTGGCCATGGCATGTGAATTCACTAAAGGTAATGGGAAACTGGCCTGATTCATGACAGATTAGAGACTACAGTTGAACTTTGGAGACTGAAAAAATTATTTGAATTTTTCATTACATGTAAGAGCTCCATATTTTTTGTGTATTTCTCCATCTTCCTGGTAAACCCAGTAAAGTCACAACAAATATACAGAAGAGTTTTAATCTGTTTTGAATTACTTTAAAATTCTCAACCCAGCCTCTTAGTTAACTCAAGGACACGAAAAATATTAGCAGCTGAATTTGAGTCCCTGATATGTAGTTGCCTGATGTCACATCACAAGGGTTGGCAGAGTGATCACCTGGGTACCCGCACAGCTTAATGGCTCTGCAAAGAACAGGCAGGATGCAAATCCACCTTGGCCACTTTGGAGCAGCGCTCCTGTCTTAGCTGGAGCCTTGGCTGGTGCTGAGAAGCATAAAAGACAGGAAAGAGGAGGGGACAGGCTGCCTCTAGCCTCCTCCAGGAGGGAAAGTTGAGCTTAGTGGGTGATAAGTGTAGGTGATCTCAAAACATGAACAATTTCTGGTAGCATTTCATTCAAACAGAAGACAAGTACCCCAAGGAAGTAGAAAATACGTTGGCTCAAGAGTTTGCAAAAGAGGCAACATCTTCAATTAATTCATGGACTACATGGGAAGTGTGCAGAGGACAAAGAGGAAAGATGTAAAATTAAATACTTTAATTAAATAAGACATTGCCCAGTCAGACTTATTCATTGTAAGGACAGAAACCAACTGACTTATTTGAGCAGCAGATGAATTTATTTAAACCTCAAATCCCACCCAGGCCTGGCCGGAGAGGACACGTGGCCCTCACTGCCAGGCACTCGAGCTGGGACTTGCCCACTGCCCACCCTGGCATGGGGCCCCATTGTCATTTCTAGCCTGCTGACACTGCTGCCCTCTGTGGAGGGGCCTCTGCCCTCTGTTTCCAGGAAGGCTGGGACATGAGGATCTGCCGTGTTCAGCTTCTGAGTGGGAGGTACCTCTGCTTACCATGGAGGTTCATAAACTGGGGATTTCTCTGAGCATTAGAAAGAGTTAGAAGCAAAAAGGAAAAAAGAGACGTCTGCAGTTTTTCACCCCTTCTCCCTTAGCAACATCTTAGAAATGAAGAAGAGTCCTCCCTTCCAAAGGGCAGAATGGACCCAAACTCACACGGTGCTCTGAATTGACTCTGCAAAGGCATGGCTCTTCCTGCCACAGCCCAGGCATGAGTGTTGCTGCCTCTCCACTGACTGGTCATTCGCTGCTTTCCTCACCCAGCTGCTGGGGCTTGGCCGTTCTCTTGCTTCCTCCATGTGCACCTGGCTCATTAATTATGCTTTTCCAGGGAAACATGTGCATGAACTAACACTTAGTGCTTTAAAGCCTGCTTCAATTTTGAAACAATGTACAACTGAAAATTGTAGGCAAGATGAAATATGGATCTTCATCTGCCAGGTCTTTAAGCACTTTTCCTTCAAGCTCTCTTTTTAAAGAGAATGTTTAACCTGTGTATTTCATTTAAAACCTTTCTATAGTCAATAAATGATCATTGAGAATCTATGCCTGGTTCTAGGTGTGTGGACATAGACAGTTATCTCCATAGAACCCTGTAAGTAGTTATACCATCCCCTTTTGCAGATGAAGAAATGCAAGTATCATCTGGCAGAATGGCAAGGCTAGCTAATAAAAAGTCACTTCCCAAACACAGGCCTTTCTGTCCTTTGGAACCTACCCCTCCAAGGAGCTGTTTCCCTGGAAGATGCCCTCACCTAGGACAGCTTTGTTCTAGGGGGAGTCTCTTACCCCTGTGAGCCCATGCTCCAGACGTCCACAGTGGGCCTTCATACCTTGGCTATAGAGGTTAAATCAGGTATTGATGGACACGTGTCTGACAGAGTTCGTGTTCAGAGTGTTGGGGAACATTGCTGGAGTTGTAAGCTGGTTCTAATCATCAGAAAAAGTGTTGGAAAGTGGGCCTCTTTCCTTCTGTCCTCTCAGGGAGCTGGTAGCTCGTAGAGACTGAGAATCACATATCACACACCACCCCAAAGAGATGCCATCAAGTACAGAGTTGTAATGATTCTAATTAAAACACCAAAAACCAAAGTGAAATCCCTGAACAACAGAGAGTGAACATTACAGCTGCCAAGACTTTAGCAGCAGAAGGGAGCCCTACACAAAAACAAAGGAAAGGTGTTCTCTTGATGAAATGACTTTCTAGCCATTTCTGTCTGGGGAAAGCAGTGCATTTCAAGAGGAAGGGAGAATAGAAGTGTGGAAAAGTTCAATGCCCACATCAACAAAATCACATTCCATGAGGTTCACATGTGACCTTTAAAAAAGTTCAAACCATTCATTTCAATAGCATTTTTGTGCTTCAGATAGTACTTGACTGTAATTGAGTTTCTATGATAAGATCCAGGGATAACAAACAGATTATCATCAGTTGTCAAATGTGATCTTTCAAAAGTAAAGGGCGGTCAGGTGCGGTGGCTCATGCCCATAATCCCAGCACGTTTGGGGGCTAAGGCAGGAGAATGGCTTGGGTCCAGGAGTTCAAGACCAGCTTGGGCAATATAGTGAGAAACGATCTCTATGAAGAATACAAAAATTAACCAAGTATGGTGGTGTGCACCTGTAGTCCCACTATTAGGGAGGCTCAGTCAGGAGGATGGCTTGAGCCCCCTCAAGGCTGCAGTGATTCATGATCATGCCACTGCGCTCCAGTCTGACAACAGAGTGAGACCTTGTCTCAAAAGAAAAAAAAAGTCAAGGGCTCTGGCACAGTGGTGTGTGCCTGTAGTCCCAGCTACTCAGGAGGCTGAGGCATGAGGATCACTGGAACCCAGGGGTTCAAATCCAGCCTGGGCAACACAGCAAAAGCCTATCTCTAAAAAAATAAAATCAAATAATAAAATTAAATTTAAAAAAATTGAGGGCACTACAAAATGCCAACTGCAAATTGATGCAAACTCTCCACTAAAGAAACATTCATATGCCAATAGCATATGGAATGACAGAATACATCTTCAGACCTGGTGAATTAATATTTATTTGGCTATGACAGAGGGGCAGAGCTGTAGGTTTTGCTGGACAGGGCTCCAGGACCTGAACTGGGCCCCCTGGAAGCCTCCCCTTAAGATCTTGTCATGCAAAGAGGCTCCCAAGCATCCAGAGGGCCCAGATTATTTTCAACCAGCTGGAAACAGATAGAGCTTCAGAATTTTTACCTAAGCATTTTGTGGGGGAGGAAAAAAAATCCTACTTTCATTATCATTAGCCCCATGAGGATTCTAAAACCCCTGATGAAAACTAGGGCATATCAGGCAAATAGCCCTGCCCTGAAAGAAGGGGAAACCAGAGGCGCTCTGAGGGGCCTGTACTCTGCGTTTTTCCCAGGGTGTTTTATGCACCAGGTGTAGCAGATGAAAACACCAAACCTCCTGGCTTATGGAGGGATCCAACCACTGCACGTCCTACAGCACAGGAGACTCTTTAAAGTGTATCTGATGGCCGGGCGCGGTGGCTCACGCCTGTAATCCCAGCACTTTGGGAGGCCGAGGTGGGCAGATCGTGAGGTCAGAAGATTGAGACCATCCTGGCTAATATGGCGGAACCCCATTTCTACTAAAAATACAAAAAATTAGCCAGGTGTGGTGGCGGGCGCCTGTGGTTCCAGCTACTCGGGAGGCTGAGGCAGGAGAATCCCTTGAACCAGGGAGGCAGAGGTTACAGTGAGCCGAGATCACACCACTGCACACCAGCCTGGGCGACAGAGCAAGACCCTGTCCCAAAAAAAAAAAAAAGGAGAAGGAAAGAAAAAGTAAAGTGCATTTGATAAATTCAAATGCTCTCTACACGTTTCTGGGCACACTTTCTCTCACATAGTGTTTGGAGCAAAGAACTCAATGAACTTAAAATCCCACACAGAATGGTGGGAAAGTCTTGCTTCACAAGTTCCATCTGTGCTTATCAGTGTCCGTACCACCCAAATGTCCTTCTGGGACTAGTGTTAAGACCTCAAGATTAAGCCTCTGTCCAAGCGGAATTTCTGAGCAAATGTAGATTGTCACGGAAGTCTGCTGTTACACTGAGACAGAATAGTCCCGAAATGTTAAATTTACATTATGCTCACCCTGTAATTCATTTTAGACCCTCTTAGTCCTGCTCTTGTTAAGGGCAGGACTCACTGTCACAGACTGATTTGGGGTGTTAATTAATGCCTCTTCTCTCTTCCTCAAGGGACACCCTGAGTTTTCAAAGGCCTCTGCTAGCCACGCTCAGTGCAACCTGCAGGCTCCACCCTCCAGCCCTGACACAGATTTAGCCCAAATTAGACATGATGGAGAAGAAAGGGAGGGAGGCTGAAGGAGCCCTGTGGGTCCTGGGCTTTGTGAATGCGTTTGAGCAAGAGCGTTGCTAGAGTGCTTCTGATCTCAGAAAATACCAGATAGGCAAATCACCAGAGATGAAAAAAACAAACACAACACAACAAAAAAACCTTTTTTAAGGTAAAACTATAGAACGAATGAAGCAGATAGAATTACAGCTTTCTTCAGACAGTTTAAATCTTCAGTGTTTCCAAAACCTTAGGTTTTATCAGAGGAGGTTGAAAACCCACTAACTGAGTCCAGCCTCCGCATAGCACAAAAGAAGCAACCGAAGTCCCCAGGGGAGCCCAGTTTCTTCCAAGGCCACAGGTAAGGGAAGGGCAGAGCTCTGAGCGTGGTGGAGAAGCTCCACCTTCCAGCCTCTCCTCAGCCCACATGGCCTCCCTTTCTCTCACTGCAGACTCTTTGCTTTGAAGAAGCCACATCCTTGAGTATTTTGATAAAATCGCATCTCTATTTCTGTCAGCTCCTGGAAGTTGGAAACCAAGGCATTATTGAACCTTCATTAAGCTCCAGCATGTAGGAAAACCAGGGAAGCAAAAAGACTTCAAGGACCATCACTGTATCTTTATGTCATCCTCCATAGCACAACATATGTGAATAAAAAACACTGGTTAAATTGAGAAAAATCAGAGCGGGCCTGGACCTCAGTGTTTCCATTTTTGTGTTCTATTTTGTCGCTTGTGTTGGACATCAGGCATAAAGATTGTGTTAAACATACTCTTCCGATTCTTAGCACTTTATCACTATGGGTCTATGCAAGGCATTCAAATTATATTTATTTCTCTATTAATTCATTTACTGACCCATTCTTTTCTTTGGGAACTAGAGAAGCCCTCTTTACTTCTTATTAGTAGTAAAATAACAATCCTCTGGCCTTTATGAATATTGTAGAATTGTACAGGCACGCCTCGTTTTATTACACTTTGCTTGATTGCACTTCGCAGAGTGCATTTTTTTCCAAATGGAAGAGTTGGGGCAACCTTGCATCGAGCAAGTCTATCGGTGCCATGCCGCCAACAGCACATGCTCCATGTCTCTGTGTCACATTTTGGTAATTCTCATGATATTTCAATTTTTTTCATTATTATTATATGTTATGATGATGTGTGATCAGTGATCTTTGATGTTACTACTGTAATTGTTTGAGGGAGTCACAAACTGTTCCTCTATATAATACAGTAAATGTAATCAGTAAACGTTGTGTGTGTTCTGACTGCTCCACCAACCAGCTGTTCCTCTACCTCTCCCCTCTCCTCAGGCCTCCCTATTCCCTAAGACACAACAATACTGAAATTAGCCAATTGATAACCCCTCAATGGCCTCTAAGTGTTCAAGAGAAAGGGTCATATGTCTCTCATTTGCAATTAAAATCTAAAAATAAGCCAGACATAGTGGCACACATATGTAGTCACAACTGCTCAGGAGGCTGAGGTGGGAGGATGGCTTTTGCCCAGGAGTTGGAGTCCAGCTTGGGGAGAGGCAGGCAGGAAGGCAGGCAGGCAGGCAGGCAGGCAGGCAGGAAGGAAGGAAGGAAGGAAGGAGAAAGGGAGGGAGGGAGAGAGGGAAGAAAGGAGAGAGAGAGAAAGGAAGGAAGGAAGAAAGGAGAAGAAAGAAAGAGGAAGCAAGGAAGAAAAGAGAAGGAAGGAAGGAAAGAAAAAACTAGAAATGATTAAGCCAGTGAGTGAAGAAGGCTTGTTGAAAGCTAAGATAGGCCAAAAGCTAGGCCTTTTGCACCAGTTAGCCAAGTTGAAAATGCAAAGGAGAGATTCTTGAAGGAAATTAAAAGTGCCACTTCAGTGAATACATGAATGATAACAAAGTAAAACACTCTTTATTGCTGGTATGGAGAAAGTTTGAGCGGTCTGGATAGAAGATGCAACCAGCTGCAACATTCCCTTGAGCCAAAGCCTAACTCAGATCAAGCTCCTCTTTTCAATTCTATGAAGGCTGAGAAGAGAAAGCTGCAGAAGAAACTTTGGAAGCCAGCAGAGGTTGGTTTATGAGGTTTAAAAAAAGAAGCCATCTCTGTAACATAAAAGTATAAGGTGAAGCAGCAAGCGCTGATGGAGAAGCTGCAGCAAGTTATCTAGAAGATCTGGCTAAGGTCACTGATGAAGGTGGCTACACCAAACAGCAGATTTTCAGTGAATATGGAACAGCCTTCTACTGGAAGAAGATACCATCTAGGACTTTTTGTAGCTGGAGAGGAGGAGTCAATGCCTGGCTTCAAGGCATCAAGGGACAGGCTGACTGTCTTTTAAGGGCTCATGAAGCTGGTGGCTTTAAGTTGAAGTTGATGCTCATTTGCCATTCTAAAAATTCTAGGGCCCTAAAGAATGATACTAAATCTAGTCTGCATGTGCTCTATAAATGGAACAAAGCCTGGATAACAGTGCATCTATTTATATTATGGTTTACTGAATATTTTAAGCTCACTGTTGATACCTACTGCTCAGACAAAAATATTCCTTTCAAAATACTGCTCGTTGACAATGCACCTGGTCTAAGGCGCATCAGAGCTCTGATGGAGGTGTGCAAGGAGATTAATGTTTCATATCTGCTAACACAACATCCACTCTACAGCCCATGGATCATGGAGTAATTCTGACTTTCAAGTCTTACTATTTAAGAAATCCATTTTGCAAGGGTGTAGCTTCTATGGATAGTGATTCCTCTGATGGATATGGGCAAAGTAAATTGAAAACCTTCTGGAAAAGAATCACTGTTCTAAATGTCATTATGAACATTTGCAATTCACGGGAGGGGATCAAAAGATCAGCATTAACAGCAGTTTGGAAGAAGTTGATTCCAACCCTCATGAATGACTTTCAGGGGCTCAAGACTTGAGTGGAGGAAGGAGCTCCAGAGGTGGTGGAAATAGCAAGGGAACTGGAATTAGAAGTGGAGTCTGAAGATGTGACCGTATTGCTACAATCTCACGATCAAACATGAACTGATGAGGAGCTGTTTCTTATGATGGGCAAAGAAAGTGGTTTCTTGGGATGGAAACGACTCCTGTTGTAGATGCTGTTGAACATTGCTGAAATGACAACAAAGGATTTAGAATATTATGTCAACTTAGCTGATATATCAGGGACAGGGTGTGAGACTATTGACTCCAGTTATAAAAGTTCTAATATGGGTAAAATGCTATCAAACATCATCCTATGCTACAGAAAAATCTCTTGTGAGAAAAAAGAGTCAATCACTGCAGCCAATTTCATCGTTGTTTTATTTTAGGAAATTGCCATAACCAACACCCTGATCAGTCAGCAACCATCAACATCAAAACAAGACCCTCCACCAGCAAAAAGAGTGAAAGTCACTGAAGGCTCTGATGATCGTTAGCATTTTTTAACAGAAGGTATTTTTAAATTAAGTTATATAAATTATTTTAGACATGATGCTATTGCACAGTTACTAGACTGCAGTATTGTCAACATAACTTTATATGCACTGGGACACCAACAAATTCATGTGACATTGCTTTACTGTGGTGATCTGGAACCGAGCCCACGACATCTCCGAAGTCTGCCTGTATTTGATACCCTGCTTCATGCCTCAGAGATCCTAGTTATTTTCTATAAATCTAACTTGCTTATTTTGATAGTAAATAAGCTAAATAAAGCGAAATTATACCTCACCCACATATTCTAAGCAGTTAAAGACATTTGAAGCCTCCAATTTGCAGACTCGTAACTCTGATGATTGAGAGGCATAGCTGAATGACTGGTGGAGAGAGTGATGTGGTTCTCAGGATGGCTGGGTGCTTTCTCTCTGCTTTGATGCTCCTCCAGAGGATGCTTCATTACTTGCAGGATAGAGAACTGATTAAAAAAATACTAATAAAGAAATATATTATCTTGAAAGTTTGGCCTGAAGAATTCAGTATGCAGGATATTATCTCATGCTCAAGTAATTGTTAATCTCAAATGATTCATAAATCAATCCTTAAATACACCTAGTCATTTTGCCAAATTTCACATGTGTGTGTATAACCCAGTACTGACAATGATTTATAATGTAGTAAAATGGGTACAAAGACATTTCGCTGATGGCAGTGTACATCGATACAACTTTTGGAGAGTGCTATGGCAACCGTATTTCAAAAACAATAAGAAGGTTCACAATATTCAATTCAATAATCTCACTCCTGAGAATTTATTCAGGAAAAGAGTCCACAGGAATAATTCAAAGAAGAGGAAAGATTACATACATAATAATGTTCATTACAGAAGCTATGTTCTAGTGAGGCAAACATAAACATAAGTAAGGAATGAAATATATCTATAGATGGTGAAAAATGACATGATGCGAATAAGCGTGATGATGTGATATGATGCAATAGAGAAGAATGGGAAGGCGTTCTGTTCATATGATGTTCAGGGAAATTCCCTCTGAGGGGAATGACCTTTGAGCCAAGACCTGAAAGTAAGAATGAACCAGTCATGTGAAGAGCTCAGTGAAAAGCATCCCAGAGGACATCAGCTACAAACATGTTGAGATAGGAAAGAGCTTGATAGGTCAGGAAGGGGATTATCCATGTGATCAGAATGGGGTGAGCCAAAGGAGAGAAGCATAGGTAGAGTTGGGGTGGGAGACGGTAGACGGTGTGATGTGTGAAAACGCTAGAATCAAAGATGCATGCGATGAGCCCCGCTACATGAAGGTTTTGCATGCATATGAAGACAAACTGCGGGAAAACATAGAAAAATAAAAAAGAATAGTGTATTTTTTTAAAAAAATTGCTGTAAACATTTTTACAATATTATTTGCCCAAAATTAAGATTGACTTGGTTGAATATGCAAAACACAGTCTTGATATTGCACCATTATGACATGAAACCCATTCTCCTTCACCCCTATGCCCATTCCCACTTCATTCCCACCCATTCCTGCATGGTAGATGTAATCTTCCTTAAAGACCTTCTTTTCCGCTGTAGCATGCTCCATGATGCCAACCACAACGACTGATTCACCTTAAACCCACGAAATTGAATTTACCTTGAGAACTCAGTTCACTTTGAAAACCCCTAGAAACATAATTCTATAGTTTTTAACCCTGTACTCAAGTCGCTCACAGCCTCAGGGCAGAGTTCTTATAATACAAAAATCTGCCTTTAATAACAGTCTGAACTATTGAGCCCCAAGGAATCAGAGGAGCAAGGCTATCTGCAAAATGTAGAAAATGGACAATGCCTAAATCCATTCACATTTTTCAGGTGAAGCAAATAAAATTTTAATAATCAATATTTTAATAATCAATCATCAGTGGGCATATACCGTTAGTGCTCACCCATACCAATGTGCTCATGGACATTTTCGGGTCTCCTCTGCAGTTAGGTAGGGTGGGCCATTTGCCGAATATGGTCTATGGAATGTGAACGGCAGTGAAATGTTCCTTCCAGACTCGGCATCTGGTATGATTTCCCTATGGTTTCTTTTCCTGTCCACATGGCTGGGACTGAAAGGATCCAAGAATGCAGAGCACATGTAGAAGGAGGGCAGATCTCTGAGTCACTACATGAAGGAGAGCTGCCCAGAAGAGCTGCTGGACCCCATCAGGCTCCATGTGAGTGAGAACTAAACTTGGATTGTTTTAAGCCTCTGAGAGTTCGGGAGCCATTTGTGACAACAGCTAGCACATATTACCTTTCCAAATTATGACATGCTCTATGAGATGGATTTGCAGAGTCGTCCCACTTCCTCTGTTTTTTTAGAACTCTTATTTTCATAAAATATTGAACCATATGTCTCTTTGGAAGACACCAATTATATTTCCCAATCTCAATTATTATGTCTACAGTAGAAAAAGAAACCTTAAGATTCTCCAACATGGAGAAAACAAAACATGGCCTAATAGACTCGTGCTGCCAGATTGATGCTGCCTGTAAAAGTCCAAAGAGCGCAATGGAATTCCAAAGGATCTCTTCGTTTGGGGTTTTGCTTTTTCCTGTGTTGCTCCTTCTGCCTGAGGTGCCTTTCCCCTCTTCTCTGCCTGTCACCATCTCACCAATGTTGAATGGTCCAACTCAAATATCAGCTCTCCTTCAGAACCTTTCTCTAGCCAGCCCCAGGCAGAATTAATCACTTCTTTTTTTGTCCTTGAAAAGCTCATCGATGACCTCCTAGATGACAGACCCAAGGTCTTCTTTTCAGTCTATATCCTATTTGATCTCTTTTGCATTTGTTAATATTAAAAACCTCCTCTTTATTTTTTTAATATCCTTTTTTAGTATTTGAGATTTTGCTCCCTATGCATTCTGTGCTTACCTTTCTCACCACTCTTCTCACCCCCTCTTCTGGCCCCTTCTGCACTTTCTCCTTAGATGTTGATGTCTCCCTGTTACATCCTTGACTCTCCACTTACTTCACAAACTCACTAAAGAATTTCATCCTCTCCCTTGGTTTCTATAACTAACAGTTAACCAACGACACCAAAAGGGATGTCTCCAGCTGAACTCTCTCCTGGACTCCAGACTCATATTTCCAACTATTCACTAGAAATCTCTACCTGGATGACTTCCAAGCACTGCACAAAATGGACTAATTTCCTTCCTCCCCAAGCATGTTCTGCCTCCTGTATCCCTTCTCTCACTTAGCATCATCACCAATTCACAGCTACCCAAGCTAGTAACCTCAAGAGTTCTTCTCTCTCCTTCTCTCTTCCTCATCTTCCATATACAAATATTGCCAATTCTTATTTTATAAGTCCTTATGTAAAGAAAAGAATATTGTCAAGTGCAGTGGCTCACACCTGTAATCCCAGCACTTCGGAAGGCCAAGACAAGAGTATTACTTGAACCCAGGAGTTCAAGACCATCCAGGGCAACATAGCGAGACACAGTCTCTACAAAAATTTTAAAAATTAGCTGGGTGTGGCGGCACATACCTGTAGTCCCAGCTACTTGGGGGACTGAGACAGGACGATCACTTAAGCCCAGAAGGTTAAGGCTGCAGTGAGCCATGATCACGCCACTGCGCTCCAGGCTGGGCAACAGAGCAAGAACTTGTCTCTAAGAAAAAAAAAAGAATATGGATGGCCATGGTGTCAGAGACCTAAGTTCAAATTTGACTCAATCAGTTCCTAGTCATATTACCTGGATCAAGTTACTTAATCTCTCAGAGCTTGTAATTTCTTATCTATAAAATGGGGATAATAATTAAATATGGAGGTCTCAGGGGTGTTATAAACATTAAATGAGCAAACACATGGAAAAGGACTAGTGTAGACAGATCAGATACTCATACATGTTAGCCTCTTTTTTTTCTGTAAATAACCCTGTTACACTGCCCCTGTTCAAGACCTCATCACCTCTCACCTGGATTAGCGTGACGGCTGTAGAATGACTCTGCCTCCCTTCTCTTCCCCGTTCCCACTCCCAGATGGGTCTTTTTCCTTCAAATCTCTGGTGCTATGCTCTTCTCACACACAGGTTCTATCATACCTGGCCTAAAACTTTGTGAACTCCCAAAGATAAAGCTACTCATCACTACCCTCGTCATCATGTCTTTCCCTGACCACAACATGTCTGTTCTAGTTGGAGCCCTTTTAATTGCAAGGTACAACTTAAAGACTGGTAAGTTTCACCCAAGAATGCCAGAGCTCTGGGAAAGACAATAGCGTTGCACCAAGCTCAGGCCTTAGCTGAATACAGAGCCCACTACACCTGTCCTGGTCCCAAAACATGGAATGGCTGTGGAAAGCAGTAAGATAACATTTTGGTCTCCATACATACTTGAAACTAGGAGAGAAATCCCCCATGTGCCAGCTCACATTCAGAGCAGTTGGTAAAAGATGAAACCCAACAGGAATTCAGACCAAGTGGGTCTGATGGCAGGGGGTCCAAGCTCTACTGTCTGAGGAGGAGAGTGAGATCCAGCAGGAACAGACCACACCGGAGGGACGTGAGAACCTCTCTACCTGCTTAAAATCCTGAAGGGCTGAGAAAAGAACTGCATACATTCTATCTGTTGACCAGGGTAAGCTCTAAAGAAGTTTGCCGTTCACCAAGGCTGTGGTTGGAAAAGGAATTATCTGGTAGAAATGACAGCCCTAGGATGATGCATGCATGTGTACAGAGCCTGAACTTTGACTTTACATGTGATGCAAGGAGCCCAAAAAGAAAGGCTAAACAGCAAAACCCACCAGGCCAGGAAGAGGCAAACACAAAGTCTTGCTATGGGGCCAGTTCCCTCCTCATCCCTGTGCTGCTCTGCTCTCCATGGTTTACACTCCAGCACAACTCTGCACACCCATGGTTCAGCCCCCATGATTTGCCTCAGCCTCTCCTTTCATGCAAAGTCACCCCAGTTCCCCCAGACAACTGGCAACAGTCTCCTTGTTTCCCAATGTGAAAATCCTGAGCCATGACTGGCTTGGCTAGCTCATCTCTGCAATCCAGGCCACAAGTCATGGAGCCCTAAACAAGCTATAAGCTGGCTTCTTTGAAACCACATGTCTGCCCCCGGTCCCCTTAGGCATGAACCAGAGATGGGCTCATGTGGCCGGCTTTGGGGAGCAGCAACTACGGATGAGTAGGGAGATGACGGCCACTTTCCAAGAACAACGCACTGTGCTCAGGCTGTTCCTCTAACTGGAACACACTCTTCATGGGCCTCCCGCAGCCTCTTCTCTGCCTGGTAAAGATCAAATATCTCTAGAAGGCCACTTCAGGCCTCCAGGCAGCAGCAGCAGCCCCTCTCTAGGCTCCTACAAGCACGCTGTACTCACCTACATAGAGTATACCACTTACATGTTGAATCACAATTATTTGTTTATTCGTGTGTTGTTTACTAGACTGTGAGTTTTTCAAGGGCAAAGACTGTCTCTTAGCTGTCCTTGTATTCCCAGTGCCCAGCACCATTCCTACTACCACCCAGGAGGGACTCCATGAGTGTTCATCATTTGATACATGAGCCAAGTCACCTGCACATTCTGTACTATCTACTCAGCACTTTACAGAATCCCCCCTAATAGCACAGGATGACGGATCAAGAGTCCAGCTTCCTTGGGTTACAGATAAAGAAACACGGCCCCTGGCAGGTGAGGGAGCTTGACAAATTCACATGCATGGTGAGCAGAGGCTCTGCGATGGGAAGGATGTCTCTCTCCTTCGGCCTCCTCAGTCAGGCAAGGGGTCTGCCCACAGCTACAGATGTCTCCAAAGAGCGAGAGTGGATGCGACCCTATCAACCACCTCCAGCTCCAGTGGGCTGCAGGGGGATAGCACCCCATGAGTTTTATCAGGCTCAGAGTAGCTTTAGAAGTACAAGCGTTTCTACAACCTCTGCTGCTCAACAGGAATCACTCCTCTTGTTCTTTATTGAGCCGCCCTCAATGCAAACCAGGTCCTCCCTGAGAAAGGTCCGATCACCCCTAGCTTTTGAAGTTAACATCTGAGGCCCTCTCTGTGGATCAATGACACAGGCAGAGAAAGGACAGATCTGTCTCAGTGGCCCCAGTACAAGCGATTCCAGTCTAGGACTCTCTGATCTACCCTGCAGGCTTATTCCATTGTCTTGGAGTGAGGCCACGCTTACACAGGAAGCCCTGTGTATCACGCTGCACTGTGGGCAGAAACATTGCAAAGTCCTTCCTATGACTGATAAACAGTGTTTGGTTTGGATCAAGAGGAAAAATAAGGCGCTCGGGATAATAGAGGCGGATGGGGAAAACACACGGGACTCCAAAATGAGAGCAAAAGAAGATGATTGCTTTGAACCATTAATGTAGTAACAAACTCTAGGAACAATGAGCATTGGCCAGAACAAGCTTCCTGCCATCCAGCTGCAGTCAAAGCTGAGAGTTCACGGAGGCCAGAGAACTGGCAGGAGCTGTGTTATGACTGGGGGAGAACAAACAGGCCAGGTCAAGAAAGGCAGGCACCCTTCAAAGGACAACATCTCAGGACGTAGATGACTTCAGCTGCAGTCACTAACAAAGAAAGGTGTCCCCTCCTGCAGAATGATAACATGAGACAATCTGAAAGGAAGAAAAAGGCAGATGGCCAGGCTGTGGCCGAAAACTGTTAACGTTCCTCTCTAACAATAGGGTTGATAGTATTATTTGTTTTTGTTAAACTGCTTTAGGAGGTGGTGGGTGGTGGCTGACCCCACTTCACCAGGGACCCATGTGAGGAAACATCATGACTGTCTCACTAACTCCAGGACCTTTTGTTTTGCTGAATGAGGGATACAAGTTGAGGGGGAAAGCTAAGTTGCTCAGGATGTAAGAAGGAATTCTTAGAGGCTGTACAAGGGGTAAGTAAGAGGAGAAAAGACACCACTGGCAGGGGAGAAAAATGTGGGCAGCAGGAGTAGGGAGTGGAATAAAAAAAAAGTTGGATGGGAAATTTAATTTACTAAGAGGTGTGAGCTGGGATCTTTCATCTCTGTTTTTTCATTTGCTGAAGATTTCAGTAAAATAAGTACTTCTTCCTAAACACACCATGGAATGCATTCATTTTATGGGATGCTGATTTTGGACCCAGGTGGATGTGGGGTGAGAGCTGAGTTCCCTGCCCCAGCTAAGTTATACTTTTGAATAAACTGTTTCCGTGGAACTTCCCATGCCAGGATCTCAGGCCTTTGACCAAAGTGCCAACTTGGCATGAATAAAGGAAAATAATTTTTTCCCTTATCTCCACTCCCAGAGCTCTGCAATTGCAGTTAAAGCTAGATGATTTATTAATAATTTAGTACAGTACTTATTCAGAGATTTTGTGCTTTGTTTTTCACTGTGGCAGACTAATTAGGCAAGAATAGAGTTGAAAAAAAGAGAAGTTGCTAGGCAGGGCCTAGGAGGAAAAACCAAAATAGACTTTTTATCCCCCAGGTGTAGGCCCAGTGAGGATAATTAGGCCAGGTTGTCCCAGCGGGGTAGATGTGGATAAAGTCTGGGTAGTTCAAAGGCTGAAGAGAGAAGGGATTGACTAAAGAAGAAATCGAAAAAGAACTGGGCAGGTGTGGGCTCCACAGTCCAGGAACCCGAGCTGGCTGGATGACTGGGTTGGGAAGGAACTCAGATGGGACAGCAGTACGGGTACCTGTGAGGCCTTGGGAGCTTTAGTAGTCAGGATAGGCCAAGTTATGCTGCATTACAGATACACTCCGAAACTTCTGAAATACAAAGAGAGTCAAGCTGCTGTTAAAGCAGCTTCCTTGGTTAGTTCTTCTCCATATGGCTACCAAAGGCCCCAGGCTGCTTCAATCTTGTAGCTATGCCTTGCAGAACACACGACTTCCAAGGACACTGTCGAACAGGAAAGAATTAATAGTAAAGAGATGTATTGCCCACCGTGGTAGCCACTAGCCACATGTGGCTAATTAAATTTAAATTGATTAAAATTAAATAAAATTTTAAATTCAAGTCTTTGGTCACATGAGGCCAGTGGCTACCACAGTGGACAGCACAGATATAAAACATTTTCATCATTGCAGAGAGTTGTGGTGGACAGAGCTGGCCTGGAGGTTTACACAGGGGGCTTTATTGCCCTTCCAGGAGGTGGCCTTCATCACTTCTGCCACATCCCACTGGCTGGAACCCAGTTCCTTAAACCCAACCTCACCACTACGTAAGCTGGGGTGTGTCCGCCCAGAAGGGAGTGGGATTGGTGAGGCTCTAACCACCCCCACAGGGGGCCTTGAGGGAATCTCACTGGGCCAGCTTGGAGGGACCCAAAAACTGCCCACCTCCAAACGGACCGAGGAGCAGACTGCCGAGCGCAGGAGCACAGACTGACTGAATTATACAATGAGTTCCTTCCTTGTACAATCCAAAGATGGAGTGAGAGGAGGGGAGAGGGAGAGGGAGAAAGCCCTGAACAATGGCTGAAATAGAATTTTTCCCTAAGCTTGCATAGTAGAAAATTAAGTCCAATTTTATTTGATTCAGAAAAAATAAAGAAATAGAGCACTTTTTCCACTTCCATGGATCTTGGGCATTTTTTTTGTTTTTGTTTTTGTTTTGTTTTGTTTTGAGAGGGAGTTTCACTCCTGTTGCCGAGGCTGGAGTGCAATGGCGGAATCTCAGCTCACCGCAACCTCCGCCTCCAGGGTTCAAGAGATTCTCCCACCTCAGCCTTCCGAGTAGCTGGGTCTACAGCGCCCGCCACCACATCTGGCTAATTTTTGTATTTTTAGTAGAGATGGGGTTTCACCATATTGGCCAGGCTGGTCTCAAACTCCTGACCTCAGGTGATCCACCCGCCTCGGCCTCCCAGAGTGCTGGGATTACGGGCGTGAGCCACCGCGCCCGGCCAATCCTGGGAAATTTTTATCCACTACATCGTTTAAATTGTGAAAGTGTATGAGGAACAGCAAACATGTCCCTAAAGGTTAGTGCCGGAAGCCAAGTGACGGCCACAGACCACCCGCCATTCCTCTCCCACCAGAGATACCCTAACTTTTCTCTCAGAGGGGATCTGCAGGGAGGGAAAAACACAGAGTTTAAAATCCAGCAGGTGTGAGATCCCCTCCTGACACCAAAGTCAGGTCCCGTCAGCAGGGTGGGGCGGGGCCTGGCAGCCCTGATGTAGTGGCCACACGTGGAGCCTGTGCTGGGACAGAGAATTTTGCAAACGGCCAGACAATGGGGGCAGGACCAGGCCCCAGGCCACAGGGGCAGCAATACCGTAACTGGGAACGCAATTCAGGATGTCAGAAGCCGGGAGAATCGGGGAAATTCAGGAAGCACGGTGCAAAGAAGGTCCGGGCAAAGGTTCACGCCGAACTTTGTGCTCAGCCCAGGGCCTCTGAGAGCAAGCTCCGAATGCAGCGGCCAGAAGACATGGAGTGGGACCAGGCGTTAGCCAGATCCTCAGCCTCTCCGCGTCTCAGGTCCCCATCTTAACCAAAGGAAATGATCTTTCCTACCTCCAAGTATTGTAATGATGTTTAGGTAGCACCTAATAAACGTTCTTTGTATAATCTTCTTTTATTGTGGATTTCTATTTGACTGTTATCTTTGAAGACCTAGCTATAGCCCTGCCTTCTTCATGAAGCTTACAACATTTTCTTCTCTGACCTGTTTCAAATTAATTTGAATTTCATAAGACTACAGGCTGGTTTTCTAATTATCCCACAATTAAGTCACTACATAGATGTTTCTTATTGTTTTTCTCACTACTTTTTTCTTGTGTGTGTGTATATATATATATTTGTTCTCTAACTAGGAGATTATTATAAGTAGCGAGCCCTCTTAGAGTAGATTTACAATAGGTTCTCAGGGAATTATTTTATGAATTTAGATAGACGAGGGGCCCTCTCTGGTGAACTGTGAGGCCTATTTTGGTTTGAATAGAATTCATATGAGTATTATTGATAACCCAGATATCACTCTGAATCCTTGTGTTAAGGAAATCTGAATCAAAAAGCACAAAGATGTTATAATTTTTGAAAAAGGGAGTCTCAAGAAAACCATGGCTTGTTTCTAGAATATTGTAGATAGTTCCACTTCCAAACATCAAAAAGAACGTCTAACAGCCCAGAGAGGGACAAGGAAGCAAGCGACCCCAGGGTCCCATGAATGAGCAGCTTCCACCAGCAGGAGGGCCTCACACAAGTGGATGCCTCTGCCTGAAAAGAAGGGGCTGGGAGACTTCAGGAGGAAGATGTCAGAGAAGGGCCTGGCCAGTCTCAAAATCTTGGAACCCTAAGCTTAAGTCGAAAGAGATTGTCGTGGTGACAAATAGAGGAAATATTGTTTACTACACTAAGTTGTAAACATATGGAGCAGATTATGCTAAGAATGTCAGGGGAAAATATAAATAGATTTTAAGTGGATTCAGATCAATTCATGCATAATGGACCTTATTATTAATAGGTTATTAAGGGAAAGTTGGAAATATTCTGCGGTTGTCGTCACGAATCCTTTGAGATCAATGTCAGATAGCAAAACTCTACGACTCACCCAACAAACCTCTCCCAGCACCATGTCAGAGGCAAACACTGACCCTAGCCTGACATTCTACAGCATTGATTCAGTTCTTATCTCTTTATATCTTGCAGCCAAGAGCCTTGAGCTTTATCTACATTGAATGGAATTAATTAAATTTAGAGACAGTGGAGTGGTTGGTTGAAAAATGGCTCGTCAATACTAAATAATTTATAAATACAGACAACCTCCCTCATTCCAACTCAGTGAAATCAATCCAACAATTTATTCAACCCCCAAAGTAGTACATTCCACCTTGGGGTGTTGCCGACTAGAGGTACATGACCACCTGCCATCAGAGCTTATCTTGATCTTGAGACAGGAGTCAGCCAATATTTTAAACCAAACTCAAGTGGAAAACACAAGAGAAAGAGGAAGTAGCTAGAGTCTACTGTTCCTAGACACAAAAAGAATTAACTTGACTACAGACAGGAAGGGTTGCAACTGGCAAGGGAGTTAGGAATGGACTAGAGTAGAACCATTGCCTCAGTTTGTGGCTTAGGAAAAGAAATGCCAAAGGGGGATGATTGGCCAAGGATGCACATTGTGGGTTGAAGGTGGGGCCAAGGGCCACCTCCTCTCTCCCATGCAGGGTTCAATCCCATCTGAGACAAAACTATTTTCACACTATGCTGATTAGTTTATTGGAGTCCAGGATAAAGAATTTTATACCTTGATGTCTGGAACTGAGATTGAAATCACTCCAGAATTTTGTTGGAAATGCTAACATTAAACAAAAGGTGTGGGCTAGAAACAGTTTGAAGAAAGTCTGGACATTCTGGCATTCGGGGAGATGTGTTCAAGATGCCTTCTCCCAACTTCTCCCACACACCCCAACTTGTATAGCAGTGAGGTTGGGGTTAAGGGACTAGGTTCCAGCCAATGGGATGTGGCAGAAGTGATATAGGCTACCTTCTGGAGGGACAACAGAGCCCCTTGTATAAACCTCTAGACCAGCTGTGTCCACTGGAACTCTCTGCACTGGTGGTGATGTTCTGTACTACACTGTCCACTGTGGTAGCCACTGGTCTTATGTGACCAAACACCTGAATTAAAATTTTATTCAACTTTAATTGAATTAAATTAATAGAATTAAATTAATTGAGAGGTTGGAAAGGTTGGGAAGCAGACTGTCAAGAGGACCAGCAATAGAACAATAGTACTGATACTGGCCTCAAGTAAACAGAGAGAGAACACCTGCTCCCCCACACCATTGGCGGAGCTGTGGGACGACACCAGTACATCTCCTCTGCTCTGAATTTTTAAACTCTTCTGTTTTCACTAATAGCAAAGTTCTGGCTGTTGTCATCTTTCTCCCTTCATTTGTTCAAAAAGGTTGTTGTACAAGCTTAGCATATCATTGTCTGATATTTTCTAAATTTGGCACTCATGGTTCATACAGGATGAAGGTTGTTCAGCCACATTCACTGGGGAACCCATTAGCAATACAGGGCCATTTCAATCCTGTCTGATCTTGGCCTAAAGTAAGAACTACATTTTATGTCATGGATTAAGATACATAGTACATTCAAACACACAACTGAAATAAAGTTTTTATGAAATAACACTAGCCTCACTACAGAAAAGCCACTTGGTTATTTTCTGTTCTATTTATTCACTTATGTAAATGCTCATCACCACACGCTCAATGAACCACAAACGGTTCGTGATCTACAGTTTGAAAACCCTTAGCATGAGGAGAATATAGACATTCAGCCCACTCCTCACGGCCACCATGTTCTTGCGGGGGACTGTCAGGGTCTCCCGGCTCAGCCAGACTCACAGCTGGTGGGATCTGATAGATAAATGGTGCTCCTGCTTATCCCCACGGCTGCTTCCAACTTGGGCTTCCTTCTGGGCTCGCTCTCCTTGGAGGAGCCCCTGGAGAAGGCCCTTTCACAGCCCGCAGGCTGATTCTGGTGGGAATGATGAAACAGATCAAGGAGTCCTCCATGACCATGACCACGTCCAGATCTGAGGGCAGGAGCAGATCTGCTCACGGTGGCTTAGCAGACACTGATAAGGAGGATTTGGGAACAGCCATTCTTCTTTTCACTATGATTTTAAAACTTTCCATTCTCAAAACAATGTTCAAATCAAGTCTGCAAATGTCATGAAACAACTTACAGGCTCTCGTGTCCTCACCCTCTGTTGAGAGTGAATTGTTCCTCCCCCATGGCCAGGTCCCTCGCAGGGCTGGCATGGCAGGGTGGTCTCTCTGCTCTGCTTTTCTGAGGTTGGGGTGCACTCCCACTTCCGGTGGCCCTGGCAGCCTCCTGGGAGCAGCGGGGAAGCTTCCCTTAACCCACCTTTCTCCCGTTCCTCCAGTGCCTTTGCAAGGTTACCCTTGAGTTTCCTGGTACCCTGGCCAGGCAGACCAGGCTGATCAGTTACCTCCTGCAGCTCCCATGTCTGAAATCTGCCCCTCTTTTCCACTAATTGATGCCTTGGGAAATAAGGTTTCTAATGACTAAAAGCAAATGAGGTTGAGCGTGCACTATGATGCAAATAGCAAGGGTCGTGATAATTCTAGACCAAGTAACACCTGCTTGACCACTGTTCAACTCCCGAGCACACTGTGCTGAGCTGAAAGCTGGCCTTTGCCTCTGCAGGGGACTTCAGCTGGGATTCCACTGGGCTGGGTCTAGAGGGGGCTTCTCTCAAAAAAAGCTCAGGGCATGTCTCCCCACATTATGGCCAACCCTCTCTAGAAAGACATTTTATTTAAAAACCTATTGGTGTCCTAGTTCTATGAAATTCCTCTTAATGTAAGCCCTGAACAAACTTCTTTGGCGGCCAGAGCCCTGGAGCCGTGTTAGAATGCCATCTTCCCTGTGTTCTTTTCTTGGAAAAATCCCAAGAGACCAGGACTCAGCCAGCTTCCTGTTGAAGATTCTAAACCCCTGTGTTTCCCATCAGGACTGCTGACAAAAGAGAGGGGGCTCTCCAGGCAGGACCCCACAGAGGGCGGTGTGAGCAGGGACTGGAAGACAGGAGAGGCAGGGTGTGGTCTAAACCAGCCTCGGGGCCATTCCTCACTGCTGAGGGAAGAGGGTAGGCAGATGGCTCCGTTAGGAACTCTGGGCCCCCCGATCGCTCCAGTTGACTGGGGCCTTGCTATCTTTTCATTTTCATCCTAAAATGATTAGGTTTGAATGCTGAGGTTTCATGTTGAAAATGTAATGAGAACCTTCGTGGATTGGAATGAGATGCAGAAAGCTGCACAGATGGGGTTTCTTTCTGGGGACTGGGCAAAGGGAAACGCTCAGGCAGGAAATGGATCTGGCGCCTTCCAAGACCTTCGGGTTGCTGGGCAGCCACTTCTCGGGATCCTAATTTTCCAGCTCTTTCCTGAGCACTGCCGCCCGCTTTTTTGTCTCATAATCACAGAGACAGGGGAGACACACTGTGGGAAACAGTAGTGTCTGGCGCTGCTAAGCAATTACTCAGAATGAAAGGTTTGCCATCTTATAAGTAGCACTAAGCCGGGAAGGGGGAGGTCAAGAAGAGGCCAAAAAGGGAAAAAACCTCAATTTCTTCAGCTACCCCCAAAAGAAAACCAGACAAATGTTTGGCTTGGGCATTGTGGGTGCCCAAACAATCAGGTAAAAAATTTAAAATCTGGTGACTATAACCGTTTTGAATTTGTGATGCTAAACAGCTAGCTTTTTATGGTGTTTTTTTCCCCCAGAAACTTCACAAAGAATAAAAATTTACCTCCAGGCCAAGGAGATATATTGGGTCTTTCTTCGAACATCTTTTGAAGGCCTTGTGTGGTGAAAAGCAAATCACATCCCATCGCTTCAAAAATGCTGATTTCAAAAATTCCCTTGTTTTCAATATCACTCCCAGATACAACTCCACATACTCCCTTAAAGAAACTTTTTAAAGAAACTTCTGAATTCACAGCACAGCCAACTGAAATTTGTGGTCGTCATTTCTGGCTGTATTTGGTCAAAAGGAAAATAGCCCTACTGAGAACGCCAGGCCCAGAGCTATATTTTGGGTACGGTGGTTCTCTGTGGCCTCAACAGCTGCATCACCCAATTACAGCATGGCACATGTCCCTGAGCTCTGGGTTTCTGAGTCTGTCTGCACACTTACTTTACTTCCCTGAGCATCATCCATGAAAGAGAGCACAATTCCTCTTGGGTGAGAATAAGAGGAGAGGGAAAGAGCTATTCTCTTCATTGCAATGAGGACATTACTATGCTTACAGGAGTGAAATCTGCACCCTTGGAGGTAGTAACTGTGAGAGTTTTGCTCATTTTAATGGCCTTCACTTCACCCTTCCACATCGTAGAGGTGGTCAGAAACAAAACATTGGAGTCATTTATGAAATAGAAAGAGAGTGGAAAGTGATCAGTAATTTGCAAATACGGTTCTCATTTACTCCCCCCAAGTTCATTTGATAAACCTCACCATTCCTGGCTTACCTGACCCAGATCTCTTCAGAGGATGTTACCAAGTGAACAGATTGTCACTGCTTCTTGCCTTCCAAGAGCATTCTTTATCTGAGTGGCTGAAGATGGATGAAACCAGGTTCCTGCAGTTATGATGTAACCACTGTAAACTCTGTGGAGCAGGAAGTGGGTGTTGTTGTCATGGGGTCATGGGGCTTCTGCTTCTCCACCCACTTATATCTATTAATACTCCAGGCAGTTCAGCAGCTGACTTAGGGAATCAAGGGAAGCCCCTGGGATAGGTAGTTGACACTAAGGGCAGATCTTTCCCACTCTGAGAGATATAGCATGCCCCTTTCTGTCTTGTTCTCCCACAAGATCCTCCCCCATGCTGAGGCCCATTCACTTCCCCTGCTTGAAGAAGAAAGAGGTGAATGGCTTTTTCTATGGGGTATGGGAAAGAAGTGCAAACACATTTTACCACTTACACCCTGTGTACCACTTGGATCAAATCTTAAAGTTTTCTTGGCATCGAAGAAACAGAATCTTAGCTCTTCTATCCACCATAGTTTTAGACAGATGTATGAGAGATGCAGCCAAGGTTTTGTCACTTTGCTGAATTCCTCAGTGATGGTTCTCAGTTACAGAACATGCTTCTGACATTGGTGAAGGGGAAGTTTCACAATTTTATTGCTAGGAATATATATATAAATACGTATGTATTTGAATATACACATGCTATTAATATAATTTTTTGGCATTTGGAATAACTTTAGTCCCTGAAAACCCAGAGCAGTTACACACTAGCAAAGCTGAAAATGTTTAAGGAGAGCAAAAGAGGAACAGAGTGAGCATGAGCCTTCAGATTCTGCTACACTATAGGCCATGGGGACCTGCACATGCTAGGCAGGAAGGGCTGAACGGCCAATCCACCAAAGCAGGTATTTAATGATGCTGTGAGGGACTTGTCATTACGTGCCACACAACAGAGAATCTGTGTGTGCAGCTTCATTTCCGAGCAAGAAGCAATGCTTGCTAAGTGAAAAAGACTTTAAACATCTCCCCATGGCTAGGGAAAAGGAAAAGATGCAAGCTGCTCCCAGGTGGCATAAGGAAAAGACAGCTAGAAAAAGACAAATCAACAAACAGATGTGTATCTGAGTGCCTCAGTTTGAGAGACGCTGAGCGGAACCTGTATCCTAGAGGCTCTCATATTTGTTACACACTCCCTAGGTGAATCCAATGTGCAGCTAGGTTGGGAACCTCCAGGTTTGAGCACATGTACTAAAACAAAGAGAATTCTGGCTGTGGTGTGGACTTATCCATTCTTAACAAATCCTTCTGCTGTCTTCAAAGGGCCCTGACTTCCTCATTCTTAATAAGAGAAAATAAAATCCAGAGTAACTAGAGTTACCTACCAGATTCCTCACTTACTAGATTGGCAAAACCCAAAGATTTGACAATCGGCTCTGGGGAGGGTATGGGAAAACAAGCACTCTCATAGATGAGGGTGGAAATGTCAGAATGACAAAATACCTTCCAGGACAACTTGGCATATCTAGTATAATTTCACTGACTCTTTGACACGGTAATTCTACTTCTGGGAATTGATCCTACAGAAGTAACTGCACACATACAGAATGTCATATTTACAAAGTGATTCACTTTGTAATAACAAAAGATTGGAAACAACCCAAGTACCCATCTATAGAAGATGGGTTTAATAAATTATGACACTCATACGTAATGAAATGCTAGGCAGCTGTTAAGGAACAATGAGGACACAGTTTAAATATGGATGTGGAAAGGTGTCAAAGACAAGCAGAAAAGGAAAGGTGCAGACAGAATATATCTGCTCATATTTACATCAAGAAACACTGGACTAATATTCAAGAAGCAAATAGAAGTAGTTACCTACAGGGAAGAAGTGATGGGGAGATAGAGAACAGGGTAGAAGAAAAGATGAGTGGTTATCAGGCTTCTCAATCTATACCTTTTTATATTTGACTTTTGAATCATGTGATTATATTAACCATTTCTCCTAAATTTTTTTTTTAAAAAGACCCTGAGGCACTCCCCACCACACACACACGGTGATCAAATACAGATTTTTACACTGGATGAGTCTGTTTTGATGATTACAGTCAAGATTCTGGTACCCAAAAAGTACAAAACAGTCATGAATAGTCCTTCAGAACTTGAAAAGAGAAAAAATCTTTGTAAAATAGTATGCTGTAAGCCAAGAGTTTTTTTTTTTTAATGGAGTAGAAGTATTAAGATTCATAAGAAGTTTAAGAATCAAAGAAATTTAGGAATCAATTGTCTCATTCATTTCTCCTTCAGATAAGGAAACTCCAATTCACAAGTTTCGGTCACTAGTCCAAGGTCACACGATTAGAGTCAGAGGCAGCCCTGGAATCTAGCCCTCCTGGTCTTAGGTCACTGCTCTGTGTCTAATCCCAGCTCCTCCGGCAATACTGGAGATGAACTCTAAGACCATCCTCAAAATGCTTACAGCTCTAGACTAGAGACCCTGTGAGGAAAGATGAGGCAAGAACTGAAATAGTCATAGTCTGGAGGGGTGAAAAGAGAGAAACGTAATAAAAGTGAACCTTATATGATGCCTAATAAGTTGGAAGGAAACCATCTGTTTTCCATGTTTAGTGGAGAGGGAACTAGAATTTATGCTGTAACGAAGCATGAGCTAGAAAGAGGAAATTCCTAATTTGACTGGTTATGGACAAAGATATCAGCAAAGAAGGCTCTTATGTTGCCTTCACTGGAGATTTTTAAAGACAAGGTTTTATTTCTCATCAGTAGTTCTTTCTAAATCATGTATTGCTTAACACAGCTTGATAATTTGGGAAGGACCTCAACCTCACCTAAGACACGATTACCCCCTCAACTACCCAATACTGACTCTAGCAGCTATGTCGGCATTTCCAGCTCTTTGGGGGAGAGAGGTAGCATGCTGTACTGAGAACAGTTCCCTACTAAATTTCTTTTCTTTTTGACAGAATATTGGTTTTTTTTTTCATTTAATAGCAAATATTTATTGAGTGCTTACTATGTGTCAGGTACTATTCTTAGTAAATATTCCTGGTAGTTTTTTTCTTCTTTTTTTTTATTATATTTTAAAATTCTGGGATACATGTGCAGAATGTGTGGTTTGTTGCATAGGTATACATGTGCCATGGTGGTTTGCTGCACCCATCAACCCATCATGTAGGTTTTTATGTTTTTGTTTTTTGTTTTTGAGATGGAGTCTCACTCTGTTACCCAGACTGGAGTGCAGTGGCATGATCTCAGCTCACTGCAACCTCTGCCTCCCGGGTTCAAGTGATTCTCCTGCCTTAACCTCCTGAGTAGCTGAGATTACAGGTGCTTGCCACCATGCCTGGCTAATTTTTTGTATTTTTAGTAGAGACGGGGTTTCACTGTGTTAGCCAGGATGGTCTCAATCTCCTGACCTCATAATCTGCCTGCCTCAGGTTTTAAGCCTTGCATGCATTAGGTATTTCTCCTAATGCTATCCCTTGCCTTTTCCCCAACCCCTCAACAGGCCCCAGTGGGTGATGTTCCCCTCCCTGTGTCCATGTGTTCTCATTGTTCAACTCCCACTTTTGAGTGAGAATATGTGGTGCTTGGTTTTCTGTTCCTGTGTTAGTTTGCTGAGAATTATGGTTTCCAGCTTCATCCACGTCCCTACAAAGGACACAAACTCATTCTTTTTTATGGCTGCATAGTATTCCATGGTGTATATGTGCCACATTTTCTTTACCCAGTCTATCATTGATGCGCATTTGGGTTGGTTCCAAGTCTTTGCTACTGTAAACAGTGCTGCAGTAAACATACATGTGCATGTGTCTTTATAGTAGAATGATTTATAATCCTTTGGGTATGTACCACCCAGTAATGGAATTGCTGGGTCAAATGGTATTTCTAGTTCTAGATCCTTGAGGAATCACCACACTGTCTTCCACATTGGTTGAACTAATTTACACCCCCACGAACAGTGTAAAAGCGTTCCTATTTCTCCACATCCTCTCCAGCATCTGTTGTTTCCTGACTTTTTAATGATCGCCATTCTAACTGGCGTGAGATGGTATCTCATTGCAGTTTTGATTTGCATTTCTCTAATGACCAGTGATGATGAGCTTTTATTCATATGTTTGTTGGCTGCATAAGTGTTTTCTT
Source organism: Homo sapiens (assembly GCF_000001405.40). Lineage (NCBI taxonomy): Eukaryota > Metazoa > Chordata > Mammalia > Primates > Hominidae > Homo > Homo sapiens. The sequence goes on along the minus strand of NC_000018.10, from coordinate 10,257,506 downwards.
TTGAGAAGTGTCTGTTCATATCCTTTACCCACTTTTTGATGAGGTTGTTTCTTCCTTGTAAATTTGTTTAAGTTCCTTGTAGATTCTGGATATTAGCTCTTTGTCAGCTGGATAGATTGCAAAAATTTTCTCCCATTCTGTAGGTTGCCTGTTCACTCTGATGATCATTTATTTTGCTGTGCAGAAGCTCTTTTGTTTAATTAGATCCCATTTGTCAATTTTGGCTTTTGTTGCAATTGCTTTTGGTGTTTTAGTCATGAAGTCTTTGCCTATGTCCTGAATTGTATTGCCCAGGTTTTCTTCTAGGGTTTTTATGGTTTTAGGTCTTATGTTAAGTCTTTAATCCATCTTGAGTTAATTTGTGTATAAGGTGTAAGGAAGGGGTCCAGTTTCAGTTTTCTGCATATGGCTAGTCAGTTTTCCCAACATCATTTATTAAATAGGGAATCCTTTACCCATTGCTTGTTTCTGTCAAGTTTGTCCAAGATCAGATGGTTGTAGATGTGTGGTGTTATTTCTGAGGCCTCTTTTCTGTTCCATTGGTCTATGTATCTGTTTTGGTGCCAGTACCATGCTGTTTTCATTACTGTAGCCTTATAATATAGTTTGAAGTCAGGTAGCATGATGCCTCCAGCTTTGTTCTTCTTGCTTAGGATTGTCTGGGCTGTATGGGCTCTTTTTTGGTTCCATATGAAATTCAAAGTAGTTTTTTTCTAATTCTGTGAAGAAAGTCAATGGTAGCTTGATGGGAATAGCATTGAATCTATAAATTACTTTGGGCAGTATGGCCATTTTCACGATATCGATTCTTCCTATCCATGAGCATGTAACGTTTTTCATTTGTTTGTGTCCTCTCTTATTTCCTTGAGCAGCGGTTTGTAGTTATCCTTGAAGAGGTCCTTCACGTCCCTTGTAAGTTGTATTCGCAGATATTTTATTCTCTTTGTAGCAATTGTGAATGGGAGTTCACACATGATTTGGCTGTTTGTCTATATTTACCAAGTAAATGGAAAGCAAACAAAAAGCAGGGGTTGCAATCCTAGTCTCTGATAAAAGAGACTTTAAACCAACAAAGATAAAAAAAGACAAAGAAAGGCATTACATAATGATAAAGGGATCAATGCAACAAGAAGAGCTAATTATCCTAAATATATATGCACCCAATACAAGAGCACCCAGATTCATAAAGCAAGTTCTTAAAGACCTACAAAGAGATTTAGACTCCCACACAATAAAAGTGGGAGACTTTAACACCCCACTGTCAATATTAGACAGATCAATGAGACAGAAAATTAACAAGGATATTCAGGACTTGAACTCAGCTCTGGACCAAGCGGACCTAATAGACATCTACAGAACTCTCCACCCCAAATCAACAGAATATACATTCTTCTCAGCACCACATTGCACTTATTCTAAAACCGACCACATAATTGGAAGTAAAACACTCCTCAGCAAATGCAAAATAGTGGAAATCATAACAGTCTCTCAGACCACAGTGCAATCAAATTAGAACTCAGGATTAAGAAACTCACTCAAAACCACACAACTACATGGAAACTGAACAACCTGCTCCTGAATGTCTACTGCGTAAATAACGAAATTAAGGCAGAAATAAATAAGTTATTTGAAACCAATGAGAACAAAGCCACAATATAATAGAAGCTTTGGGACACAGATAAAGTTTAGAGGGAAATTTATAGCACTAAGTGCCCACATCAGAAAGTGGGAAAGATCTAAAATCGACATCCTAACATCACAATTAAAAGAACTAGGGAAGCAACAGCAAATAAATTCAAAAGCTAGCAGAAGACAAGAAATAACTTAGGTCAGAGCAGAACTGAAGGAGATAAAGACACAAAAAACCCTTTAAAAAATCAATGAATCCAGGAGCTGGTTTTCTGGAAAAGATTAACAAAACAGATAGGCTGCTAGCCAGACAATAAAGAAGAAAAGAGAGAAGAATCAAATAGACACAATAAAAAAATGATAAAGGGATATTACCACTGATGCCACAGAAATGCAAACTACTATAGTATTCAGAGAATACTATAAACACCTCTACACAAACTAGAAAATCTAGAAGAGATGGATAAATTCCTGGACATATACACCATCCCAAGACTAAACCAGGGAGAAGTCGAATCCCTGAATAGACCAATAACAAGTTCTGAAATTGAGGTAGTAACTAATAGCCTACCAACCAAAAAAAGCCGAAGACCAGACAGATCCACAGCTGAATTCTATTAGAGGTACCAAGAGGAGCTGGTACCATTCCTTCTGAAACTATTCCAAACAATAGAAAAAGAGGGACTCCTCCCTAACTCATTGTATGAGGCCAGCATCATCCTGATACTGAAACCTGGCAGAGACACATACACAGAAAAAATTGCAGTCCAATATCCCTGATGAACATCGACGTGAAAATCCTCAATAAAAAATACTGGCAAACTGAATCCAGCAGCACATCAAAAAGCTTATCCACCACGATCAAGTTGGCTTCATCCCTGGGATGCAAGGCTGGTTCAACATATGCAAATCAATAATCATAATCCATCACATAAACAGAATCAATGCCAAAAACCACATGATTATCTCAATGGAAGCAGAAAAGGCCTCGATAAAATTCAACACCTATTCATGCTAAAAACAATAAACTAGGTATTGATAGAACATATCTCAAAATAATAAGAGATATTTATGACAAACCCACAGCCAGTATCATACTGAATGGGCAAAAGCTGGAAGCATTCCATTTCAAAACCGGCACAAGTCAAGGACTCCCTCTGTCACCACTCCTATTCAACATAGTATTGGAAGTTCTGGCCGGGGCAATTAGGCAAGAGAAAGAAATAAAGGGTATTCAAATAAGAAGAGAGGAAGTCAAATTGTCTCTCTTTGCAGATGACATGACTGTATATTTAGAAATCCCCATCATCTCAGCCCCAAAACTCCTTAAGCTGATAAGCAACTTCAGCAAAGTCTCAGGATACAAAATCAATGTGCAAAAATCCCTACTAAATTTCTGATGTGGTTAGAGTGTAGAACACAGCCTCCTATATGGTGGTGAAGAGGGTCCATCTGAAACCACACTGCCCTGTTCTAACTCAGTTCTGCCACTCTTCAGCTGTGAAGCTGGAACAAGTGACTTAGCTCTCTGTGAAATGCAATAATCAAACCTGCCATGTCAAGAACAGTGCTTGGCACATATTTTGTTTTTTTGTTTGTTTGTTTTTTGAGACAAAGTCTCACTCTGTTGCCAGGCTAGAGTGCAGTGGTGACATCTCGACTCACTGCAACCTCCACCTCTGGGGCTCAAGTGATTCTCCTGCCTCAGCCTCCTGAGTCACTGGGATTACAGGTGTGCACCACCACACCCAGCTAAGTTTTGTATTTTGGTAGAGATGGAGTTGTGCTATGTTGGCCAGGATGGTCTCAAACTCCTGTCCTCAAGTGATCTGCCCACCTCAGCCTCCCAGAGTGCTGGGATTACAGGTGTGAGCCACCACACCTGGCCTTGACACGTGGTTAGCTTTCAAGAAATGCTATATTCTGTAAGCAAAGCCTGCTGTATTCATCAAAATATGTCTCCTCTCCATCGTTGGCACACACTAGACTATGTGTCCCCACATCTAGGTGGCTTGGCTGTGTTTCCCAGTGGAAAGTGGGTGGGAGTGATGTGTGATACTAAGCCAGGCCCTTGTAGACTTCCTGCACATCTTCCTTCATGCTCTTTCCCACTCTGGCTTGTTGCAGATGAGCCTGGAGAACTTGAAAGCCCAGGTGCCATAGGAGGGAAAGGGCTAAAGTCTGAATAATTGCATAGAGGAGAGCTAGTCACTGACCAGGAAAGCCCATTTGGGACTTTCACATGACAGACAAGTAAACTCCATTCTGAGCCACTGGCATTTCATCTTCATAGTTTACAGCAGTGAGCCTCACCAAAGCTTATATAAAGAACTCTTAAGGGCAATGGCCTTGCAGCCTTGCCACAGACATCAGCTGTCCCTAGAGGGATCAGCTCCCTCTAGACTTCCTCTCATCACTGCAGTTGATTCTAAAATCTGGGCGGAACAGGAAAGAAGGCGAAGGGACCAGACGGTAGAGGACTACTGCTTCTTCTCATTTGTTTTTCTATTTCTGCTGATACTTGCTTCAATTACTATAAGTAGCTCTCTGGCTTTTAGAGAATCTCTGTGTATTTTCTCACCTTCACATCCAGGGACTCCTTGTGGGTGGCTTCTTTGGTCTAGCCTGATTTGATGTTTCTTTTCACACTACAGGGTGGACACGAAAATCACTGGCCATTTTCCACATGACATCAGCCTTGGTGAAGTAGCATGAAGTGCTCCATACAGCACAGAAAAAGTTCTCCTGCTTTGAGTAAATATTTGTTGAGTGAATTAACAATCCTTTTGCCAACTCTTATTGACACGAAAGGCTGTGATTAATTATCTTATGAATAATCTACCTTGTTTGACATAGATTTTACTTGTATTAAATTCTCAATTGAATCAGCTAGTATTTCTTTCTCTGTGCACAGTTTCTTATCAAATATTTTGGCATAGAGTTTATTCTTAAATTAATAAATACAATATATGTTAACATTGACAAAGAGGTTGATCTATTAAGTTGAAAATTTCCCTTTTTTTCTAGCTGGCAAACTCCTGATTATTCGAGTTTTACAACTTCTGAAGCAATGGTTGAAGATGTGAGAAAGGCTTCTTTTTCAGCTTGTTTCCCTTACCACAAGCCTTCTTCATGGTCATACGGCAGTTTCATGGGAAACCCACACTTGACCACTCTCTTTGATGCTCAGACAGCTCACACATCATGAGCCTTTTTTATTTTCAGCTTTAAGCCAGCTTCTGACTCAATGTTCAACACATGAATCAATCGTATGCTGAGCAGTCATGTTGGACTGGGGAGTCTTTGTCCTAATTCCTTGAAATTCATCTCTTTCATGAATACGTCATGTTCTATTTCCTTAAGAGAGTCACTTGTAACTTCCTATAGAACACAGTTTTCTAAGACCAATTCAAAGATATCCTTCCCTCAACCCCTTCTCTTAATGATTAATAAATGAATAATTGGATGTTAGGATGAATGGATAGACGGATGGTGGGTGAATAGATAGATGGATTCTGGTCTTCCAGCCTCTATACCTACTCATCAGAAGAACCCTAGAAACCTCAGCATCATTTCGTACCTTTGGATATGATCCTTCAGGTGCTTAGAATTTAGATCAGGTGGCCTTCCAAATGGTCAACTGTGCTCCCTTGCCAATATTCTAAGGAGCCATATTGAAAAATTTAAACTACTCAGGCAAAAGCTAAACCATTTAGATCATTTTCTCATAAATATAGAGGTATTGGAAGAAAAAATCAAATAATAAATCTTATGCAACCTTTGCCTTTTCTATTCAGAAAAATCTGAAAAATCTAATTTGAAATTTAGTTTCATTAGGTTTTATTAGCATCTTGAGTTTTAGATATTATTTTCATGAGGAAAGTACAATTTTTCTCCATTTTTTCTTCCCTCTGGCATAGTTAGACATGTTGCCTGACTCTGCCTGTTTAACACCATTTATGACTGGTCTGTGATTGGTTCAGAGAACATGTGCATGGGCTTTTTTAAAAGCAGCAGCATTCAAAGTTAGAATGACATTTGTTCATTCAAGCAGCAAGCTCCGCCAATTGGCAAAGACCTCTTTGCAATAAAAATAGGAAGAAACAGCCTTTTTATCATCTAAGGTACTTGTAGCAGATTCACTGAGGAACTTTCCTCACTCTCTTATTCATTCATATTGTGTAGAATGCACTGGATTCCATCTTCTTATAGTCCTGTAGGGAGGAATCATGGTGGCTTTTTTTTTTTTTTTTTTTTTTTTTTTTTTGAGACGGAGTCTCGCTCTGTCGCCCAGGCCGGATTGCGGACTGCAGTGGCGCAATCTCGGCTCACTGCAAGCTCCGCTTCCCGGGTTCACGCCATTCTCCTGCCTCAGCCTCCCGAGTAGCTGGGACTACAGGCGCCCGCACCACGCCCGGCTAATTTTTTGTATTTTTAGTAGAGACGGGGTTTCACCGTTTTAGCCGGGATGGTCTCGATCTCCTGACCTCATGATCCACCCGCCTCGGCCTCCCAAAGTGCTGGGATTACAGGCGTGAGCCACCGCGCCCGGCCCATGGTGGCTTTTATCCAGCAAGTCTTGGCAGGCTCCAGCTATACGTTGTTATTTGATTAAGGATTTGGCATATGAGCTAAGGTAAGCCTTTTTATGGCATTATCCAGAATCGGCTTCCTAGTAAATGACATACTCCCCAAAGAATGTTTCCAAAGAGGCTGTTGTAAAGTTTTTCTGTGGGTAGAAATTTCACGTGTAGCCTGCTTACTTTATTTCATAGACTGGGTAGAATACCACCAACTACTCCAGGATTTCTTAAACTGAAACTTGGAGTCCCTGGATGTGAAGGTGGGAAAATACATGAAGATTCTCTAAAAGCCAGAGAGCTACTTATAGTAATTGAAGCAAGTATCAACAGAAATAGAATAACAAATGAGAAGAAGCAGAAGTTCTCTATCTTCTGGTCCCTTCTCCTTCTTTCCTGTTCTGCCCAGATTTTAGAATCAACTGCAATGATGAGAGGAAGTCTAGAGGGAACTGATCCAAACAGCTGATGTCTGTGCAAGGCTGCTAGAAAAACTAAAAAAAAAAAAAAAGCTTTCTGGGGAACACTTATACACTGCTGGTGGGAGGGTAAATTAATTTAGCCATTGTGGAAAGCAGTGTGATGATTTCTCAAATAACTTAAAACAGAATTATCATTCAACCTAGAAATCCCACTATTGGGTATACCCAAAGGAATATAAATCATTCTACCATAAAGATACATGCACACCTATGTTTGTCACAGCACTATTCGCAATAACAAAGACATGGAGTCAACCTAAATGCCCATCAATGGTAGACTGGGTAAAGAAAATGTGGTACATATACACCATGGAACACTACGCAGCCATTAAAAAGAATGAGATCCTGTCCTCTGCAGCAACACGGATGGAGATGGAGGCCATTTTGCTAAGCTAACTAATGCAGGAACAGAAAACGAAATACCACGTGTTCTCACTTATAAATGGGACCTAAACACTGAGGACACATGAACACAAAGAAGGGAACAACAGGCACTGGGACCTACTTGAGGATGGAGGCTGGGTGGAGGGTGAGGATGGAAAAACTACCTATCAGGTACTGTGCATGTTACCTGAGTGACAAAATAATCAGTATACCAAACCCCCATGACACACAATTTACATATGTAATAAATCTCCACATAGGCCCTTGAAATGGAAATAAAAATTAAAAACAAAGATAAAATAACAACAGAAAATAATAAAAGAGGCTTTTGGGAAGTGGACAACTGCAGTGTGATGACAGATATGTGAAGTCAGGGGGCCCTGTCTCAAAGGACACAGTGATGTTTAAGGACTCTGCCTTTCCAAGAGACTGACAAGTCATTCAAGTGGACTGAGTCAGCCCCAAATGGTCATGCTCACTCCTTCCTCCAGGAGCCCTTACTTCACAGGAGGTTCTCAATGTAGCCCCCTGAGCCAGTCACTGGAAGAGACAGAGCCAGAAGATCAAACTGCGAGTCTTGGCCTGAAACTCAAATCAGCTGGCTCCATTTTCTTTCCACATCTACCTTCACTGCACATTGCCCAAAATAGCCTTTCTAGTTTCAGCAAGACAAGAGCTCCCAGAAGTTAGGCGCTAGCAGTACTGCAAACTATCTTTAGGTGGGATTAATTCCCTTCCGAACCTAAGACAGCAAAGTGCTGTCTTTACCTAAGATTAGTCTTTACCTAAGACAGCAAAGTACTCACAAGCATTTCAGACTCTGGGGATCCACACACCCCAGAATACAAGAACTTTCTGGGCAGAATTTTGCAAAGTCTCATATCCCTTCCAGCCCCTGAGTAAGCAAGGTCAGCAATACCCTTATCTGCCAGTGGAAGGAGACGTCCCTCCTCAAGGGCCCTGGAACCCACTATGGCTTCCCGATGGCCACTTTGAAGGAGGCCACTCAGCTCCATCTGGTGCTGGCTGTAGGCAGGGGCCCTGCAGAGAGGTCCTGGAACCAAACTGGAGGGTGGCTGCCGGCTTTGTATTTCAGTTAAAATGAACACTGCATTTGAAATGCTCTGGTGATTTTGTTTAAATTCTTTAAACTATTTTTTCTCTCTTAGCTCCATCTTCCTTACCTCCACTTAACCTACATGCTGGCAATGGGAAACGGAGGGAAGAAAATTCATTTTCTGAAATTGTATATATGAATTTTTGTCCTTGAACGATATTTTCAATGTTTTGACAGATGGCTCAAGCTTCCAAAATCTCTACGCTCACATTGACTTGATTTTTAGAGTCACATTGGAAGTGTCTGGCAACAAGAAAGAATGTTTGAAATTAGTGATATTCCAGCAAATGCAGGCTGTATGGTTTGAGAAGTCTCTGCCTCTCGTAGTGGTGCATGTGTCTTAGGTCAGCCATGGCATGGGGAAAAAGAACCTTATCTGCACCTGTCTGCAGGGCACTGAGCACCGCTTCCCTGGGGCTCTCTGTGTCTCTCACCAGCTTCCTACCTGCATCATTTTCCATATTCTCTGTCCTCTGGAGTGCCTAAAAACCCAGGCTGTGGGGCGATGCTGGCTCCACCACTGACCAGCCAGTGACTTTGTGCACTTTGCCTAAATTATCTTAACCCTTGTTTGCCGGGTACATAGTAAAATACCCAGCCACTCTTAGCCGTTATGAATTTCAGTGTTTCTGTAGATTCTAAGCCAAATGAGATGTAGGCACAGATATCAAAGATGACAACATGAAAGGGTTGTAGGTGAAGTTGGAATGGAGATCAAAGCAAAATTTCCAACTTCTTTTTTCTTTTTCTTTTTTGAGATGGGGTCTCCCTCTGTCACCCAAGCTGGAGTGCAGAGGCTCCATTTCTGCTCACTGCAACCTCCGCCTCTTGGGTTCAAGCAATTCTCCTGCCTCAGCCTCCTGAGTAGCTGGGATTACAGGCGCGGGCCACCACTCCCAACTAATTTTTTGTTGTTGTTTTTAGTAGAGATGGGATGTCACGGTGTTAGCTAGGATGGTCTCGAACTCCTGACCTCATGATCTGCCTGCCTCGGCCTCCCAAAGTGCTGGGATTACAGGCATGAGCCACCGTGCCCAGCCAACTTCTTTTTCTTCAGCTGAGACTTTGGGATGCACTCGGGGTGAGGGACAGTGAGGGCTGCTGAAGTCAGTTCTCCACCAGCCACAAGGACAACTGTGACTCGCCCTACCCCTCATCAAGCATAGAGTTCCCAGGAGCCTAGGAGAGAGGGCACTGAGCCTCCAGACCCTGGCCAGACTCTCCCCGAGGTTTGCCTCCCAGCTGGAAGCAGAGGTGTCAAAGGAAGGCTTATGGCTGGAAAGTATGTTCGAGATGAGAGAGAAAAAAAGAAACCGAGACAGAGACAGGCAGAGAGAGTGAGCACTAGGCCGTGCATAGAGGGGCCACTAACAGGGTAGACGCTCACGGCACAGGTGAGCAGGAGCGCAAGCGGCCAGAGATGGGGGCCCCCTTCCCCTGCTGGCGGCTGTGTTCGCATTCTTGCTGTCTTCTGTGGCTGAGAGTAACCACACAACAGTCCTCAGCCAAGATAGCCTTTCCCTGTCTTCACACAGACGCAGGAACCCCCAGGGATGAGTGCTCAGGAAGGGAGTGGACAGCAGAACCCTCCCTAGGACGCGGACCCTCTTAGGCAGGTGGCATTTGTCAGCCCGGGTTTCCTTCCTCCCCACCCTTTCCATCTTTCTCAGGCTCCTCCCAGCCTCTTCCATATTCCTCTCCCAGCCCCGTGCTGACACCCCAGCTGCTCTGGCAAGGATGGGCAGTGATAAGAGGAGCCCCGAGCAGGGAGGCTGGGGCCTGCAGTTTCACGCAGCTGTGAAGTGCACCGGATGGAGTCTGTAAAGTGCTGTGTGAAGCTTGCTGCAGCTGAGTCCCATGGGCGGAGGAATGGGAGACGTGCCGCAGATGAGGCAGAGCCAGCCTCCCCAGGTAGTGCCTTCTCTTTGAAACGGCCTGGGAGGAGTGTGGGGTGCTGATGAGCCCCAGAATAAAATAGACATAAGCATGTCAGATAATGCTTCATTCTCGATAGCAGTGCCTTCTGTCTTAGACTTCTTACGCAGCAGCTAATTCGTCTAACTAATAAAAGAGGCGTGGAGAGCAGTTCACGGAGAAGCTCCTCTCCCGCCCGTGGTTAGGGGCTGCACGTGCTCTGTACTCCGCAAATGCCATGCCATGTAGCTGAAAGCTTGCATTTCTCTCTAGAACCCTTCCAAAGCTCTCATTTCTCATTTGGCATCTCTGAGCCTCCGAAATCTCACTCTAAAAGTCTCCACTCTTTTCCCCTTGGTTGTTTTTCCCTTTCAAAACAAAACCTTCTTCAAGCCACTGCAATCTCACCAGAGGTATTCTCAAGCGCGTTCTGCTCTGAAAAATAAAACTCATTGTGAGCCTGCTAGGAGCTTCTGCTTGGGGTGGCAGACGGGGAAGTAGGGGGCACGCAAGTAGGGGAAGCCTTCAATCGACACTGCATCTGGGATGAGCAGTTTGCGGAAGGTGTTTTGGAAATCTTGGGCACAGGAAACGTGAATTTTTAAAAACAATAACAACAACACCACCACCACACACACACACACACACACACACACACACACCCCAGACAACAGAAGAAAACAGCATTGTTATCGAAAAGTGACCTGAGTGGAATGGAACCACATGGGTCTTGTGGGTGCACGAGCCCCAGGCTGGCTGGCGTCCTTGTGGCCTGGCTGGGCAGTCCGCCCATCTGTTCTGGCAGCTCTGGGCAGACCCCGCCACAGACCCAGCCTGCAGACCCCTGGGGCCACTGCCCCTTTGTCCTCCCATCCAGGGAACCCTGCGGTCCTGAGAGCCCTCCTTCACCTCACTGTCAGTGCATGAGGGGCCTCGAAAGCACGGCTACATCACCCAGGAAAGCCTTAAGCCAGGGGTAGGGTTTGGGCGGGGAGGGGAACAACCCAATTATCAGGCAGGAGCAGCAGGTCATGTTCATGAAAGCCAGAAACGTCTTCTGCAAAGCCAGCCCCTTAGCACTGCGGTATGAGCCTGAAGGCCTTCATCAGATCCTTTCTGTGACCATCTCCATTCTCCAGTGCAAGCTGGCTCTGAATTTGGAGTAACCACTTTTATTTGGGGAGCTGGGGGAAAGTGAAATGTTCACTTTTAACTTTGATACCTGTGCCTGCAGCTCCTGTCTTGTTGCTGCCCTTTCCCAGTGGAAGGCTGGAATTACAGACCATTAAAGCTGGGAGGGGGCCTTGGACCTCACCAGGCCAGCCTCTCCATCCTACAGACAAGAAACCGCAGTCTGACCTAGGGGACAAATGGCCCTGGCACCGAGACTCTTCCAGGCCCCACCCAGGCGCTGTCGCTGGGCCCTGCCTCTCGTTGCAGCTGGCTTGCCTGAGTTATTTTCTGTTCCATCTGTAATGATCCTATTGTCACAATGGGTCTCTCCCAGTAAGAGTGCACTCCACGCATCCCCTGAGGTCACCTATGTTCTCTGCACACAGAGTGCTTACTAAATGAGTCTTGATGGACAGGCGCTGCAGCCTGCAGAGACCTCATCTGATGTCTCGGCCAGGCCAATCTGCCCTTTCCAGATGACCTTCTCTCCCATCCCTTAAAAGTGTCCTGTGATGCTCCCCAGATGTTCTGCAGAAGCATCCAGGAGAACCGAGCCCCCAGGGCAGAGCGGCAATATGCAGGCGCCAGGCCTTGCAAGCCCAGCATCTTGGAACTCTCTTTGCACAGAGTTACCTTGAGCCAAATACAAGTTTCTAGAATCTGGACACACGACACAGTCTCGGCAAAGCTGATTACAGAGGAGTGTCAGCGAAGTTCTTGGAAAAAATATTTTCAGGAAAAGAGTGTTTGGCAGCTTCCCTGAGGGGTAAACAAGCCAACAGAAATTAATCAGGAGAATCCAGGGGCATGTACCAGTAAAGCAGGGGCAGCTCATCCCAAAGCATTTGCCTCTTTTGTGTCTTCCTAATACACTAGCCAGGAGGGAGGAAGACCTGCATGCGGACTAACAGAAACCATTTTGGAAGACAATGTACATGCAGTTTAACCTCTTTAAAGTGACCTTGTTAGACAATTTGGCCACTAACATCTCCCATGGAATTGTGAGATATGAAAAAAGCACCAGATGCGGCTGTTTGGCAGAGTCCTGTCCTGGCTATGGGACTCGTTCTGAACTGAAAGCTTCTAGTTGGCCTTTTCTCAGTACTGGCTGGATGAGGCCTGGAGTCAGGAGTCAAAAGCCCAGGTCTAAACAAGATTTGTCTACCTCTCTGTCACCTAAGCAGGACATGTGGTGAGTGGTTCATCTGTGGGTGCCCTCCTTCCTCACCTGTGGAATAGGATTTGCCCTGCCTGTCTCACAGGCCTGCTGTGAAGGCTGAACGAGGAGCACACGTTCATCAAGGGTGAAGCATGGTCAAATGTCAGGCAATACGATTCTACTGAACTGCACTGCTGATTGAAAAAAGCAATGCTCTCCTTCCGTGAAAAATGACTAAACTCTCTTTATCAGGTGCGCTCATTAAGACAAACATACACACCCCTTGACACCCCCTTACTAGCCCCCAACACACAGAAACCACACCAGATATTTTCAGCAAGAACTTAACATAGGAAATTGGGTGGCTACAAAACTCTTGCAAGGGCTAAGCGTTCATGGCTGGTCAGCCAGGAGCAACTTCTAGAACGCGGCAGAAATGACAAAAGAGAGGAGCTTGGGCCCCTGAGGTGCCCCTTGGAGCTCTGCTGCCTGCACCACAATGAACTCTGGGAGACCAGGACCCAGGACGCTGGATCGAGAACGCTGCAAGTGCCACTTGGCAAACACACAGCAAACAAATGCAATCTAATCTCTACTACATCGCTCCTGTTAAACAGCCAAAATGAAGCAGAAAAATAGCTCCACCTCACTTCTCTCCTACAAATCTCCCACCAGTACAATAATCCGATGGAATGTAATCCACATCTCATACCTCAGCTGTAAGACATAGTAGAAATGTCGTTTTTAGCTTTCCAAGCTCTGCAGCTGGAAGGAAGATGGGATGATGGCTAAGCAAACCAAGCCCCAGTATCCACCCTTCTCAATGTTCACACAAACCTTGTGCTAGTTGGAGAGCTTTGAAAGCTTAGCTGTGCCCTGTATTATCAGGGCACAAGCTAAGAAAGTTTCCCAAAGTAGTAATTGTGAAATTCTCTGCTACCCAGATCACCTCACCTTGTCTTCTCCTGTCTCCTGGGCAAGGGAGGACTGTGTGTACCATGGATCCCTTCAACAGCTGGGAAAAGGCTATGGATCCGATTTCAGAATAATACTTTTAAGTGCATAAGGTTAAACTCATAAGATTACACAGGAAACCAATAACATTAATAACCGTATTTCAATGAGATTAATTTCCTGTATAATCTTACGTGTTTAATTTTATGTGCTGCTTTACCAGCACATTAACAAGGTGTTGCAGCATGTCTAACAGCAGTTGTAATCTTGAAAATATGACGAGTGTAAACAACATTTCAGGATATTGGCAATAACTGGATTACACTATGAAATTATCTTAATTCTATTAGCGGTAAAAGTCACAGGTTCTGCTAAAATCATAGAAGTCTACTTCCTACATCCAAGAATGAAAGACATGCTGAACTTTTGATAGCGTGAAAGTAAAAATGTATTTTTCCCAGCCAAGTTCATGAATGCTCAAAGGAACCAGGTTAGGAGCCCCTAACTTGCGTGACGTTCCTTTCTGCATGGACGAGGTTGGCTGAAAGGAACCTGCTTGACTGGGGCTTCCCTCCCTTCCTTTGAAGGACTGGAATGACCTGCTGTCTGTACACTTCACTCCCCCTCCCATCCTGTTGGCCACACCCAGCTCCATGGATGCTGGGAAACGTAGTTTCTATCTGGGCAACCATATGCCCTGAAAAACCTCAGGAGGCCCTATTGCTAAGAGAACAAAAGGGAGGATGAACATTGGGGAATAATTGGCCATGTATGCCACACTTACTCACTTCATAAAAGTACAAACAATTAAAAGCTCAAATTAGTTGAACCCCTTTGCATGGGACTTAAGGCAATTTGCCTTCTTTGTTTGGAAAATACTCGCTGCTGGCATTTCTCAGACATTCTTTAAAGGTACTAATTATTGAAATAGATCTCTATGGCTCTGGCAGCCAAAGAACAAAGCTCTATTGTGGATTCATGAGGGTCTAGCTGAGGCCTGATTTGGTTTTCTGGCCAATTGAGCTGCCTCCGGCTCTCAGGACTGCTTTGTCATCTGCATCCTAATTCAGACTCTACGGAATAATTTTTACATTATAGCTGATGGCAAAATTTTCAACCCCCACTTTTTCTGAGACAGGGTCTCACTCTGTCACCCAGACTGTACAGTAGCATGATTTTGGCTCACTGCAACCTCGACCTCCTGGGCTCAAGCAATTCTCCTGCCTCAGCCTCCTGAGAGGCTAGGACTACAGGCCCGCACCACTATGCCCCACTAATTTTTTATTTATTTTTTGCTGAGATGCAGTCTCACTATGTTGCCTGGTCTTGAACTCCTCAGTTCAAAGTTCAAGTGACCCTCCCACCTCAGCTTCCCAAAGCGCTGGGGTTACAGGTGTGAGACACCATGCTGGGCTTCAGTCCATTTATTTAAATTCCTCCAGAGAAGAAATGCTCCTTATATGGTTTGATAAATAAACTGTGAAGCTCTGGAGGAAATCCACATTCTCCACCCCTCTGCCCATATCTTTTTAGGCATAGATACATGTTGAACCCCTGTGTGTGTTGGATGACTCCATACATTTTGGGCTCCTCTATTGTGATGTGGGGGCCCTTCAGGGGCTCTAAGTTAAGCTGCTCACCCCTGTGTTGGTTGGCTGGGCTTCTGGAAGGGAGGGAATTCCAGAGACAGTGATGTGCTAGTCTCTACACTTTGATTTTCTTCTATGAAACCTAAACTTTTAATCCAGCCTTCTTAAATGTTACACCCTGTTCTCTACCATACCATTAGGAATTAAGAAAAGCGTTTGTGTCCATATTCCCCAGGAAGAGGTCAGGGCGGGTAACATATCCTAAGGCCACGATGTGGCCACAGCAATGAGGAGAGACCTATCTAAGGAGAGGAGAATCTTGGAGGCATCAACCTCAGACCTACCTACCGCTGCCCCTTCCTTCACAGCCAACCTGGAGGATCTGGGAGAAGCTTTTCTAAGATAACCTGAAGGTTTTCGTGTACACCATTGCATCACAATGTTTAGCAACATCTCGAAAATCAATGAGTTTAGAAGGAATATAAAATTATTTCTACCGTCACTATCGCTCTGGAGATTGGAATGACTTGACACTGCCTCTTGGCTGCACACATCTTTCATCATAAGCTCAAAAACTCTACATAATAATAGGTCACACTATAAAGTCATGAAGAGATTTTACTGAACAGAATTCTTCTATTTTAGTGAAAATTCCAAATAAGCACCCAGCTCAGCTTTTGGTCTTGTGCTTTCCTTCTCCTCTTTTCCACAGCTCCATCGTGGATTGCCTTAAAGGAAATTCTTCCCATGCTTTGCAAGGGACTCCTGCCAAAGACCCAGTTTTAACTTTGTGAGGTCAAACTCCACCTTCATAGTGTGATTTCTGAGCTTACTGGTCATGTGTTGGTTTGAGGTGCCCTCAATGTATGTGTTCTTTGTGCTTTATCTGGAAGATGCAGTTGAAATGCTAAATTGTGACTTTCAACACCTACTCCCCAGGTGTGCTCTGCCAGGGAGCCGGCACCCCCGGGGCAGACCAAGCACATTTTTAAGATGCCAAGTGTCAGAGTCCAAGTCTGTGATTGAGGGTTAGAGGAGGACAGATTTTAGATGACTAATTGGATTCTTTTTATTTTTTAAGGACCATATTGGAAAAATCTATTTATTCATGGCTCAAACCACCTAATAATGTTTCCTAGGAGTAATAATGGTGATGACATTACCCCTGTTATTGGCCAAGCATCATACTATGCATTTTATGTGCTTTTTATCAATGGATCCTCATACTACCCCATGATATATTTTATCCATTTTATAAATGAGGAAAATAAGGTTTAAATGATTTCCCAGGGTTTCATAGCTAATAAATGGCAGAGCCAAGATTCCAATCCAGTTCCATCTCATTCTAAGGCTCATGCTCTAATGACTGTTTTTTTGGCTTATGAATCTGCACCAACCCCTCTGCGGGCCCATAGTTTGCAAATACAGAGGACCACCCAGATCAGTCCTGGCTTAACACAGTGCGTTACTTCTCTTTTGTCTGGTTGAGAGTGATGTCTAAGAAAATGTCTCCCAAGATTGGAGGCAAATGAGACAAACCATGTGCTATACCTAGACCAGTATTCAGTTCAAGCAAGTATCCAGCAGAAAGAGTTACTTTTATTATTTATATTATTATTTCAACTCCCCCAGTAACCCCCAATCCCAACCAATGCCATTTGCAAGGAAGACTGGCCTGCAACAAATGCTGCATGCCTGGCTGTCCTCTTCATGGACTTTCCAAATTGTTTTTTTTTTTCTAGCTTTTCTAGAGCAAGATTCTGAGACTCCTAGATGTAAGGTTAAACTGAATTCGGTTTTTAAGAGATGTCCATAATCCAGAGACACAGGAGAATGGAGACGTGGGCCACTGTGTGTCAAATGCCTCTTGCATTTCTGCATCCTGCTGCCTACCCAGGCGACATTTGTCAGGCTCATGTCCCTGAGGAGGCTTCCTCTGAGATGGGCTGGCTGTGGGGCTCACCAATGGGGCCAGATCTCCTACTGAGACACTGAAAATTGTCCCTGTGGGGTTAAGTCCACTGAGTTAAAGCTTAAGTCAAATTTCCAAACCACTTTTTATAGGAAATGGTAACCATAGGAAAGAGGAAATACAGAGGATGTCTTTTAAAATAGTAGCTAAATCATTAAGCATGCAAGTATGTGATTAGCAGTGAAGATAAGATTCACATATGTATTCTCGCAGCTCCCACCTCTCTCTTCTTTTCTCCTCTGCTCCTCTCTATGGAAAGAAGAAAACAGAAGAGCTGGCCAGACATTGAAAAATGCAGCATGCACAGAGAGAAATCATAAAGGATCTTGCTAGCACTGAATATCTGAGCCGAAATTCAAATGCTGTTGACTTAACAGAAACCAACTGTGTTTTTTTATGAACAAATCTAAATCATACCAGATACTTCAGGGCTGGATTTGCAAAGAGGCCTCAAGACCTTTTTTTTTTTTTGAAAGAGCCATGGTTTCTCCATGCGCAGGCACAGCCTGCGTGGTGTGTTCCTGCCTGTGGCTACTACCATCCTGCCCCAGAATGCAATGCCAGGCCGTGGGCTTGCGTTAAACAGTTCCCGAGGTGTTTGCTTAACGTGTTTTCTTCTTTTGTTCCTCTAAGGAAAGAATGCACACTTTAATTTCTGCATTTACCTCAACTGGCTTGGTAGGTCTGAACTGCAGAAACCAGGCCAGGTTAGTACTTGTTTGGAAGATACACAGCCAGCATGGAAAACCCACATGGAGCAAAGCGTGGCTGGGCTCTCAGTTCCCCGATTCAGGGTCTCCATGAGCCCCAGAAGTGTCAGGGCCTAATAGCAGCAAACAGAAAATGGTTACATGGGATGCTGCTCTGGCATGGCTTTCGGGACTGGCAGGTAGCAGTCTATAGGAGTCAGGGGACTAAAGTTGCAGCAGGAGAACACAAGAAAGGGTCTCATTCCCCCTAAGAACCTTTGGAAGACCTGAACAAAAATGTGATTTCCAAGTCTGACACCACAGCAGAGGCATGGTTTTTAGTTCACACAGAAACAAGCCTGGGGTTGAACCATTCTAAGAAAGGCCTGGCAGGGAGCTTGTCACTCATCTCACCTGCACACGAGGTCAAGTGACCAGATACGCTGCCCTCCTACCTGGCAGGGCCGTCTGGCCGCCAGGTCCCAAGAACCTCTCACAGACTCCACATTCTTTCCAGAGTGGACCCGGCTCTGCGTGCTGCTGGGAGAACCTCCTGCTTACCAAACAATCTGACTGTTGCCAGATGTGGGCATCTGGCCAGCTTTTACATAATTCAGGCTTTTCTATGCTCAAGACGGTACAATTTAAAGGAGCCTTAGAAGTTGTGTTTTTATCTCCTCTCCTCCTCCTCCCCACCGCCCTTCCTGCTTTTCTTCATCTCAGCCGCAAACTCGCCCAAATACGTGGAAAAACATGATTGTGTGCGGTGTACATCAGTACCTATGGCTGGAGATAACAAGACCATGCATTTACCTTATGCTTGCTACAAATGAAAATTAAAATGACTCTGAGGATTGCTGCCTGCCTCCTGCTGCCCGGGCCTTGTCTTCCAGACACGTCTCCCCAGGTTTTCAGTTCTGAAGGACCCCATCGGGAAGCCCGTGCTCAAGAATGCCAGACAGAGGATGGAGAGCTCAGCACGATGGGAGCTGATAGATTTTCTTGTCATCAGAAGTCATCTTTTATCGTGGAAAGTTACTCTTCTCCTGTAAGAAGATCAAAGCGCTGCACAAGAGCCCTGTAACTAAACACCAATCAATCAATTCATATTTTGAAGTCAGGGCTAAGGTGGGACTTTCTCGCTGACAAAACAGGGTCCTAGGTTCTGGGAATTTTAATTCCCATTTAATTTCTTCACTCTAGTGAGGTGATCATGTTGCTTTTCATGTCTTCTTTTCTTTTTTTTTTGAGACATAGTCTCGCTCTGTAGCCCATGCTGGAATGCAGTGGTGCAATCTCGGCTGACTGCAAGCTCCGCCTCTCCGGTTCACGCCATTCTCCTGCCTCAGCCTCCCGAGTAGCTGGGACTACAGGCGCCCGCCACCACGCCTGGCTAATTTTTTGTATTTTTTAGTAGAGACGGGGTTTCACCATGTTAGCCAGGATGGTCTCGATCTCCTGACCTTGTGATCTGCCTGCCTCAGCCTCCCAAAGTGCTGGGATTACAGGCATGAGCCACTGTGCGTGGCTACTTTTCATGTCTTCAAACCATGCCTGCTCTTGTCATCTGTAAGGCTGCTGGGCAATGGAAGCTACAACTAGGCTTTGAGACAGTCACACTTGCTAGAGTACACACGTTCAGAGATCTTAGGGGATGGCAGACTCAGTCTCTGTCTCTTTCCCACTCTCTCTCTTTCACACACACACACACACACACACACACACACACACACCCCTATCTGTTGGTTCAGCCTCTCCCAGTTAGAATGAAATGTCAAAATCCTTTTGTTGCTTCAACTTTCCGTCCTCGTAGGTGTCCTCCAGCTGGAAGTAGCCATCAGAATGTGCCACCAATACATGGGAAAGAGCCTCTGCAGGGCCCTTGGCTCAGCAGGAAGAGAGACTCACAGGGCCATGGGGAGAAAGCTAAGACACTGGGGGCAGGTGTCCAGAGTGGGGGTGTGGAGAGCAAGGAGCCCAGCTCCCAGCCCCACCTCCGCCTCTCACTGAGCAGATTCCCACCACCCTGCACTCCGCCTCCTGGTCTGCAGGGAATGCTGCTCTTCCTCACAGGGCTGACCCACCATGGTGCTGGCTAGACGAAACAGCTTGATAAATATTGCCCTTCTTGTGGCTGCTGGTAATGACCATCGTGGCTGTCTCACCATGGCTCTGCCACTGCTGTTACTGGTTTGGGCAACTCACAATCTCCTTCAAGCCTCTTCCTTCTCCTCTAGAAGAGAAGAATAATAATATGGCCTCACCCAGTCCTCGTGAGTCTGTAATGAGGCCTGGAAGAGAGCACACTTTGGCAGCCTCCGAAGTGCTCCCCCCAAGCGAGGGAAGCCAGCTCATGCTAATCCCAGATGGGCAAACCTGGAGGCCTCTGGCCTCTTCAAAGCGTGAACACACAGTCAGCACTTACCAAGTATGCACCCCACACCTAACACTGGCCATGAACTTTTCTTTGAGTTATTTTACTATTGATAAACAATTGCACTGATAAGTCATGGTCTCATTGTGACGATTTCCCTCAGTTTGGCCAAGATTAAAACCATCTCTTTACCTTCTTTCAAAACCCAGGCACATTTTAGGAAGCTGAAGAGTCTTCAGAAAAAATTGTCTTCGGGTCTGCGTTTCTGGAGCATGTGTACGTGAGCATCTATTTCTGGAACAGGCCTAGAAGCCGGAGGGAGAGGCTTCCTTCCAGGGCTTCCAGACCGGCCACCAGCATGAAGGCTGAGGACCAGCCCCAAGATGGACTCAGCTTGATTTTGCAGGGTAGTTTCAGACTGTAAGCAGTGGGATGTGTTTGAATTCAGTATAATTCTACTATGGAGGTCAATCAAGCACAGGAAGAAAGGAAAAGGATCGCGTCCGGAAGCCAGTCCACAGACCAGCCTCAGTCAATACTGCCATATTGAAAAGCCACAATGGCCACTCCATGATGATAAGCACATGTCCTTTGTCAAATTTCACCTGTTTACAGGTCCAGATTTACCTAATACAGAACAAGTGGCCACAAGTAAGCACTGTGATAGGCAGGCGCTCTCTCATTTAACCCTTAGGGCCACCCAGGGAAACTGCAGTGGTTATTTCCCATCTACAGACAGACGGACGACGTAGCATTGGGCTGGAGGCTTCCTCTAGCAGGTGGGTGTATGTGCCATCCTTCCGTGCCTCGCTCCCAGAATTGGGGGGGGCCCTGCTTTCTGGCCCCACCCCTTGCCTCTTCAAAATCACTTTTTAGGAAAGTCTAAGGGAAATTTCAAACTTCTCAAAGTGTGGTGACAGTTTCTCCACCATTTCTTCTTGGATCCACCCAAAAGTCCAACCTCTATGCTGAGCATGGTGTCCAGGGTAACCCTGGATTAACCTGGAGAGGAAGATTGAGACATGGTTACCTGAAAAGAGAACCTGGACCTGCTTTGCCAACAGAAGCAGAATTTAGATGAAGCAACGCATACCTCTCTAAAAGCATCTTGGGAGACACAGGGTGCGAAAGAAAGAACGTAGATGTGAGCCCTGGATGGTCTAAGCATTGAACCTGGGTCACTGCTCACTGACTACGCCATCACGAGCTGCAACCTGTACCATGCAGATAACACCAACTCTTGAAGTGACTGGAAGGCTTAAAGGTGGTAATGTGCATGAAGTTCTTGGCTCATAATAAGCCATCAATAAATAGTGATTTTTATTATCTATTTTAAAAATATTGGAGGCTGTGGTATGTTATAGTGACTTGAATTTGGGGGATTAAGTTTGTTTTAACCAGGAAATACAGGTTGTTTCCATCTTCCATGTGAAAGACGTGTCTAAAATATATGCATGCTTTTATTTGCCCTCCATAGAACTGAAGAAAATCGAGTCTTTCTGTGATGGTGAAGGATCTTGCTGCAGCCGGGGGCAATCATTCTGAAATTGCAGCCTTGTCATAGATCAGCATTTACAGCACACCTGGGGACCATGTGGACCAAGGATGGGCATCAACCCCTGCAAGGAAGCAGGTTTTGTTTTAAAGAAATCTCTGATGTCAGAGTATTTTACTAGGTTTTGCCTTTTACTTATCAAACCAGATCGGAACTCTGTGCAGGGGCTGGCTGGGTTCCCAGTGAGGGGCTGGCTCCCAGGTAATCAAGTTTTGTTTATTCTTCATTTATGAGGCACATTCATCTTCCCCAAGTAGAGGGAAAGTGGTGCCGATGGCAGAAGCCCAACTTCAGCTGAACCCAAGACCAGCTTGGGCCTTTATAATCTGACTGAAGTCAGAATTCCTTAAAGTCATCTGTCTCCCCAAATTTATTTCCAACCCTGAGCACTTGAATTATTCTAAGGGAAATGGAAGTGGAGAGGCAGGAGGGGGTGAAATTTACCCCTGTTTTTCTCATTAACTCCTTATGAGGGTTTAGAGATTTGTCACTAATCTTAGGGAAATATAGATACATTTCGTTTGGTCCAAGACAATACATTTCTGAGTTTACACATTGAGAAGAGGAGTCTTGGTTTGTCTGTGGATGATTAAGCTCTGTGTTAAGACCAGCCCCCGAGTGCCCCACACCTCCCAAAGTTCATGGCAGTGTCCTCAGGTCTCTGGAATGCCAGCAGGCCTTAGCAAGCAGCAGTCTGATGAGTGAAGTGTAAAGGAGTCAGAAACATACGGATTGCATTTCCCTGAGAAAATAGATCACTTGAAAAACGAAGGGGCAAAGTGCTTGGGAAAATGCATTATGGATTTTGTCGAGGCCAAAAAGGATGTAAACTACTTCAGATATTCTCTAAATGCCACATGTGAGCAGGCATTTCAAGCAACACACTCTGTGTGGGAGTGTATATAGGATTGTGCAAGACTTGGGAACTTCACCAAGACCATGTCCATTTGTGCATCCTCGAAGGCCCTCTAAGTGGTTTTGCAAACAGTCAAAAAGAATATACACTGACAAGACAAGTGCTATTATCAAAGGGGGAAACTGGAATTTCACTCATTGTCCTTTGTAAGAAAGATGCCCTGCCCTTTTTTCTAATGTTCTGAGTTGAAAAATATCAAATGGAACAATCAATGCAAAGGTTTTCTATAGACTTGTGGCTAATTTTTTAAGATGTTTAAAATTGTGTGGCTGCAAACACATCCTGCTTTAACCAGGACACATTTTAGCAATCTTCCTAAAGATTGTTGTCAAAATGGATGAAAGAAGAGCCCCAAAACATACTCTTCACAGCTAGCTTGCCCAGAGACGAGGAGATGGCAAAACCCAGCCCAGTGACCCCCAGTTTCCCCCAAGGTTGCATGCCACCTCCCAGCCAGGACTCCCAGAAGCAAGGAAGGCTTCCTCTCAACCTACCAGGCTGGTCCTGACCCAGGCCCTCATGACGTTCTGGGCAGTGAATCACCCACAGCATCATACTCAGGCCTTGGCAGAGCCTACAGGGTGAGGAACCTGGGAGAGCAAAGCAGACGGGAAGGTGAAGCACAAGCACCCTCAGCCCACCTGTCCCAGCCAGGTCTTCCCAACCCACCGGGTCAGGCTTACCTATTCCTATTGCTTGTTCACCCAGGAAGCCCCATCTCCCTCTGCGCTCTCTCTCTCTACATTTCTCTATCTCTTTCTCTAACTCCCTGTCTCTCTATCTCTATGTCTCTATCTCTTTTCTATCTTTATCTATGTCTCTGTCTCTTTCTCTTTATGTCTTCCTGTCTCTCTATATCCTTATTTCTAGCTCTCTCTCTACCTCTCTCTACTCCTCCTTCTCTCTACTCCTCTCTCTATCTCTCTCTCCTGCCATGCAGTGTGGCCTGAGTCAGGATGGGCGTGGATCTGTTCTAGGACTCAGTATGAGGACTCTTCAGCACCTGCTTTGTGGGTAACATAGGTGGCCTTTCATCCTCCGTCAGCTGACTGTCACGTCTCACTCTTCCACTGGATCAAAAATTGGGTAGGAACAAGGGGTAACAATTCATGAGATTCCCTCGAAGGCCCTGGAGTCTTCATCTTTGAAAATCTCAACTCCACACCCCAAAGCCTCCCGAAAAGGCCTCCACTGAGGTTTGCAGCCAATCCTGACTTCTCAAGTCCCTGGTCTTCCCATTCCTTTAGATCACTGATAATCCAGTTCTCCTTCTCCCGCCAGCATGTGTGAAGATGTCGCCTCCCCACACAGTTGAAACTGGGCCTTGGTCATGCATGTCTGCTAGAAGGCGAGCAGAGCAATGCATCTCCTGCAGCACAGCACACCGCTGGCCCCTGCAGCGTGGACGATGTACTGGTGGGAGGGTGGCATGCAGGTGGCACAGAGCAGGAACCACACACTCTTTCTTTAAAGTGCCAGACACTGAAGGTTTTGGGCTTTAGGGTCATTTGGTCTCTGTCACAACCAACCAACTCTGCCATTGCAATGTGAAGGCAGCCACTGATAATGCATGAACAAAGGAGCATCAGTTCCAATAAAACTATATTTACAAAAGCAGGCCATGAGGCAGATGGCCCCTGGGCCGATTCCTGACATAGGTGGTGTCTGCTCTAGAGTCACCCAGGCCACCGTGAAATTTCCATACATTAGAAAGAAACCCTCACGGCTTTCAGGCACTGAAATCAGGGGGCTGTTTGTTATCACAGCATAACCCAGCCTGTCCTGACTTACACAAATTCCTCTTTTGTCTCACTTAACCCTAAATTTCTGCATTTCAACTCTGGTGTCATTTGTTTACAATTCACACATCTTTATTTGTTACCTGTTTCTTCTCCATCCTCTCTTGCTCTCCTGAGATCCATTTTTTTTATTTATTATAGACATGGGTCTGTATTTATGGTTAACATAAATAAATTGCATTTATTTCCAGCCAAGATCAGATAACATAATTTGAAGAAGGTAATATTAAACACAGATATAACAGAAATACTTTATGTACAACATGGTGACTATAGTTAATAATGATGCATTGTATTATTTTAAACATTGCTAAGAGACTAGAGTTTAAGTGTTCTCACCACAACAAAAGGATGTCAGGCAATGCTATGTCAATCAGCTCAATTTAGCCATTCCACAATGTATACCTATTTCAAAGCAACATGTTACAGACAGTAAACATATGTAATCTTTATCTGTCAACTAAAATAAATAAATAAGAGGCATAAGAACAAAAAATACTTTAAGTCCAATAGTCTGAAATGCTTTAAGTCTAGAGTAAAGGATAGACAATGAATGTGTATTTATTCATCTTAGGTATTAGAAGGAAAGGGGTGTTTACGACTCCTTAATAAGTCTGAAGTACAAGCCCATGGAAGAGAAGGGTGGACAGACTTCTGGAAGAATTGGAAAGAAATACCAAACTATCTGTAGCCTTAAATCTTGAGTTTCTCAATTTGTAAAAAAAGAAACAGGAGGAGAGAAAATACGGTGTCTCAGAAGTTATTTCGATAGTCAGATCTTCCTCTTGAAAACCATACAGCTCAGAAACAAGCAAGAGGTTTCAGGGAAGAAAAAAAATCCCACTCCTTTTCAGTGCAATAACCTTAAATTCCCAGCAGGACACAAACCACATGTTGGTGTTGTGAATAAAATCTGAAAAGCATCTGAGGGTAAGTGTTTAATTATACTTGGCGTGGCTACACCTTTTTACTCTCAAGACAGGAAATCCCTGGACTGTTAAGTAGGTTCAACCCCTCAGCAGAACAAATGAGAACCTTTCTGGCTGCCCTTCCAGGATGGTTACAGCCAACTTCATTTCTAGGGCAGGAGTAGCACAAGGATCCCAAACATCTAATTACAGGGTTCCCTGCAGTCCCAGGCCAAGTGAGCACCCCAGAAAGTCCTCAACGGCACCAAAGAATTAAACCTATTTCAGGCCAAGCTCCACATCTGCCTCGGAGTGTTTAAAGCACCTTGGTGACTGAGATTGCCTGCCCCAGGTTTCCTTCCAGATGTTCTGAAATTCTTATCTGGGTAACACTGTGGTCTCTGCATGAGAGGCAGGGGGCAGTGATTATAGGTCCAGGCCCAGGCAGATTATGAAGTAGCTACAACATCGTGTCTCAAATTCTTTTTAACACACGCTTCCTATATGTGACTCGAAATCTCATTTCCTCCTTCAAAGTGTATCAAATATCAAAACAAATGTTATGAATAAAAACCCACTCATGCAATGATAAAGTTCCAATTTGAGTTTTTGGCCACTATCTCACTATTCCGTTCTTGAGAATCACTGAGCTAGAATTTCTGGTTCCATTCTTATTGACGGTTTTCACTTCATACATCTGTTTTCCAAATCAACCTGCATTAGTCCATTCTCACACTGCTATAAAGAACTACCTGAGACTGGGTAATTTATGAAGAAAAGAGGTTTAGTTGATTCACAGATCAGCAGGCTTAACAGGAAGCATGACAAGGAGGCCTCAGGAAACTTGCAATCATGATGGAAGGCAAAGGGGAAGCAAGCACGTCTTACTATGGAGAAGCAGGAGAGAGAGAGAGCCAAGGGGGAAGTGCCACGCAATTTTAAACCATCAGATCTTATGAGAACTCACTCACTATCATGAGAACAGCGAGGGGAAAATCTGCACCCATGATCCAATCACCTTCCACCAGGCCCCACCTCAATTTGATATGAGATTTGGGTGGGGACACAAATCCAAACCATATCACTACCCATCTATATTATATCCATTTATTCATGCAACAAACACGTATCAAGTGCCCACTATCTACTAAGCTGGGTACTAGGTGTTAGGGAGATAAAGAGAAATAAATCATGACCCTTGCTCTAGAAGAATATAAAGAGACAATTTTAATGTACTATAGAAAATTCTATGTTGAAGTCATGTGCAGGATGAGAGTCAGGAGAGTCACATGTATCCCAAAGGTGGTGGAGTGGGGTGGGTGTCACCCAAAAGAACAAAAGTCCATCCCTCTCTCTACCTCCTATGCAAACCTGCTCACCAACCCCTCATTCAAATAAAAGTAAAAATTAAAAAGTTTCACAAAAGCATTGAATATTATTTATCTCCATTGTTTAATCCAGTTTACTGAATTTACAATAGAGAAAGTTGAGGTTTGAAAAGATCGGTAACATGCCCACAATCACATGGCTGCTTAGCAGTAAAACAGGGATAAAAGAAAGTATGATGGGCTGGGCATGGTGGCTCATACATGTGGTCCCAGCACTTTGAGAGGCTGAGGTGGGCGGATCACTAGGTCAGGAGATCAAGACCATCCTGGCCAAGATGGTGAAACTCTCTCTCTACTAAAAATACAAAAATTAGCTGGGTGTGGTGGCACGTGCCTGTAATCCCAGCTACTCAGGAGGCTGAGGCAGGAGAATTGCTTGAACCCAGGAGGCAGAGATTGCAGTGAGCCAAGATCGCGCCACTGCACTCCAGCCTGGCGACAGAGTGAAACTCTGTCTAAGAAAAAAAAGAGTATATGCTGAATAACTGCTTTCCCCATTCCAGTTATCCATTCTGCATAACAAACCACCACTTATTTTGCTCATAAATCTGTGATCTGGGCTGGGCCTGGCAGGAACAGCTCATCTCTAATCTATGTGGCACCAGCTGGGATGACTCACAGGAACTGGTGGTCATGTCCCAGACAGCTCCCTCTCATGGCCAGTAAGACTGTGCTTGCTGTTGGCTAGGAAGCTCAGCTGCGGATTTGGGCTGCATGCCTGGGCTCCTCCCCATTTAGGCTGCTCCACAGAGCTTCTTGGGCTTCCTCAAAGCATGGCAGCTGAGATCCACATTCAGATTCACGAGACAGGAAACAGAAGCTGAAAGTTTCTTAAGGCCGGGTCTCAGAACCAGGCACAGCATCGCTTCTGCTGTATTCTGTATATCAACGCAGCACAATGATTCAAGGGGTAGGAACACAGGCCTCACCTCTCAGTGGGTGGAATGGTGCAGATTCTTTTTTCAATTCACTGCATCTTCCCAAGCAATTTTGCATTCTGATGGACCTCAAAGATTTAGTTCAAAGAAACAGAAATGAAGTGCAAGAATAATGGCCTTTTGCATCTGTGCTCTGTGTGCTGTGGGCTGCTGTACTCCTTTGAGGGGTTTTTAGGCAGCAGCCCACTGAGGAAAGCAGAAGTGGAGGGGGAGAAAGAGATGGGCCATTTCCAGTCAATGAAGTCACCCATACACCCCTCAGAGCCGTGGTGCCCACACGTTGCTGCAAATTAGAATAACCTGGGGCCCTTCATGAATATGCAGAAACCCAGAGCCACCCCACATCTGTGAATGCGCCATTCCCAGAGGTGCTCAGGAAACTCTTTTTAAGAAAGCCCCCAGAGGATTGTGAAGCTGCTCTGCAGCCAGCACCTGTCTGCAAATGCAGACTTTGGAACCTGCTCTCAAGATTGCTGGCACTGAGCTGAATATTTTTACAGACATTTAAAAAAAGAAAATTGAGTTCCAGCCCTCTCCCCTCCCCCAGTTATGAATTCCACTGTGGTTGTGGGTAGTAGTCATAAGATACAGAACTCACAGAAATGTATGGCTATTCCTTGTCCAAGAGCTCTGTGATGGGAAATACTGAGATAACTGAGGCACAGTGAGAGCCCAACAGAGACCGGTGCAGATTTGGGTTCCAGGTCCTCTGTACTCTGAGCATCCACCTCCTCACTGACCAGGATCTGAGGCCTGCACGGTGGCTCACACCTGTAATCCCAGCACATTGGGAAGCTGAGGCAAGAGGATCACTTGACAGCAGGAGTTCAAGACCAGCCTGGACAACCCAGCAAGACCCCGTCTCTACAAAAAATACAAAAATTAGCTGGTTGTCGTGGTAAGCCCCTGTGGTCCCAGCTAACTGGGGGGCTGAGGTGGGATGATCACTTAAGCCCAGGAGTTTGAGGCTGCAGTGAGCCATGATCTCATTACTGCACTCCAGCCTGGGCAACAGAGCAAGACCCTATCTAGGAAGGCAGGCAGGCAGGAAAGAAAGAGTGTCTGACCATCACCTGTCCCTCAACAGTGATAGCTATCATTACACTATCCTCAAGTGACATGAATTTTTGCCTCTACTTCCCCTGATTTACAACTGCAGTACCCTCAGCACTTTGCTTCCTTGCCCACGTGGGCAAGGAAGAGCTCTATCTCCACCTGAGAAGGTGGAGCAGGCAAGTGCATTTAACCAGGTGAGCTCTATCCCTGTGTTTCCACCTGAGAAGGTGGAGCAGGCAAGTGCATTTAACCAGGCTGAGAACAGCTGGTCCCTAAGCAGATCAGAGATAGGATAAGCTGCACTGGTCAGACTCTGCTTTCAGGGATCTGAGGCCAGGAGAATGCACAACAGAGTGGTTAGCAGGGCAGGAGGGGACACTGCAGGCAGCCTCCATGGACCCAGGCAAGGGGAGGCTCTGGCTGAGGGCTCTTCAGCTTTTGCCAAGGGTCAACACCTTACACAGATGATCATTAAGACAGCTGGGCCCCAGGCCAAGAATTTATAAATGAAGACATGGAAGCAACATAATATTCCAAAAATAGACCATATGTTGATTACATTTCAAATAGAGGGAAAGAGGAATTATTCAATAACAAATCCTGGGATAACGGGAGAGCCATTTGAAGAAGAAGAAAAAATAACCCCAGTCCCTACACCCAAATAAAGTATAGATCAAAGTTTTTTTTTTTAATTTTTTAATTTTTTTTTTTAATTTTTTTGAGATAGAGTCTTGCTCTGTCACCCAGGCTGGAGTGCAGTGGCACCATCTTGGCTCACTGCAACCTCCGCTTCCTGAGTTCAAGCGATTCTCCTGCCTCAGCCTCCCGAGTAGCTGGGATTATAGGCATGTGCTACCACGCATAGCTAATTTTTGTATTTTTAGTAGAGATGAGGTTTTACCATGTTGGCCAGGCTGTTCTGAAACTCCTGACCTCAGGTGATCCACCTGCCTCAGCCTCCCAAAGTGCTAGGATTACAGGTGTGAGCCACTGCATCAGGCCAAGATCAAAGTTTTAAATGTAAAATAAAACCAAACAATGAAGAAAAATGTAGATTTTAAAGTAATTTTGGATTCTGGAAGCCCTTTGTAAGCATAACACAAGGCCTAGAGGCCATGGAGAGAAACAGTGATAAATAATTTGTATAAAAATGCAAAACATCTGCATAACAAATGATGATAGTGGTGACACTGACTTTAATGCCGAAAACAAAGTCAGAAGAAACTCGACAGGCTGGGAAAATATTTGCAACACCTATGTCGAGGCACTGACTTCCAATATACTTACGCAAATCTATATTTTGTAAATATATAGAAAATGTTTGAAGGACATAAACAAATATTAATATTAGAAATTTTTGCTACCTCTGAAAGAGACCAAGAATGAGGTTGAATTTAGTGTTTTTCTGTTTTAAATTACTGTCTTTCTGGACTAACCGCTGATTTTCTGTCACCTCTGTAATTAAAAAACAATAACAAGTGGTTCCCTAAAAGCCTTTAGCTGCTGGAGTAAAGCTGCTGCAACGGTAACTTTCTAGGCTCCTGGTAGCTAGGTGGGGACAGCAGTTTGAAGCAGGGACCTCTTTCCCACACTCCTGAAATCACAACTTGTAGGCAATCATATCTTTCCAGCATCGAAGAAAAAATACTTTGAAAGACTTCATGTAAGAATTTCATTCAAATATATTGAATGAAAAAACAGCTGGCACAACCTAGAGAAAGATGAGTATTCCAAGTTTTTCATTCTTTCAGAATTACTCTTTCTTTTTAAAACCATCTGAAGTAGCTCAGGCCCCATATGCAGGACCACAGCAGGTCCCACGCTTCTCTGAGTGTGTGAGAAGAAGCACCCTGGTCCCATGGCTGTCCCCATTCCTGTTCCTTATTGCCCCAGGACTGTCCCCACCCCCATTCTGGCCTTGTCTCAGATGTCACCCTCTCCCCAGCTGCTCCATAGCCTGGCCACAGTCTCCTCTCTGGCGTACAGGGTGCAGGTTACCTGTGATCACCTGTGACTGTGTGCCTTCCCTCACCTCTGCTGGTGATCAAAATCACCCTTGGAACTTTGGAAGATGGAGACCCACTCTCTGGGAGAAAAAAAGAGGTTAAAGGCCTTTTTTATTATTTATAAACTTTATTTGGGTGTGATTGATGTACAACCAACTGCACATCTTTAAAGATTATAATTTGATTAATATATACATATGTATATATACACACATATACATACATACCTATACACACACACATATACACCCATGAAAGTATCACCACAATCAAATACTTTTTTTTTAATAAAAACCCCCTGAGAGTTTCCTTGTGCCCCTTTGTAATCCATCTCTCCCTGTATTCTCTGTTCTCTGGTCATCTCTGACATGCTTTCTGTCACTATAGATTAGTATGCATTTACTAGAAATTTACAAAAATGTAACTATCCTTTTATGCCAGGTCCTTTGTAGTGCCTGGCTTCTCTCTCTGAGCATAATTATTTTGAAATCCATTCATGTTGTTGAATAAACCAATCATTCATTCTTTCTTATTGCTGAGCAGCATTTGATTGTATGAGCAGACAACAATGTGTTTATCTATTCACCCACTGGTGTTGTTCAAGAAATAAAAAAATCTGGACAGAAAAAGATCTCTCCATACCAATAGAAGAGGGAAAAAAGACATTTTATCATTGAGTAAGTATTACCATATTTACATGTATGGGAGGCAGCCTGAAAATGACTACAAAGCTTGGGGGGGCAGGGGGCGGGGGGGCTTGGGGGAGGGGAGGAAATCTGGCACTTTTTCTGGAGCAAGTGAGAAGAAAGAACAATAAGTTCTCTTGTCGTCAAGACTAAATGACCACTCCGCACACAGTATCCTGTACATTTCCTGCAAGAAAGCCTTGAGCTAATTCGCAAGATTCATTTATTTGACTGGACCTGAGGAGCCGCCTCACATTAAAACACTGGTGCTGTGGATAGACCCCCAAATCTGGCCATAAACTGGCCCCAAAACTGGCCAATAACAAAATCTCTGCAGCACTGTGACATGTTCGTGATGGCCATGATGTCCACACTGAAGATTGTGGGTTTACTGGAATGAGGGCAAGGAACATCTGGCCCACCCAGGGCCGAAAATGGTTTAAAGGTGTTCCTAAGCCACAAACAATAGCATGAGGAATCTGTGCCTTAAGGACATGCTCCTGCTGCAGATAACTAGCCAGAGCCCATCCCTTTGTTTCTTGTAAGGAATACTTTTAGTAAATCTATAATCTAGAGAAACAATGCTTATCACTGTCTTGCTGTTAATAAATATGTGGGTAAATATCTGTTCAGGACTCTCAGCTCTGAAGGCTGTGAGACCCCTGATTTCCCACTGCACACCCTATATTTCTGTGTGTGTGTTTTTAATTCCTCTAGACCGCTGGGTTAAGGTCTCCATGACCGAGCTGGTCTCAGCAAGTGGCACCCAACATGGGGGCTCGAACCTGGATTGAAGGGTCAATGCAGCGACGGTTGGAGAACGTGGAGCTAAGCTGGAGGACACCTGAGTACTCTTAAGCAATCTGCATGGTGAGTAAGAAGGAGAGCTTGGGAGCATCAGGGTAACAGTGACACAAGTGTGGGCTCCAGTTCATTCCACCTTGAAACCTTTTTACACTAATGATGAAGAGGAAGGAAAGTATAATGAAGTAACAGAAGAGGTGACAGAGCAGGTTTGTTTGCCAGCTAAAGCTAAAGCGGCAAAGGAGGAAAAGGTTCATCCCTACCCTTCTGCATCCCCTCCTTATTTTGAAGAAAAAGAGTGGCCTGACCCTCCAGATCTTTCTTTTCCGGAGGACACTGGGCAAAAAGTAGTTGCCCCAGTGACTGTTCGAGCAGCACCTTGAGCAATTGCTCTCAGTTCTATTCAAGCAGGAATCCAGCAAGCTAGAAGAGAGGGTGTTTTAGAGGCTTGGCAGTTCCCTGTTAGAATACATGCCCCCAGATCAACAGGGAAATATTACAGCTATGTTTGAGCCTTTTCCTTTTAAATTACTCAGAGAATTTAAACAAGCTATTAATCAATATGGACCAGGTTTTCCTTTTGTAATGGGACCATTAAAGAATGTTGCTATCTCCAGTCAGATGTTGCCAGTGGGGACGATAGGATTACTTCTAGGTAGATCTAGTTTAAATTTAAAAGGAATGCAAGTACAAACAGGAGTCATTGATTCAGATTACAATGGGGAAATTCAAATTGTTACATCTACTTCTGTTCCCTGGAAAGCAGAGTCAGGAGAGCGCATAGCACAGCTCCTGATTGTGCTGTATGTGGAAATGGGGAAAAGTGAAACTAAACGAACAGAAGGATTTGGAAGCACAAATAAACAAGGTAAAGCAGCTTATTGGGTGAATCAGATTCCTGATAAACATCCTACCTGTGAAATAACTATTCAAGAAAGAAATTTAAAGGTTTGGTAGATACAGGAGTGGACATTTCAATCATTTCTCTACAGCACTGGCCATCCATGTGGCCAATTCAACCCGCTCAATTTAACATAGTTGGAGTTGGTAAAGCCCCTGAAGTATACCAAAGTAGTTATATTTTGCATTGTGAAGGGCCCAATGGACTGTCTGGGATTATTCAACCAATTGTAACTTCTGTACCTATAAATTTACCAGGGAGACATTTATTACAACAATGGGGAGCACAAGTTCTAATTCCAGAACAATTATATAGCCCTCAAAGTCAACATATGATGCATGAAATGGGGTATGTCCCTGGTATGGGACTAGGAAAAAATTTGCAAAGTTTGAAGGAACCACTTCAAGTGGAAAGACAAAGTTCCTGCCAAGGTTTAGGATACCATTTTTGATGTCGGCCATTGTTAAGCCTCCAGAACCTATACCTTTAAAATGGTTAACAGATAAGCCAATTTGGATTGAACAATGGCCGCTAAGTAAAGAGAACCTAGAGGCTTTAGAGGACTTAGTTACTGAACAATTAGAAAAAGGACACATAGCTCCAACATTTTCCCCTTGGAATTCCCCAGTTTTTGTAATTAAGAAAAAAAACAGGTAAATGGAGAATGTTAACTGACTTAAGAGCCATTAATTCAGTTATACAACCTCTGGGGACATTGCAGCCAGGACTGCCTTCTCCTGCTATGTTTCCAAAAAATTGGGCTTTAATAGTCATATATTTAAAAGACTGTTTCTTTACCATCCCCTTAGCTGAGCAAGACTGTGAACAGTTTGCATTTACAATTCCTGCAGTAAACAACCAGCAGCTTGCTAAACGTTTTCATTGGAAAGTGTTGCCACAAGGCATGTTAAACAGTCCAACAATTTGCCAGACTTATGTAGGTAGGACAAACAATTGAACCTACTTGTAAAAAATTTTCACAGTGTTACATTATTCATTATATGGATGATATACTTTGTGCTGCCCCCACTCAAGAAATATTACTCCAGTGTTATGATCACTTGCAAAACTCGATTTCTCGTGCTGGTTTAATTACAGCTCCTGAAAAAATTCAGACTACTACTCCTTACTCCTATTTGGGGACCTTAGTAAATGACACTACCATTGTGCCACAGAAAGTAACCATATGTAGGGATCAACTGAAAACATTAAATGACTTTCAAAAATTACTAGGGGACATTAATTGGATATGACCTGCCCTAGGCATTCCTACCTATGCCATGAGTAATCTATTTTCCATCCTCAGAGGAGATCCTAGTTTCACTAGCCCTCGGCAATTAACAAAAGAAGCTGAGGCAGAGCTGCAGCTAATCGAAAAGCAAGTCCATAAAGCTCAAATAAATAGAATAGATCCAGAGAAGATTCTAGATTTGCCAACTTTTCCAACTTAGCATTCATCTACTGCTGTTATTGTTCAAGATCAAGATCTTGTAGAGTGGCTTGTTCTTCCACATACTAATTCATGGACTCTAACTCCTTATTTGGATCAAATCGCTACTATGATAGGAAATGGGAGAACTCAGATTGTTGAATTACATGGATATGATCCTGGAAAAATTATTGTCCTTCTCACGAAGGCACAAATACAGGAAGCTTTTATAAATAGTCTTACTTGGCAAACCCATTTAGCTGACTTTGTGGATATTCTCGATAATCATTTTCCTAAAACGAAACTGTTTCAATTTTTGAAATTAACTAATTGGATTCTCCCTAAAATAACTAAATTTAAACCAACTGAAGGTGCCGAAAATGTCTTCACAGATGGGTCTAGTAATGGTAAAGCTTCTTATTCTGTGTCGAAATGTAAAGTTTTTCAGACACGCTATACTTCAGCTCAAAAAGTGGAGCTTGTAGCTGTAACTGAGGTACTGACTGCTTTTAAAATGCCTATTAATGTGATTTCTGATTTTTCTTACATGGTTCATTCCAAACAATTAATTGAAAATGCTCAGTTATGATTTCACACAGATGAACAACAGATGACTTTATTTACCCAATTGCGAACAGCAGTCAGGAGTAGAATGCAACCTTTTTACATCACTCACATTAGGGCTCATACACCTCTTCCAGGACCTTTGACTGCAGGGAATCAAATGGCTGATTGCCTAGTTGCTACTGCAATATCTAATGCTAGACACTTTCACAATTTAACCCATGTTAGTGTCTCTGGTCTCAAACACAGATACAGCATTACCTGGAAAGAAGCTAAAGCTATTATCCAGCGATGCCCCACTTGCCAAATGGTGCATTCCTCATCTTTTACAGGAGGAGTTAATCCTTGAGGATGGGAACCTAATTCTCTTTGGCAAACGGATGTCACAAATGTTTCTTCGTTTGGGAGATTAGCTTATATACACATATGTGTGGACACCTTTTTTCATTTTTTCTGGGCTGCATTCCAGTCAGGAGAGTCTTCTGCCTGTGTTAAATGTCACCATTTGCAGTGTTTTGTGGTGATGGACATTCCAACTTCGATTAAAACAGATAATGCCCCAGACTAAACTAGCCAAGTTCTAGCTACATTTTTCTCTATATGGAATATTAAACACATTACTAGTATCCCATATAATTCTCAAGGACAAGCCATTGTAGAAAGAATGAATCTCTCCCTGAAACAGCAGTTGCAAAAGCAAAAAGGGGGAAATAGGGATTACAGGACACCCCATACACAATTTAGTCTAGCATTATTGACTTTAAATTTTTTGAGCCTGCCTAAAGGCCAGATGCTATCAGCAGCTGAACATCATCTACAGAAACCAGCTGCAAAGACAGAAGCAGAACAACTGGTTTGGTGGAGAGATCCGATAACAAAAAGTTGGGAAATATGTAAAATAATAACTTGGGGTAGAGGTTATGCTTGTGTTTCTCCAGGCCAGAATCAACAGCCAATTCGGATACCATCAAGACACCTGAAACCTTATCATGAGCTAAATGCTGAGGAAGAGATTCCCGGAGGATCCCGAGGAATCCCCTGGTTGCAGCCATGTTGAGACTGACGCTGAGGAGGACCCCAACTGTCACGAGCAACATCCGTCAAACACAGCCACCTACCTGGGGACAGATCAGGAAGCTGTCACAGATGGTGGAAGAAAACCTGAGGAAAGTGGGACAGCCAGTCACAATGAGTAATTTAATGATAGCTATGGTAGCAGTGATCACCATTGCCATGAGTATTCCTTCAACAAGGGCTGACACAGAGAACAATTATACTTATTGGGCATATTTATCAATCTTGGCTGGCAATAATGCCTGGATGTAATCACTCTATGACACAGTTACACATGCTTTCTGATCTCAGTATTTACCATAATAAATCTGCTCCTATAATTGAGGCATATCCCCCTCAAAAACCTATTTGTAAACAGAATTGGACCTGGCCAGAAATAATGAATATACTCATTTGGGAAGATTGAATTGCAGAACAGGCAGAGGTGCTGCTCAATGATTCATATGGAATCATTATTGATTAGTCCCCTAAGGGGATGTTTAGCTTGAATTGCACCTCTCAGTCTGCATGACACAGCCACATTATGTTCAGTTGGT
Organism: Homo sapiens; assembly: GCF_000001405.40. NCBI lineage: Eukaryota > Metazoa > Chordata > Mammalia > Primates > Hominidae > Homo > Homo sapiens. The sequence goes on along the minus strand of NC_000018.10, from coordinate 10,220,930 downwards.
TTAAACAAAACAGTCAGATGGTAGAAATGGTAAGAAATACAGCAAGAGTTCCTATTATCTGGAAACATGGTGGTATAGTGGCACCTCAACCTCAAATGATATGGCCTGTTGTAGCAGCTAAACATAAGGATTTGTGGAAACTATTAATGGCTCTTAATAAGATCAAAATTTGGGAAAAAATGAAAAAGCGTCTAGAAGGACACTCTACAAACTTGTCTTTGGATATTGCAAAATTAAAAGAACAAATATTTAAAGCATCCCAGGCACACCTGACCTTAATGCCAGGAACTGAAGTGCTTGAAGGAGCTGCAGATGGATTAGCAGCTAGTAACCCAATAAAATAGATAAAAAACACTTGGAGGCTTTATGATTTCAATGATGATTGTGCTTTTAATCTGTGTTGTTTGTCTTTCTGAAGTCTGCAGATGAAGATCCTGACTCCTGAGAGAAGTAGCTCACCACAATAAAGCTGCCTTTGCTTTTATTGCCTTGGAAAAACAAGAAGGGGGACATCCTGGGGATAGGCCCCCAAATCTGGCCATAAACTGGCCCCCAAACTGGCCATAAACAAAATTTCTGCAGCACTGTGACATATTCATGATGGCCATGACACCCACGCTGAAGGTTATGGGTTTACTGGAATGAGGGCAAGGAACATCTGGCCCACCCAGGGCGGAAAATGGTTTAAAGGTGTTCCTAAGCCACAAACAATAGCATGAGTGATCTGTGCCTTAAGGACATGCTCCTGCTGCAGATAACTAGCCAGAGCCCATCCCTTTGTTTCCTGTAAGGAATACTTTTAGTAAATCTATAATCTAGAGAAACAATGCTTATCACTGGCTTGCTGTCAATAAATATGTGGGTAAATCTCTCTTCAGGGCTCTCAGCTCTGAAGGCTGTGAGACCCATGATTTCCCACTCCACACCCTATATTTCTCTATGTGTGTCTTTAATTCCTCTAGCACTGCTGGGTTAGGCTCTCCATGACCGAGCTAGTCTTGGCACACTGGAGATTGGGCTCAATCCCTAAGAGGTACCTCTCTATTCCAAAGGTCAGAAAAAGGACCCCAATTCACTATGTCTCCAAGAAGACACTAAGAAAAGAGGGGAAAGGAAAACAGTCTCTTCACATTTTATAAATGGAGAAAATCATTTTCATTTACCCTTACAGAGAACATTTGGGTGGCTCCCTATTTGGGGCTACTTCAAATAAAGCTGCTATGAACATTCATGCCCAAGTTTTTGTGCCAACATATGTTTTTGTTTCTCTTGAAAAGACTTAGAAATGGAAAGACTGGGTGGATCAGATCATAGGATAGGTATGTTTAACTTTTAAAGAAACTGCCAAAGTGTTTTCCAAAGTAATTGTACCATTTTACATTCCCACCAGAAGTGCATGAGAGTTCCAGTTGCTCCACATCCTCATCTGCACTTAGAATGCTCAGTCTCTTTCATTGCAGCCAATCTAATGGGTGCTTAATGGTAGTTCATCTTACATTTCATTGATCTTTACCTGACACAAATTATGTTCAGCATCATCTCATGTGCTTGCTAGGCATCTGTAAGTGTCTTACAAACCTTCTTCTCTAAGTGTCCAAATAGTTTTCTTTTGAGTTGTTTGTATTTTTATAATTGATATATAGGAATTCTAATATACTTTCTACACAAAACCTTTGTTTGATATTTTCTCCTACTCTGAAGGAGACTTTTGCATGCCCTTAATTGTCTCTTTGGAAGAAAGAAAATAATGTTGATGAAGTACAATTAATAAAAATTAAAATTGATATCTAACAAGAAAAACTACAGTTTTTCTTTGGAAGAAAAAAAGTAATATTGATGAAGTACAATTAATAAAAATTAAAATTAAACTTCTGACCTCCAGAACTGTGAGAAAATAAATTTCTGTCATTTTAAGCCGCCAAGTTTGTGGAAACTTTTACAACAGCTGCAGGAATTTAGTACCCTGGTTACACTCACCGGTTTGTGTCTGTCCTTTGCATGGGTAGTTCAGGGGTGAGGCTGTGTGGATTCATACACAGAATTAGAAGGGGTCCTCTTGGTTTTTTCCTCCGCAATTATCTGCTCCCTTTTTAATCTTTGGGGGATCCCTTTTCTAGTTCCTCTAGCAAGAAGGATGGAGTTTCCATTAAAGTTTTAGGGACTCCATGACTGGGACCCACTGCTGTGTAAGGTCATTTCTCCAAGTTTTAACTCCACTCTGCAATCTGCCTGTTCTTGTTTACTTCTCAAAATCCTCAAATCACTGTTTTGTATTTTGCCCAGGAGCCTTAGTTGTAATTACCAGTTGGGGGCAGGGGTATAGTGGGCTTATCTGCCTGATGGAACAGGAGCCTCCCTCCTCTTTCAGCCTGTCAGGTGAGCACCTTGCTGTAGAACATGTGCCAGAGCCTGTCTAGAGAAAACCTTTGTACAAGTTTTTCAGTTCTGCGGGCTTTTTTGAAATTCTTAGCTTGAGAAAGATGGAGAACAAGTGGGGAAAATGTCAGATTCAACCAATGCAATGATAATTATTAGTCCTTTGTTGTTTTTATCAATATGCAGTGTACAACATTACTTCTGCTCACAACTGACTAATCAAGAAAATAGCAGACTATTTTGGAGTAAGCAAGAACGACTAACCTTGAACAGCAATTCATTCCACAAATCCTGTGCCCCAGGCAGCGTGCTTGGTGCTGAAGATTGAAATGAAAACATCCCATGATCTCCATCCAAGAAGGGTTTATGATAGAATAAACAAGTTCATATGGAATTCCCTACTGTAATTCCCTGTGACAAAAAGTGATGTACAGGAAATGGTCTGGAAACACAGATGAAGGAGAGATTAATTCTTACGGCACTTGAGGTGAAAAATCCGTGGGAAGGAGACATTGTAGATTGACTTTAAGGGATTTTCAAACGTCAACAAATGGAGGGCTGACCAGGGCATTTCAGGTAAAGAGAATAGTGCAAGCAAGGCTCAGAGGTTGACATGCCAGCACAATGCCAGAGGGGCAGCAACCAGGCGTGGTGACAGCACAGGATAAGGTACAAACACCCACACAGACCCACCACCAATGCCTCAAATGCCTGGAGTAAGAAGGCCAAGGCTGTGGTTCCACTGCCACCACCCCCACCTGACCCAGCAACAAAATAGCAGCAAGATACTCTTTGAGTCAGGACCCAGATATCGTTCCTGCAAAGACACCTACTCTTCTTTTCTTTTAATACTGAGATTGGACATGGCAGGCACTGAGCATGGTTTATTAAGATAGTACTAAAGAAGGGTTGTCTTAGTTCATTTTGTGTTGCTATAACAGAATGCCTGAGATTGGCTCATGTATAAATAAAAGTGTTTATTTGGCTCATGATTCTGGAGGCTGGGAAGTCCAAGATCAGGTAGATTATCTATTAGAACCCCATGTTGCTTCATCTCATGGTAGGAGACAGAAGAGGAAGAGGGTGGCTGCCAAGACAGCAAACATGAGAAGGCACAACCCACTCTCACATTAACTAATCCAGTCCCACAAGAGTGAGAACTCACTCCCCAAAGGAGGGCATTACTCTATTCATGAGCGATGCACCCTCATGACCCAAACATCTCCCACTATTCCCCACTTCCAGTGCCACCACATTGGGGAATCAAATGTCAACATGAGTTTTGGTGGGGATGAACAAACCATACGCAAACTGTAGCAGGGTTCTACATAGGCAGAACTATGGATCAACAGGCATTTCTTTCTTCTACCCCATCTGCCATTCTGCCTTCTTTCCTCCCTCTCATTTCCCATTTCTCTGTCCAAATTTCTCAACCAGACAAACTGGGGCAGAGTTCTGACACATGGCAAGTCACTCCTAGAGGGAAAATAATGTTTTCCTACAACAAAGAGAAAACAGCATGTGAGGTGCCTGAGTGCCAGCTGATGTTTCAAAATAGCAGTAAACACTGTTGGCAATTGTCCGGAGCCTAAGACAAGCCTCAGAGTTTGGGCTGATACACCACACACAGGGTAACTGCCCAGCTGTGATTTGCTTGGGCTTTGTTCTCGGGCAGTGAAGGGTCTGGGTCACCAGCCTGTTTTGAAACATAATGTGAGCTTACAGCTCCAGCAACATGCCACCATGAGTTCTGAAAAGAGAGAAACAAATGAATTAAATGTTCTAGAACTTAATCTTTTGGGTCATCCTATTCACCCACCCAAAAGAAAAGAAAAGGTTACTCTTTTGAATATAATCCTAACTCTGGTGGTTTCCAACAGCAATAAATAGTTTAAGCCTTTGGGGACTCTAGGCTCAAAGCCATTCTGATCTGATGTACAATAAAATTGAAGAGAAAATGGTTATTGCCACATGATTTCGAGTAGATGTTTATAGGGATATAGATAGATAAATAGAGGTATAGATATAAATATAAATGAACGTATAGGTATCTTATAACCTACTTTAGTCAAATATCAAAGAGACACTCAGATGCAAATACACAATTAAAACTTAAATGTTGCACTTTAAAAAGATTATGTTTGATGTTTTCTGTAGAAGCCACTTCTATAGTACAAAACAGATGGGAAATGTCCCATGGATTACTGAATGCCATGGCCAGCTACAGGGAGTTTCCGTGTTAGAAAGAAAATCAGTCCCATCCGTCCCGGACTCCTCCAGGGGATCTTTTTCACCTTTAGGGCCTTCCAAGAGCCCAAGACATATTCCCCAGTAACAGCCTTTGCAAGTTCTTCCTCCTCGTCTTTTCTACCTGCAAATGACCCTCATCCCTGGATATATCTGCACATCGGGGTTCTAAGACCCCTGGACTTTGCTGTACCTGCTCTACCCTCACACTTTCCTTCACACTCTCTCAGCCTGGCCCCTCCACCACCACCACTGCCCAGTCCATTAAGGAAATGGGACACCCATCGTCCACCCTTCTTACATGAGGCCTGTCCTCCAGGGCCAGACTTCCATTCCTTCCCTTCTACTAACTCCTCAAGCTCTGGCTCTATGGAAAGATGCACAGATGGATATGATCATCCCTTTGTCCTTGAAGACCTTATGATCTGATATGAGAAAGTCACCTATCTCACCACCTCTAATGTGGCTCAGCCATCTCTATGAACAAAGTATCGGCAGAGCAAATCCATTCATTCTGACCCAGTGAGGGGATGGGAGTGGGGACACATCAAAAGGTGAGGTGTGAGCTGCATTATGTACACTGACGAGAATTCTACCAGACGAGAAGAAGGAAACAGGCATCAGAGACACTCTGGGAGAGGAAGTGGCCTGGGCAAAGCTCAGAGAGGAGGGAACAACCCAATGTGACTGAGACGATGTCCATGGAGGCTGGGGGCAGCGGGTGGCTCAAAAGGTCTGCACCTGGATCCCGCCATGCTAAGATGCTTGCTGTTTATCTTATGGGCAACAGGATGCCATAGAAGGCTTTGTAAACAGGGATGTGACAAACACATCTAGTGACAGTGGGAGCATGAACTGCAGAGGGAGCCCCTTTCCTCTCCCTCCTTCCCCATACCTAATTAGAATCCAATTTAAAACACTGTCTCATCTCTACCCACCCTCTCCTACACATCTGCTGCAGCAGTCTCACAGGTCTTGCCTCCCCAGTCTCTCCCTACAGAGTTACCTCACATATACCTTCATTAACTCCCTAAAACACAAATACCATCCTATCAATCCTAAAAACCCTGTAACCCATGTAAATATCACCTTACCCCTGTATTCTGCACCTGTGAAGCCACGTGGTGACTTCCCTGGCCATCCTGACACAGAAGAAGCCCGAACCGACAGGTGACTTCCCTGGCCATCCTAACACAGATGAAGCCCGAACCAACAGGAGGCCCGGAAGCCCAGGTCAGAGGAGCAAAGCCAAGAGGCTCCTTTGACCTGGGAAATTATTCTTCGCCCATATGTTGTTACTTGCTCTATGTCAAGCACTCTGCTGAAGGTTCTTCCTGAAATGCATTATTCGATCATCACAATTTCAAAGTTGGTAGCACTTCTGTACCCGTGTCACAGACCAGAACATGAAAGCACAGAGTCCAAAGAACTCTTCTCAGGTCACACACCCTAGAGGTGATAGGGCTGGGGCCTGCCCTGGCTAACTTGCCGGGATCACACACTATTAAGAGTCAGAAGTACAACAAAACCCAGGTCCCCTATTTCATTCCTAGCTCAAGACTTCTTGAGTCTTGACATTGGGTTATGACATTGGGTTTCTTTTTCTTCCTTTTCTAACATGACCTTCTGGGATTTTTCTGCTGATGTGAAAATAAGCTCTAAAAGTCAACAGCATCTCAGCCTCCTTTCTTATAAAGGATTTTTGCTGGCCGATTTCTGAGACCTCACGTGACTTTGACTGAAGACCTTTTAATTATTGGGGTCACACTTTAAACCTTGACTAGTCTCAAAACTTCTCATGGAGGCTTATAATACATCTTCTACATAAGTATTTTTAATTGACTTAGAATTTAGCTGTAACATTTGTTTGATGGAAATGATTATAAAATACATTCTATTTCAAAAATTGAAATGTATTTTTATTTATAGTATAAATGCAAATTATAGGAAAATATTTTAGAGCTTTAAAAAATGCCTAGTGACACTAACACAGGAGAATCATAAAGCAAGAGAGCTACCCTAAATGAATACAAAAATCACTTCAATATTTATGTACAGCCATTAAAAATGGTTTCATTTTATCTTGGATTTTGGAAGATTTCACTTCTATAAAAGACAATTGATTCTGTTGAAGGTATGATAAATAATTAATTTAATTAATGAGTGCTGATAGCCACAGATCTATTTCTCTTGGGAAGGAGATGAGAAAGATGTCTCTAAGTTCTGTGTACATGTAGGAGTGTACACAATTTTCTGAATCCAGCCTTAGCTCAAGGTTTCTGAGATTATTTTAATTATTATTTTAAGCTTCCACAGGTACTTTTTTGGGAAGGAGAAGGAGAATATTTCACAAGACTGTTTTTATCCCCTGCCTCTGAGAAGCTGGTGTATTCCTGATGCTTCCCAGGTGCTGAGGACAAACCCCAGGTGAATAAACTCCACAGGGCAACCACACCGTTTTGTGTTTCTCAAGGGTCTTCTGTAGGCTATGATTCCCTTGTTGTAGTATACTGAGCCAGAAATCACATGTCACGTACTCTGTCAACAACAGTTAGAAACAGGAAGTGGAACCAAGCAGCTTTGCCTCTTAAGCATCAGGATTGCTTCACGTTGGTTTTGTGTTTTTAAGTGGCTATGGATTTCTTGTGTGTTTTCTGAGGGGTGTGGTTTGTGGCTGAGTGATATCTGTAAGAATTTAAAGAGTTTGCTTTTCTTTAGAGCAAACAGAAAAATAATTAACTCAGATCACTACCTTTCTTGGTTTTATCAGTCTTCCTTTGTTTGACAAATGCCACATAATCTTAAATTATTTCTGAATGACTATTAAAGATATAGTAACTGAGAAAGTTGAATTATTCATTGCAAGGAACAAAAAAATTACCATTACTGTAGAATTCCTGGGAGGACATGAAAATAGTCCAGACAAACCTTTGATTAATTCGTATCCATTGAAATGAGTTTATCTGTGTTAATACTCCATAGTATTCTCAAAATCATGGGTCAGTTAAAATCTTCAAAACTTTTTATTGAAAAATAAAAATAGAAACCTGATTTTGAAAGTTTGGTTCTGAAGAGTTGGATATTTAAAAAACTACTATAATTTAGTTGCATTTTGCCTTTATAAATATGAATCATGTTCCCCGTCTGGTAAATTTTGTTTAACTAATCAAGATCTGCATAAATAATTTGAACACAACTGGAAGCTAGTAAACTTTAATTTGTTGAATATATAATTAAAAAGTCATAAGATTAACTTTAAAATAATGGTTTTATGTTTTCCAAAGGAAGAGATATATACACACACATACACACACATACATTTCTTATATATATATACACATACATGTAGAGAGTATATAAATGAATGTGTCTTCCTTATTTTTTTCTTTTAGGGACAGTGCCTCACGCTGTCATCCAAGCTAGAGTGCAGTGGTGTGATCACAGCTCACTGCAGCTTCAACCTCCCAAGATCAAGCAATCCTCCCACCTCAGCCTCCCAAGTAGCTGGGACTACAGGTGTGCACTACCATGCTTGGTTAAGTTTTGTTTTTGTAGAGATAGGGTCTCACTCTGTTGCCCAGTCTGGTCTCAAACCCCTAGGCTCAAGTGATCCTCCCAGTGTGCTGGGCTTACAGGTATGAACCACCACGCCTGGCCCATTACTTCTTTTAATTCAAAAATGTTCTTATTAATGGTGGCAATAGGCATTTTTCAATTCCAAATTGAATGTACATATTTATTTAAAATGTTTCAGAGGATTTGACATGAGTCTATCGCCAGTGATGTATTTTTTCTTGATTAGCTTTAACCATGAATTTATGAACTTATTCATTCATTTATTTATTTATTTCAACAATTCATGAATAAAAAAAAGTCTTGGCTTTCTTAATCAAGTATTCCTTTAACAAAACCCATCAAGGTAATTTTGATATAGATACCTGGATAAAGAAGACCCTGTCTCATCTGGAAAACTGAAATTCTAGGATCCTAATTAGACGCACACAACAGATAAGCAATAGCCCCTCACTGCTCTATCTGAAAAGGGTTTTGTTTTGTTTTACGTTTTGCTGTCTGGGCCAGCTACATGTTAGGGGGAGAGATTAAAGGACAGACTTCAGGAGACACTCATACAGGGCCTAGAAAAAATTATCACCAGCAAGAGAGAAAGGAGAAACCATTTCAACAGGCTGGAATAGAATGTGGAGCAGGATTTTGTATAAAAGGACAGCACCTTGGAGAAGAGCTGGCATGGAGACGGGTTGGATGCTGGGTTGGGAGTGAGGTCACCAACTAAAAAGGCTGGCCTGGGCTCTACAGTTGATGAGGACTCACAGGAGGCTAAACTGGGACTGAGAATGGATATTTTCCTATTGTACAGATGCTGGCAGTGATACAGGAAGGGTAAGTGGGAGAAGGATGAGACCGGAGGCAGGAACCACCATTCAACCTATTATAGGCAAAAGGAGGGTCACTACAAATATGGCAGGAAGAGCCCTCCTCTGTCATGGTGGCCTCTTCCGCAGTGGGAAAACTGCTCTTGGTATTTTACGTCTTCTTTTTCCCTTTTATTCTTTCTCCCAATGCTAATGTGTGGGATGGGAAAAAGATACTGAGGTTGAGGGCCTGGCCCAAGATGAAAACTAACGTTTTTGTCTGTGAGCATGGGAAGGTTAGACACACGTGGAAGATTCTCACTCCTTCCTTTCCTGACATCCATTGTTTAATTGTGTCTAGAAGTCTGGAAAGTGCCAGACACAAGTTTGACTCCATGAAGAAAGAGGCACAGAGCAAATGATAATGATATCTGGACTTCAGAATAAACTGCAGATCTGAAGATATTTGGAAATCTTTTATTGGTTCCATACACACAGTTGTTATGATTACATCAGATGAATAATTAAAGAAGACAGACATACTATGCAGAAAGAAAGAAAGTACAACGTGATCTGAGTCTGTATCATCACCTTTCTTCCTCTTCAGCATTTTCTTCCATGCTGCTTTATTAATTAAACCAAAAGTGTGTTTTGTTTCTCTGTTAAACAAAGTGAAATGATTACTGACATGTGATGATAGTTCCCAAAGAGTTTTTCAAATCGGACCTTTCTAAACCAGTTTTTACGAAAGGAAATCTGGCATGTTTGTTTTTTTATCTTTTTATGTGCCTTACTGAATGCTGTTTACTTCATTACATTTTGTTTGTTTGTGTGTTTCTGAAGAATGTTTAGAGCCCTAGATAGGAAAAGACAAAAGAATAAGAACAGAAGAGCAACAGTATGGCCTCTTGGCTTATGATATAATGATGGCTTCTTAATGAATCCTGATCATGAACTGAGAATTAAACAATTGGGCTGAGGCCTTCTTAATGGGCCTATCAATGGTTTATGACAGTGTGAAATAATAGGAAACCCCTCTTGCAATTGTAATTCATTGGTTAAGCTTGTTACTCTCTGCTGAGCCATCATTTTGTCATTGGAATCCAACTCATTTCTCCTCTTACCCTAGCTATCCCTGCCCAGCAAAGATGTGGAACTGACAACTCATCGTATCACACGTTCTGGCCCCAAGGACTTCCAAATATCTAGGTTGTCCTTCATTTAGCAAAAAGAAAGTGTGCGTAGGGGTAGAGGGTGAGGGGAAGAATTCCCACTTCAAGGGACCACCCTAAGGACTCTTCTTTTCTGGAGTAGTTCCACACTGGCATTCCTTCCTTCAAACAGAAAAATGTGTAAGAAACAGCCACTGTATGCCTTGTACTCAGTGCTGGGAAGGCAGACAGGAATGAAGCACAACCCATGATTTCAGCGGTAGCCCTGCAGACAGACACAAAGAATTGCACCATAATGGAGGCGTGAAGTAAGTGTGGGGGCTGCCTAGGGGAGGTGGGACTAACTCTGCCGGAAGAGTATTGAACCATAACAAATCAGGCAATGGGCTTGTTTTTTTTTAAAAAAAAAATCCTCTAAATTCAAGACTATATGAGCAACCAACTGGAAAATTCAGTATAAGCCTTCTGGTACCCACCCAGGCAGAATTAATCCAAAGGTCTTCTCTCTTAGTACTTTGTTCTTTTCATTAAGTAGAGCCCTACCACACTGCATAATAGGAAGTCGGTTATCTGCCTGTCTGCCTCTGTGTTCCCCTTCACAGGGCCAAACTCCGGGTTGGTCTTAATGCCTATTGGCATTAAATAAATGATCAAATGATCTAATGAAGGAAGCCGCTGCTACCTGTGTCTTCTGTGTTTCTCTCTATGCATTAGTATGGAGGGATCTTGAAACTTTTCATAAATTAAACTCAACCTCTTTCTCCCATTCCCGCCCCCACTCTCAACTCAGAAGCTCAGAGCCTGGCTCTAAGTCGTGTTTCTTCTGCATTCCTTGACAGTTATTTGTTATAATCGTTTTAGGCACTTTGAGGTTACTTAATAAATGTTGGCAATTTGACTGACAGATGAAATGGGTAGGGATGTTACACATTTAAAGTACAAACAGGAAATGTTTATTAAATAGAAGCTTGAAATAATTGTTTGAGATATGACAAGATAGAGTTTTCTAAACCTGTTTACTGTATGCAAGATGGGCTAGATGGAGTCCTTTGATGAATTAGTTTCTTGCGTTTTTTCCAAATATTTCTTGTTCTCTTTTCTTTTCATTGGGGCATATATTTCCCACCTTTGGCACAAGATTGAAAAGCCCTGGTGGTCCCACTTCTTTCTGTATGTACAGAACAGTGAGTTACTGTGTGGTCAACATGTCCGGACAAGTCTGAAGGGAGATCAGGGATGTATATGTGCATATGCGCGTGCGAGTGTGCTTGCATGTGTGCGTGCGAGTGTGCATGTGTGTGTGTACATGCATATGCCCAACGTGTATACAGTTATAGGTCAATTCAGACAATTAACATTCTTTCTCCTGCTGTAGAAAAATAATATTACTTATATATTCAAACATTTGCTTCCCAAAAGCCAAAAGAAAAAGAAAATAAACTTTTTGTTAAAGACATTGTTGGTAGGTGGTTTGGGGATTGCAAATTATTGTTCTTTACTGCATCTTTTGGAAAATAAACTCAGTAAAAATTGAGAATCGCTTCTCAGCCTTTTGGCTGAGTGTGGTAAAAATTGAGATTATTGTATTAGAGGATTCACCCTTTTGATTTCTCTTATTATTTGAACTACAGAAAATAATGCGCATTTGGAGACCTTGTTTTTATTTTCATTGTCTTTCACCTTTATGTCTTATTAAGAATATTATTTTGGTAATATTTTGACTTATTTGTCTTTACATACGCTGATTTATCTTTTCCTTACTGGTTTTATGACCTATTTAAGTGATATTGATGACAAGAATTATGTTAATAATGAAAGTAAAAACGAGGCAAGGTACCTAGAGTCTTTTACATGGTATTATATAGTCATGTGCGACACAACAACATTTTGGTCAATGACAGATCACATATATGTCAGTGGTTCCATAAAATAATAATACCACATGCATACTGTATCTTTTCTATATTGAGGTATGTTTAGATACACAAACATTTACCACTGTGTTCCTGCTGCCTGCAGTATTCAAGATAGTAACCTGCTGTACAGATTTGTAGCCAGGGCCAATGGGCCATACCCTGAAGCCTAGGTGGGTAGTTGGCTGTACTATGTAGGTTTGTGTAAGTGCATTCTACGATATTCACACAGTGATGAAATAGACTAATGATGCATTTCTCAGAACATATCCCCATCATTAAGGAATTCATGACTGTACTTGAGTTTCCCCTTAGAAATTCATGTTAAAATTTAACCCTCAATATGGCAGTGTTGGGAGGTGGGGCTTAGTAGGAGGTGTTTGGGTCATGGGGCACCACGCTTATGAGTAGATTAACACTACCTCACAGAAGTCAGTGAGTTCTCACTCCTTCAGAACTAGATTAGCTCCCAACAGCGGGTTGTTACAAGTTAAGCCCAGCCTCTTGTGTGTGCCTCTTTGAACATGTCCACCTGCCTTTCTGCTTAGCACAGCAGCCCTTACCAGAAGTCAAGCAGATAACAGCATCATGCTCTGGAACTTTCCAGCCACCATAATTGTGAGGAAAACAATCCTCTTTTCTTTATAAATTACCCAGTCTTAAGTATTTCATCATAGTAACACAAAATGGACTAAGACAGTTTATGACATGTGTTTCCTTATTCCCCATTTTACAGATGGGAGACTAAAGCTTAGGGAAATTACATGATTTGCTCAAATTCACCTAGAAAGCTGGGTTCTACCCTGGGCTACTACTCCTCTTTCACTCTACCTAGTGTGCCTTAGAAAATTCAGCCACATCGCTGGTTTCAATTTTTACAAAAATATACGGATGATTTCAGCCGGGACATCCCTGCCAAACTTCAGACTTAAACATCCAGCTGCCAACTGGCTGTCTCCACCTTCACATTACAAAGATAACAAGTCCAAATCTGGATATGTCATCAACACAACACCAGAGCATTCCCTACTCCTGTATTCTCTGTTTAGTTGATGTTTCCACCTTGGAGGCTAGGATTGTCAGATTCAAATGGGGATATGATTTTATTTTGTATAGTTTGTTTCAAATATCACATGGGGTATACTTACACTGTTTATCTGAAATACAGATTTAACTGGGTGTTTTCTATTTTATTTGTCATCCTACCAGAAATTCAAGCAATAAGTGTGGGAATTGTCTTTGAATCCTCTCTCATCATCCTCTCCAGCAATATCATCAATCAACTCCTGCTGATTTTACCTCCTTTTTTTTTTTTTTTTTTTTTTTTTTAATGGAGTTTTCCTCTTGTCTCCCAGGCTGGAGTGCAATGGCACGATTTCGGCTCACTGCAACCTCTGCCAAGCGATTCTCCTGCCTCAGCCTCCTGAGTAGCTGGAATTACAGGCACCTGTCACCACATCCAGCTAATTTTGTATTTTTAGTAGAGATGAGGTTTCACCATGTTGGCTAGGCTCGTCATGAACTCCTGACCTTAGGTCAGGATTAACCTGGGTTAGGGTTAATCTGCCCGCCTCAGCCTCCCAAAGTGCTGGGATTACAGGTGTGAGCCACCGGGCCTGGCCTGAGTTTACTTCTTCAATATTTCTCAAATATTCCTGCCTGTCTATTCCTGGAACTGCTGCCTTAAATCAGGCCCTTGTAATCTCGAGTTGTCCATTCCTGTGGACAATGGTTTCCTAAATGTGTTCCCTTATATTGCTACCTCCCACTCCACCTTTCCTCCAGACTTCCATCAGAAGGTTGCTTCTATGTTTCAGTGCTGACTGTGCTGTGCCTTTACTAGAAACTCTAAAACTCTTTAATGGCCTCCAAGTTCCCACAGCAGCAGTTCTCAACTGTGAGTACACCTCAGTTACCCAGGTAGCTTAAAAAACAAGCAACACGGCCTCAACCAGTCCAATTAACTCAGGATCTTTTGTAGTAGGGCTTGAACGTTCATAGTTTTTTAAAACTCTCTAGGGTAATACCAATATTCAGCCACAGCGAAACCATTAACCTGCTTCACAGAGCTCCTGCTCATGCTCACCTGACTTCATTTATTGCTGTTCCCCGCTCGCCCCTTGCACTCCAGGGACATAGCCTTGTTTGCTGTTCCTCCTGAACAGAGGTTGTTCCTCATCCTCATTTCTCTGCCCCGTCTTTGTATTACTCCCCTCCCACTCTTTTCCTACCCTCCTCTTATCTCCTAGCCTCAGTCAAGCTTACAACTCAGGTCAGGAACCACCTTCTCGAAGTCATTGACTTCACCACTTGCCTTCACATAGGCTCTGTGAAAGCACCCCTCCCCATCACCTCGTATCTATCTGCACATCACTCCACTTCTGCACTTGCAGATCTTTAAGGGCATATGCTATGTCTTAACTAATTTCAGTCTATGCAGTACCAAGCATATTATGTATCTGAATGAATGAATGATGAATGAATGATGTCACAGAGCCATGATTCTAACCCAAGTCTGTTTAAATCCAAAATCTGTGCATCCTAATACCCTATATTAAAATTTGTTGTGTCATCTAATAAACTGGAATTCTATGTTCTACATTGGCAACAGAGAGAATGATCAGGTATGATCGCGTATACTCAGGATGATGGCCCTGAAGCCAGTTACCAAATACATCAGGCCCCTTCTTGCTTTCACATTTTTGCATACGTTGCTCTCTCAGCCTGAAATGCTCTCTCCCTCTGCTGCGCCTGCTGACATCCCAGTCATTCTTCAGCATTCAGCGAAAATATCACAATATCAAAGTCATCCCCACCCTCCAGCCCCCTCTGTTCCTATAGAATTGGTCCACAGTGCAACTGTAGTCCTAATTGTTCGGGACTGTGCTTGTTCAAATGTCTGTCTCCGCACTGGACTAAAAGCTCTTGGCAGTCTTGTGCAGCTCTGAGGTTACTCAAAGCACAATAAGGTACAATGAGTTTACTCAATAGGTTTTTGTTTCTGAGTGATTATATTCCATAGATTGTGTTAAGTATATTTTATACTATTCTAATTCTTTGAAAAATAGGTTAAATTATCCCATTCCGTGGCCCTGCTAACCAACTAAGAATTTCTACTGCTTTGATCGCTGCTTTTTTATTTTTAAGCAGTTTTTACTGTTTGGTCAGGGATTCTTTCACTTCTCAGTGAAAGCCCTGAGAACTTACTATAAAGAAACCTCTGAAATTTTTTTTACTATCCACCACCTACCTACCTACCTGTCACCATTTGTAATTGGATTGGACAAAGCTGGGAAAACAGTTTTTGTCCTCCACAACAGGATTCCCCCAATCCTTTTGCCATGGTTAATTTTTTACAGCTCCAAAAGCATGCCATTGAGGCCAGATCCGGGAAGAAGCAGTGCACACTTCCCTGTGAGTCTTTGATGTGAAGTTTTGGCTCCACTCCATCTCTTCCCCGGCGAGAGCCACAGCTGGTCACCATGTGCAAAGGCAGAGGTGGGGACAGAGCCGGCGTTCCCTGAGCCAAATGTGGACTCCACGGCTGAAGTGGAAAATCCACATCCTTAGTCTGATAAGTGCACAGTGAGGTCATAACCACAGTCCGTCAGACCTGGGTAAAATCTGACACTCTAGGGCTCGAATCCTGCTTAGCCACCTATTAGTAGGGATCTTCAGCAAACTCCTTGAGTTATCGCAACTGAGATCCTTCTCATCTATAAAATGGACTCAACTTTCTCTACTTCAAGTGATGCTGTGAGGATACACGACGGAATCACAGGGAAAGTCCCTATAACACCTGAATCACAGTAGAAACTTAATGAATGTGAGTGCCACGTCCATTCTTTGCCCTTTCAGTAGGAATTGTGGGGGAAAAAATGCAATCAACAAAAGCCTCTTCTTCCCTCAGGATGTCCTGCAAGTAACTTCAGTCTTGGTGAGTTGCACCTGTGCCCTTCACATTTGAAAGCAGTAATGTAAAGTCCCCTTCCTTCCTCTTCAGGTTTTTGCCATGACAGAGAGAACCTACAGAAGCCTACAAAGTCTCACTCGAGGCCAGGTGCAGTGGCTCATGCCTGTAATCCCAACACTTTGGGAGGCCGAGGTGGGCAGATCACCTGAGGTCAGGAGTTCGAGACCAGCCTGGCCAACATGGTGAAACCCCATCTCTCCCAAAAATACAAAAATTAGCTGGGCGTGGTGGTGGGTGCCTGTAATCTCAGCTACTCAGGAGGCTGAAGCAGGAGAATTGCTTGAGCCCAGGAGGTGGAGGTTGCAGTAAGCAGAGATTGCGCCATTGCACTCCAGCCTGGGTGACAGAGCAAGATTTCGTCTCAGGGAGAAAAAAGAAAAAGAAAGAAAGTCTCACTTAAAGAGCCCCTGGATGCAACCTTCCCCCCCACTTCATTCCACTCATGAAAACTAGCATGATCAGGGCAGTCATGAGTTATGGGACCTTGTACAATGCCATATTTTGTTATGACCGTAATGTCAAATGAATTCCTCCAACCTTTTTACCAAGAGACTTTAGGAACCCTAGAAGTTTCCTAAAGACAAGCTGTCATGAGCAATGCAATGTTAGAAATAACCAGGTCGACACATGTTTGGTCTTTCCACAATGCCAGGCTTTTATTGATGCTATTTTAATCACAAAAGCCACAGGTTACATGGAGTTCCCAAGGAGGCATTCTCCTTAGCAGGTCCCGCTCACTTGGGATTCAGAGCTGTGGGCACACAGGCTCAAGCCACTTCACAGGTCCGTCAATACTGCAAACCATACATCACAGTATACTTAATCAATATATAAATGTTATAGGTTAAACATTCCACAATAAACAAAGTAACATTTAACATCAGAGGAAAAAGAAATAGGAGAAAGAGTTAATGAAGCAGTCCAGGGGTAGTGAAGAAGACCACAAGAGTCCTGGCCTGGGCCTGATGGTCCATCGGTCTCGCAAGAAAGAGGGCAGAGTCTTCCAAGGCAGATGCCCGCACTGTCATCGTGGGTGATCGGAAGATGGTGTCAGTTAGGATGGCCGTTCCAGGCCACTGCAGGCCTGACTTTGATGGACACAGAGTCTTCTGGTAAGGACTGCTAGAGGAAGAGTGTGCTTGCTGTGTCCTTATGTGGTTGGATGCAGTCTTTAGTTTTTATTTGTTTATTAAACAAAACATCTTATCCTTGTTGGCAAAATGCCCTGAGAAAAAAATGAAATGGAGTCTTTTCTAAGATGGAGTTAGTTATGTCAAAGGTGCTGTATACATAAGCCCTCTGACACCCCAGCATCCAGTGCCAGGTAGGTCTTTCTTCACTATTTGACCTACCCACTCTAGGAAGTGCACCACCCTTCCAAGGAAAAAGCCAGGCTCTAACTCCTGTGCCATGTGTTGCTAGCGCTCTGCCTGCCTGATTATCTGGATGGAAGAAGGGGTCAGGAGCAGCGATGGTTCTGCAAAAGAGCAAAGTGAGGGGGCCAAATCAGAGGGAGAGGAGGGGCTTCTCACTCCCCCCTGCCCCCATCTCTCAACAATAGGATTGCCTGCCTGGCAGCTGCTGTAGAAGTTTTGGAAATACAGGTCCTTAGTAAATCCTCAAGGTCTCAGGGGAGAGTAAAATCCAGGCCTTTCAACACAGGATACTCAAGTTAATCTGGAGGTCTAATCCACTTAGAGTGTTGCTTTTAACTCCCATTTGAAGCGACAGAGAGGCCAGCACTAAGGCAGATAAGCCCTTCCCTCTCAGTAGGGGCTCGGCCACACCAGCACCCCACGGGTAACCTTTCCGAGGCTTGTCCAGTTACATTACATGACATGTTGTGATTTATATTTTAGCCCCGAGGACAAAGCCCAAAGAACTGTGTCTCTGTGAGGTAGGGCCCCCTGGCTTTCTTTTCATCACTGGAAACCAGGGGCACCTCAGAGGCCCCATGCTGAACAGAAAAAACGCTACTGGGGCACTCTGGATCCCTCTTTATGGATGCGGGGAGCCAAAGCCTCTGGGCTGACGTGGACCACATTATCAGAAAAATAATGACCACACTCTAAAAACAAATAGATGACTCCGGGGCTGTGGGTTTCTGGCTGATGTTCATTCAAATGCAGAAAGCAGACAGTGCTCTCCCTGCAGCTCTTCCAGACAGGTCCATCCTGAATGCCCCCCGTGGAAGGCCAGACAGGCGCAGCCAAAAAATAAGTTGATAAATAAATAAAACAAAAATAAACAGCCAGAGTTATTATTTTCAAAGACATAATAGAACATGGACAACGGAGACATTAACTCATAGGAAAGAGAAATAGATATTTAAGTCATTTCCTCTTCTGTAACACCTGACTTTTAAATTGGTCTCCACTTTATTTTTAAGAACTTGAGTGATTTTTAAGAAAACAAATATTTCGGATACTTTAAGTCACTGTATTATAGTACCTGCCTTCCCTTCTAAGGATATAAAAGTTGGAGGTGACACTCCTTTTTCCAATTTCCCTTTTATTTGTAAAAGTAAAAGGATGTGCACACATTTACATGTGTGAGTGTGTGAGTGTTGGGAGGCGGTGGGTGTGTGCATGTGTGTGTGTTGTGTCTTTCCTCCTACCACGACCTCTGTAAACTGATGACCTTCCTCTGGCCCTTGAGATGATGCATAAAGTGCAATTTGTAATTGCAATGTCTGATGTTGGGTTTACGATGCAATCATATCTTGCTTTCCCCAAAGGCTGCACCTAACCACACTGCTGGGAGATTCTGCATGTGCCTGGGACCTACCTAGATCCCAGTTTCCTCATCGATACCACAAGCCAATCAGAGCAGATGACATTGAAAGTCACTCTCCTATTAAATCCTATGAGGCTAGAAAAGTTCAGTTTTACCAAATGGATGTGTTAAGAGCTCATTTTCTTTTCCAAAGGACTGACAGGCAGAATGCCTTATGCAGAAAGACCTCTGGGTAGATCGTATTTCAGGAACAAGAGTCCCCATCCCAGCCCTCATGCTGACAGATGACCCAACCTGCCAAAACTACATTCACACTTCTCTTTTTATGAAGCATGTGGATAGCAGACATCTTAGAAGGAAGTTGCTGAAAATCATTTTAGACTCAGTAGGATAAGAGGTCAGAGCAATTAAAAATTAAAAATGGCAGTTTGCTTATTAAAATGTGAGATCCCGAGCTCTTTGAAGCCCCAGACCATTCCTGCATATCTCAGTTCCCCTTGGTGCAGGCCCTGGATTTAAAGGCATTCTGGAGATGTTTATGACTTGAATTGAGGCCACTACCAATTCAAGGGTGAGAAACAGTCATCAGCAAATATTATGGCACCAAACTCTAGAATGGCTGGTGCCCTTTCATAAGAGTTCATTGCTCTATGGGGGGGATTAAAGCATTTCATATAAATCCTGTTTATGTTTTCCCAAGAATGTGTTTAAAGTATTCAGACACAAGTAAATGTGACTGGCGTCCTAATCTCACCGCAGAAGATAAAAGAAACGTTTCTCTTTTGAAGTGAGTAGGTAGCAGCTCCATTTGTTCTTCTAAATTTCCCTGGAAAGGGTTGACTGAGTTGAAGGTGTTGGAATGGGGAAGCAGAAACCAGAGAAGCCAAAACCATCACCTCCGCACCCCCTCGAGGGCCTCTCTTTCTCAGCTGTGGAGCTGATACCCTCACTGAGTGGGTTCATCCCTTGCTATTCCGAGCTGGCAAAGCGCAGACACCCCGTCCACATCCTTATAGGTCCAGAGCTGCCTTGGAGATCTGAACCCAACAGGACCATCTCAGAGTCCACAGCCAGCCTGAGTCAACGCTGGACTCTGTACTGTGAAAGGTATGAGCTCTATCAGGGTCTTGGTCAGACAAGGATTCTTGGAGAGAACCCAGACTCCTCAGAGAGGCAGGACTCATTCAGAAATCTACATGGCAATAAACCTTGCTCTCTGGAACTTCCAAGGCATTGTCCCCTTCCACACACCCTCCCCATGCTGGAAGTTCTGAATGCCTGGTCCTAGGAACTCATTAATTTATATTTGCATCAAGCTTACATGATGGCTATGGGCTGTTTTAAGAATCATCTTGACAGGGAAACTAGAAGAGAAGAGATCATTTCAGCTACCAAAGTGGAGGAGAATAGAATCGCAGAGGGGCAGACTGAATGTGCCAGCAACAGGTGCCACTGTCTTTCCAACTCTGCCCCCTGGAATGGTCATCCTGGGACACCCTGGAGCCCCAGGCCCTCTAAGGACTGTGTTCATTCAGCTCACTGGAAATCAGCACTGAGGGTCAAGAAAAACCACAAGGCCCACCCCCAGAGCAATGAGAAGGACTCTCCCTGGCAGAATGAAAGTGTGGTTCTGCACCTGCTTCCCATCTCCTTAGAAGCCCTCAGCCCTGTGTGCTCTGCCACCTCTGCATCCAGGCCGGTGAGGTACTCCAGGACACCTTGAATGAGAGCAGCAGCCTTCATTCAATGCACACAGCCCCAGTCCAGCAAAACAGCTTCTTGTTCATTTCCCTGACTGAGCTAAAATAAAATTGTTGATTAATATTTGATGCTCTTTTCCCCTGTAGATCTTAAAAAACAAATGGTATCCTTCACCTGTGGCCTATTTATACACTGTTTCTAGTTCCCAGGTTTTCTTGGAAACACAATGACCTGGTTTATTTTTCAAGAGTGAACAACAAATTCTCAACACTTGTGAGTTTTGGCCTAATTGTTCTGCTCATCATTCAAGAAATTATCATTGGATTTGCATAAGCCATCTTCATTTGAACTCTTTAGCCACGGGTACACTTTTCATTTGTGTTCTCTAGGAAGAATGTTTTTCCATGAAAATCTTGTGTCTTCTACATAAATATAAGACTGGAATAAAAGAAATAGGCTTTCCCCCCATTATTAAAAGCAACTGACTAAAGCACTTGCCCATCCTGATCATGGGTGCAAGTCATGCTCTCACCAGTAGGCAGTGAAGTTGGTTCTATGCTACGGCTCTTCCAATACTGGGGAGGAATCTCCGTTTAAACTCCTCTTGCTGTATTCAAAACTCATTCTTCTTCCTTTGGTTTCTGTGGTTCCAAGTCATTTTCCTTACAGTTTCTTAAAGATTGAGTATGAACATGATCACTCAGATTCTGGGCCTCAGTTCCATCACTCTTTAGAAGGAATTGCCTAACGAGCTCCAAATCACTTTGACATTATTACTATTTATTGACAGAGAAAATGTCTTTCTGGAGCTATTTACAGATTATGTACACATGATACATGTTGAACTAGAATGTCCTGGGATGTACATGGAACATGTTGCACTTCTTTGAAAACCAAGATAGAAAACTCTGCCTGGGAATCAGTGTTTGTAGCAAGAAGTAGTTTCATTAGAAATTATCAGAAATAAAAGAATATCTGGAATTATGATTGGAGTTTACTACTTCCTGCCTGCTATGGTCACAATGTTTGTGTTCCACCAAAATTCATATATTGAAACCCAGATCCCATCGTGATGGTATTAAGAGGTGGGGTTGTTGGGAGGTGATTAGGCCAGGAACTTGAAGCCTCATGAATGGGATTACAGTAGTCCCCACTAGGGTTTCAGTTACCCATGGTCAACCACAGTCCAAAAATATTGAAAGAAAAATTACAGAAATAAACAATTCCTACGTTTTCAATCGAGCACCATTCTGAATGCCATGATGAAATCTCACACCATCCCTCCAGACATGAATCCTCCCTCTGTCTACTGTGTCCACACTGTAGGCAATCCCAGACCATGGGTCACTTAGTAGCAGTCTCCGTTCTCAGATTGACTGTCACAGTACTGCAGTGCTTGTGTTCAGGTCACCTTTATTTCACTTGATCATGGCCCCAAAGCCCAAGAGCAATGATGCCGGCAATTCAGACAAGCCAAAGCCAAGCTTGTCAATTGCTTCCTTCAAATGAAAAGGTGAAAGTTCTCGACTTAAGGAAAGATTAAAAATCCATATGTTAGGTCGCTAAATTCTATGGTAAGAATGATCCTTCTGCCCAGGAAATTGTGAAGAAGGAAAAAGAAATTCATGCTGGTTTTGCTGTCACACTAGAAGCTGCAAAAGTGACCAAAGTGTGTGATAAGTGCTTAGTGACAATGAAAAAGGCATTAAATGTGTGGGTGGAAGACACAAACAGAAACATGTTCCAACTGATGGCAACGTGTTGCACCAGAAAGCACGCAGGCCACACAAAGATTTCAGCAAGGGATCCCTGAAATGAGTGACATCGAGCCATTTACTGCAAGTAAGGGATGGTTACACAGATTCAGGGATACAGAAGGTCAATAGTAGCCTAATGCTACATCTCAAGGCCTCACTTTCTCTCATCCCACAGTCATTCTATCACCTCACATCATCGCAAGGAGAAAGGTGAGTACAGTACAGTAAGATATTTTGAGAGAGAGAGACCACATTCACATAACTTTTGTTGTATTATAACAATTATGTTGTTATAATTGTTATATTCTATTATTAGTTATTGTTAATCTTTGGCTATGCCTAACTTATAAATTAAGCTTTACCATAGGTATATGTACATAGGGAAAAACATAGTGTGTATAAGGTTTGGTACTATCTGAGGTTTCAGGCATCCACTGGGGGTGTTGGAACGTAACCCCAATGGATAAGGAGGGGCTACTGCAGTGCCCTTACGAAAGAGGCCTGAGAGAGTAGCCTTGCCCCTTCTACCACATGAAGACACAGAGAGAAGGTACCATCTATGAACCAGAAAGCCAGGCCTCACTAGACACTCGATCTGTTTGAACCTTAATCTCGGACTTCTCAGTCTCTAGAACTGTGAGAAATAAATTTCTGTTATTTATAAGCTATCCATTTCATGGTATTTTGTTATAGCAGCCAGAATAGACTAAGACAATGTCCTACTTTATGGAAAAAGAGAAAAATGATTGACCTGAAGGAAATTTGGGAATATGTTTCCACTGATTTACTGAAGTCAAATATCTCAGCCACCACCACCTCCTTTGGCTTATATTTAGGGACATACAGTAGGTGCTTACAATATATTTTCTTACTCTGCATATCTTGCCCCTCCACCTTCTTCTAGAAAAATATAAGATAACTGATGTGGTGTTTTATAGTGTTTCTTCTTACCAGGACATTTCTAGACAGAGCTGGGGATTCAATGGAGCAGTCCATCTCTGATCAAGCACCAGTTCACCTCATAGTGCCACCAAGACACCAAAGAACAAGGCAGGAAAAGATGTCCAGGAAGTTCCCATTCATCATATTGTAGAAATAAAAGTAAACTTAGAATGAAAACTGGCTCTGAAGGTCTGAATGTGTATGTTACCGGGAAGGTCACCTGTAAGGATCGATTCTCTGTAAGTGAACTCAAGAACGACCCTCGGAAGTGGGTTCATGTCTCCAGTTACTCTAGAGAAAGCCAGCTGCCTGTCTGCATGAAGCTCTGCAGGCAGAGAGGTGGCCTTGGTGGAGTGTGCATTAACCGTCCACTCCTCCCGCCCACATTCCAGCTGACTCCAAGGCCAAGGGAGGGGAAGGAAACGGATCTAATTCTCCATGAGGGTGTGGACCGTGGAAACGCCCTTCCACTTCTCCTCGGGAGGCCCAGAATGGTGACCAAGGGTGGGAGGGGAAGCTTGCCAGGGCCCGTCTTATGTCTTATTTTAGATCCGTTCTTTAAGTGCCTCAGTCAGATGGAAGAGAAGCTCGGTCAAGAACCTTCAGGGACAGGGTACAGGGAATGTTTGCTCACCAAATCGAGTCACCTTGCAGACTGGCAGGAGAGACCCATCCTGTGCAAGGGCAGCCAGTAACATGGCTCATGATGATTTGTCTGGTCAAAATAGTGGAGCAGAAGTAACTGAACAAAAGACTGCTCAGTGGAACAATGACCTGCTCACCTGAATGGTGTGAGAGTTAAATAACATAAGGCAGGACTTCCCACTCTTTTCAATCCTGAAGATTCCACTTAAACAACAAATATGCTGATGCCCTCTCCATGGTGGGAGTTCTACCTTTAGGGTGCACTGATTGAAGATGTGTAAGATGACCACAACAACAAAAAGCCATTATGAACTCAGTGGGCGTTCATTTAATTTGTATTTACCAATTACAACAGTGCCTATATACATTTGAGGTACAAATGAGAACTATCATTTGTGAAGTCTCCAAACAAGGGATATGTACACAAGGATTCATCCCTAGGGGCCACTGCTCACACGTGGGGCAGTCAGGACTCCACAGAGTTCACAGAATTCAATGTGGTATTCAAACTTTCTTTAACATATATATATATATATATATATATATATATATATATATATACACACACACACACACACATATAGAGAGAGAGGTGTGTGTGTGTGTGCGTGTGTATTAGGTAAGAGCTGACCTGCCCTGATTAAAGGGAGGTGAAACCCCAAAGCACCTTCCCCCACCCACCCCTGTATTGTCTTCAGAATCCACTTGGGCACCGCCTGTGGCTCCCAGCACCGCTGGGACAGGTTGCTATTTGCAGAAGGTTTTTGCATAGGGTTTGGTACTATCTGAGGTTTCAGGGATCCACTGGGGGTGTTGGAACATAACCCCCATGGATAAGGAGGGACTACTGCAGTGCCCTTATGAAGAGGCCTGAGAGAGTGGCCTTGCTCCTTCTGCCACGTGAGGACACAGAGAAATGGCACCATCTATCAACCAGAAGGCGAGGCCTAACCAGACACCCGATCTGGCCCATCAGCTCCTCTGCCTTCACCATTGAAGGGAAATCCTGCTCTGACCCTAGCACATTCGGGGTGCTTGTATCAAGAGCTGCCCCACCACATGACAGATGAATACAGGAGCTTCTACTGTGGGAACACCTTAGATTTTAGAGACTGCTCTGAGTGCTTTGTTCATTCATAGATGAATATCTGTGCCTTTGAAGATTAAGGTGAGAAAGCAGCATTCATTTTTTTCTAATACAAAAGCATATTCCTAATATATTTTCAACCCTAAGTATTCCATTAGGAATTGGACTCTGGCCAGGTTAGGTAACCAAGGTGTTAATTACCATGACTTCTCTTGCAAGAATGCACATTAATAGTAGGGGAGGACTAGAAGACCATAATGGAACCAAAACCAGGCTGGCATATTACAAAGAACATAATCACAGATTTAGCCAAAGGCAGTGCCATAATGAGGTAAGACTGAGTTTACTCGGTAATGAATGAATCAGGATCCAATTCAATACCAAGAATGTAACCACGATTTGCAGCTAGCAGCCTGCCACAGCAAGAACCTGGGGTTATGGTGTTCTTAATGATGGGGTGTGATGGGGGTGAGTTGCCTACACCTGGATTCAGATATTTCTTGGCTATCTAATTTGCACTGCAACCAGGAAAATCTAAAAATCTGTTGCAATAAATGGAGGCCAACTCTCCTGATACAAGTGCCCTGAATGAGACAGGCTTAGAGCAGGTTTTCCCTAGTAAGGAGAAAGCAGTAGAGCTGGTGGGCACAGAAGTAGTGAGCCCTCTGCAGATATGCGCTTGTCCAAGCATGGCTGGGACTGCGGGAGGGAGGCCTGCTGAGGTTCCTGTGCAAGAAGGACCAAGGAGCCTCTCGTTAAAGACCGAGGGCTGGTCCCAGCCCCCAAGTCTAAAAACACTTAGCTGCTAGGGTCAAGGTGGGTCCTTGCCCTTCTCCACCTTGCAGAGAGCAGGAAAGACCACATCTTCACTTGAGGACAGGACTGGAGCTGGGGACAAGAACTCCCTGAGTGCCCCAGGATGTTGCCCCACCCCTGTTTGGACTCAACCTGGAGTCCTCAAGCAGAGATGCATCAGAGCATGGGTTAACAAGGAGCTTTGGCACCAGGATTTACACAGCACTGACATCTGCGTAATAGCAGAGGGTATCAGTGAGGAGAGGAGAGAAAGACAACTTCCCCCAGCCCAGTGGTGCAAGGACCACTAAACTGGAAGGGAGGGGCAGCTGCTACTTTCCCTGCAGAGAGGACAACTGGCCGACTGTAGTCCTCAGAACATGTGGAGCAAACTGCAAACTGCACGGATTTGCCTCTGGGGGCAGGCTGAGCATGTGACTGATCTGAAAGCTTTAGAGGGGAGGAACCATCGAGATGATGTGGACAAAGTTGCATGCTCCTAGATGCTGGTAAGAGGATCCCAGGTAAGGAGATGCCAGTCTGGGTTGAGATCCTCTGGGCTGGCCTGGACTAGTGGCTACTTCAGAAGAAGCAATCCACTCTATGTAACAGAAGGAAAAGAACTGGAAAAAGAGAAAGGCAAGCAGGATGGCCAATGCTGTCAGCCAGCTTCTCCTCTTGGCTGCTACCCCAACTCTAACAAAATCTATTGTAAATTTCTCCATGGCCTCTAAAGATTTTTTTTTATTATTATACTTTAAGTTATAGGGTACATGTGCACAAAGTGCAGGTTTGTTACATATGTACACATGTGCCATGTTGGTGTGCTGCACCTATTAACTCGTCATTTACATTAGGTATACTCCTAATGCTATCCCTCCCCCCTCTCCCCACCCCACAACAGGCATGGCCTCTAAAGATTTTGAATTATATTTTCAATAATGATAGTAGCTGACATTCATGGTACATTTACTAGGTCAGGCCCTGTACTAAATGCTTCATATATTTATCCTAATAACAGCTTGAGAGGGAACTCCTAACTTATGATTATTTCTGTTTTACAGATGAGGAAAGTGAGGCTTGCAGAGATCATGTAACCTCCTCAAGGTCATGTAACCTCCTCGAGGTCATGTAACCACCTCGAGGTCATGTAACCTCCTCGAGGTCATGTAACCACCTCGAGGTCATGTAACCTCCTCAAGGTCATGTAACCACCTCAAGGTCATGAAGCTCAGGAGATGCCAAGTTGACTTTGACTGCAGAATCTTTAATCACTAGACCCCTCATCACTAGATTATTCCAGTAATGATATCATCCTTATTCAGATTTGGACACTGAGCACCAGGCTGTGAACTACAGATAATATCACCTAAACTTCTGAATCTAGCCTTCTGGAAGTGAGAAGCAATTAGCAAATCAAAAGGAGCTGAGGCATCTGGGAAAGCAATTTGGAAGTTATGACAAGGCAACATCTGTGAAACACAAATTACAATTCTTTAGATTCTCCTGTGGGAGGATGTAACCATTGTGGCAGCATGAAGAGTCTCACCTAATGACACAGAGCCACAAGAAAATTAATCGGAATAAGAACAATTTTTCCTAATAGGGAAACCTTTTAGGTTTCTGGACACTTCTTCCAACGTCAGGTTATGGAAAGCTCATTAGCTGAGTCACTTAGGATAGAATGAGACAAAATGTTCACAAACATCCAGGAGCAATCTTCTCACATCGGACAAAATGACCTAACTGATCTTCTCATCTCCAATTGTAATGAATCTCTTCATTTTCCACACAAAACTCCCCCATCCGTTCATCATCATTTCCTCTCTTTTGAATTCATAAAAATATGAAACTAGAATATTATGATTCCCCAGAAAATTAAAATATTGCTCTGTCACCCAGGCTGGAGTGCAAAGGCGCCATCTCAGCTCACTGAAACTTCCGCCTCCTGGGTTCAAGTGATTCTCCCGCCTCAGCCTCTCGAGTAGCTGAGATTACAGGCGTGCACCAGCATGCCAGGCTAATTTTTGTATTTTTGTAGAGATGGGGTTTCACCATGTTGACCAGGCCAGTCGTGAACTCCTGACCTCAGGTGATCCGCCCGCCTTGGCCTCCCAAAGTGCTGGGATTACAGGCATGAGCCACTGTGCCCAGCCAAGAAGCAATTTTTAAAATTCAAATGCATGTAAAAACAATTTTAAGGACATATTCTTAATGGTGTAGCAAAGTGAAAAATAAAATGCCTTATGGAGAACAATCGTCCACTAAGATGCCTACCTGTCATTTATAAAGATCCAGGGCAACAAAATGAAACAGAGTTTCCTCTTCCTGTTGCCACAGATAGTGTAGAAATAGCTTGGAGCTGGCAGTCTCATGGTAATAAGCCAATAATACTAACTGCTGTCTATTTAGTACCTACCACATGCCATCCAGGCCTCACAGCAACCTGTGAGGCAGGTGTTACTAAACTGGAAACAGACAGGACACGGTTCAGAGGTCTCAGGGCTGGGCCAGGGGGCAGGATCAGGGCCTGGGTCTGGCTCTGGAGCCAAGAGCTTGAGCTTCACATCACAGCCTCCCATCCAGGGCAGCAGGCTCTGGGACAGCCACACAAAGAGTGAAGTCTGCATGTTTCCTGGGGCTGCCGTAAGAAGTTACCACAAACTAGATGGCTTAAAACAACCCCAATGTATTCTCTGCTAGTTCTGCAGGACAGAAGTCCAGAGCCAAGGTGTGGCAGGCTGCTTCGTTCTGGTGGCTCCGAGGGAGTCTGCTCCTGCTTCTGGTGGCTTCTGGCATCCTTGGCAGTCCTTGAGCAAGCCTGGCTTGTTGTCGCCTCACTCTAATCTCTGCTTCTGTCTCCACGTGGCCTTCTCTCTCTGCGTTGATGTCTTATCCCCTCCCTTTTCTCTCAGAAGGACACCCTAAATCTACAATCATCTCATTCCAAGATCCTGAACTTAATTACACCTGCAAAGACCCTACTTCCAGATAAGGTCACGGGTCCCAGGGGTTAGGAGACAGACATATTTCTTTGTGGGGCACTATTGAGCCATGACAGGCTCCCTCTCTACTGAGAAGTTCAGTAACTTATCCTGAGCCACACTGGGCTTCCAGGTAGGATTTCAGCAGGATTCACACTGTGGCTTTTACCAACAAGTGCGTTCCCCCTTGTCTCCTCTCTCTGAGACTACAGCCTCAGTGGTACTGAGAGGTGTGAAGCCAGCTGGACTTCCTGGGTCGAGTGGGGCTTGGAAAACTTTTCTGTCTTACAAGAGGATTGTAAAATGCACCAATCAGCACTCTGTAGCTAGCAAGGGGGTTGTAAAATGCACCAATCAACACTCTGTAAAATGCACCAATCAGTGCTCTGTAAAATGCAACAATCAGTGCTCTGTAAAACGCACCAATCAGCAGGATCCTAAAAGTAACCAATCGCAGGAAGGATTGAAAAACGGGCACTCTGACAGGGCAGAAATGGAACATGGGCAGGGACAAATAAAGGAATAAAAGCTGGCCACCCACCAGCCAGCAGCAGCAACCCAGTGGGGTACCCTTCCAGGCTGTAGAAGCTTTGTTCTTTTGGTCTTCACAATAAAATTTACTACTACTATGGGTCCGTGCCATCTTTAAGAGCTGTAACACTCACCGAGAAGCAGCTTCAGTCTTGAAGTCAGCGAGACCAGGAACCCACCGTCAGGAACCAACTCTGGACGCAGTACCACAATGCAGGCCAGGCGAGAAACAGCATGGTGGGCTAGCCTGCTGAGGCTGATGTAACGGCGCCACATCCCGCGCAGCTTAAGCAACAGAAAAGTACTTCTCAATTCTGGAGGCTGAGGTTGGAGATCAAGGCGTTGGCAGAGCTGGTTTCTCCTGAGGGCTCCTTGGCTTGCAGATGGCCGTCTCCTCCCTGTGTCCTCCCATGGTCTTTCCTCTGTGTGTGTCTCTGTCTAGTAAGGTCGCCAGTCCTATCTGATTAGGGCTCACCCATGGACCTCATTTTAACTTAATTAGCTCTTCAAAGGCCCTAGCTCCAAAACAGCCACATCCTGAGGTATGAGGGGTTAGAACTTTATCACATGAATGGGGGGTCAGAGGCACCATTCAGCTCCAAACAAGCAGTGGAAGACTTGGAACCAGGAGCGAGCAAGCACTGGGAAAGGGAATCCAGGCAGCATCCCTCAGAGGGAGTGGTGGGTAGACTTGTGGAGCGGAGTTATCACAAGGAAGAACCACTTTCTCCCATAGAAAGCATGGCAGACACTGAGTGTGTTCCATACAACTCCTTTTGAGGGAAAACCACAGGGCCACTCTCCTGCCATTGCAAATCCCTATATAATGTGACAGAGGCCCATGCAGACTCTCAGGGAGTGCAGCTCCCCTGGGAAAGGGTCATTTGCGGAATCAAGAGGAGCTATTCCAGCTCTTCTGTGGTAAGATGAATCAGAAGTCAGTTATTTCCCTTGCCTTGTCCACACCTACAGAAACTAAATTAATTTAGATGCATTTCTTTCGGGGGTTCCTGTCTTCTGTGAACCTGAGTGTAATTAATGCTTCACATTGCATAGTTCTTTGCTCCTGACCACTCATTGTCGTTTGCATTGCCTCCCTTTGTTGATATTCAGAACCACACTGCGATCCTGGTGTTACTTCTCTTATCCAGATTTTACAAATGGATCAGTTAGGAGAAACTACTCATTCAGTTGTTCACTTAGTAAGTGGCACAGGTGAGATTTGAACCCAGGGCTTCTAACTCTTTCTGTCACATGACACAGACTTGCACAAGGCATGTAGGCTGAAAGCTAGAAACCTCTGAAACGTGTGTGCCCGACCTCGCTTCCCCTTGTTCTCCATGGGCGGTCCCACTCGGAGGCCATTCTATATCTGGTTCCAGGAGGCAGCCTGAGCCCACAAGCGGACATCCATAGCCCTGGTCCCACAGTCTTGATGGGTGTGGATGGAGACAGGGTTGGCAACCTTGGGTTAAAGGGGCAAGGGTGAGTCATCAGTGCCTGTGTCCCTGAGAACACCCATTCTCAGCTGCCCCCGTCCCCAGTGTCCACCTGGCCTGTAGTGATGTCATCCACAGGACACAACTCTGCCCATGTTCCCTCTCTTGTACTTCTACCAGCCCTGAGCCCATCTGAGGCTGTGTTCTCTGTCCAGGCCCCAGAGGCCTTGCTTCATTGTCAGTCTCGGCACCTAAGGAAAAGCCTCTTGCCAGTCTCTTCCTGCTCCCCATCAGCCCCTCACTGCTGAAGCCCATCAGGCCTCCAAGCCCACTGGAGGCTGCACAGACAGCCCCCCATTCAGAGCTCTGCTCCAGTGTCCCCTCTTCAGAGAGGACCCCGGAGCAGCCCAGCTAGCATTCCTCCCCAACTTCCTCTCCGGCCCCTCTGCTCAGCCACAAAGCCACTCTAATTATAGGACCTTCTTACGGCACTAATCACTGCATGGAATTATTTGATTTAGGTTTTCTCTTGGTTTGCTAGCATCTGGAACTCCAGTGTGACAGCAGGCCTGGCTTACACATCAGTGTCAAGAAGTGCACGTGTGAATAAGTCCACAGCACTAGCCCTCTGGACGCTGGCACAGCCTGGGCCCCGGTCACAGTCTCATTTGGTAGAGAAACTCACAGTCAGCCTGTTGGGAGCCTGCTTGTGAGACTCACTTAGTATGATTCCAATAAGGATGGATAGAAATGGACCTCTGTGCCATTGAGACTCTTGTCATCAGGCCTATTTGATTTGAGTCTCGTCGTCTCGGGATTGTTTTTTCTTTCCTACAGCCAGCTCCTGGTAACGTGATGAAGGCAGACCCTGACACAGGACAAATCAGGCATCGGAAACTTTTCTGGCCACTGGAATTCCCCTTCTTTCTTCCCCTCCTCCTACCTTCCTCTAATCATCTCTCCTTCTCCCTTTGGACAATGAAACTTGTACATCCAGACTTGTTTAATTTGCACCAAGTAAATACACAGGTTCTATTAGCCAAATTGAGCATTTGTCAAACATCCAGAATCTCTTTCCCAATGAGATGTCCCTGGGCCAGAATGAGCTGGGCTTTAAGGCTGGCCAAATGGGGCCATTAACTCTGGTGTTGTCGTGGCAACCTACCCCTCTCCTAGAGGAAGATAGAGGGACAGAGGATGGGGAGAGGGGAAAGAAGGGAGGGTGGGCATCTGGGTGATGACTTATTGGGGCAAAATTCCCATTTTCTCCCAATGATTGTGGAGTCCATACTTAATCATTGCCCTAGGAACTTTGCCCAGTATCAAAGCCAAGCTCTTTACCTTGGTGGATTTAAATGTTTAAAGTGCATTTCCTTGTAGCTGGGGTTCAGAGAGAACATCAGAGTCCAAGGCTTTATTGCCCCCTACCTTAAGTTTTCATTTTTTGCTGTGGTCTTATTTGGTTTGGGGATCAGGGTTATACCGGCTTTGTAGAATGAGTCTGGAAGAATTCTAACTCTTTCAATTTTTTGGAAGAGTTTGAGAAGAATTGGTATTAGTTCTTTAAACATTTGGTGGAATTCAGCAGTGAAGCTGTTTGGTCCTGGGATTTTCTTTGTTGAGAGACTTTTTGTTATTGATTCAACTTTGTTACTGGTTATTGGTCTGCTGAGGTTTTCTATTTATTCTTAGTTCAGTCTTGGTAGGTTGTATGTATCCAAGGATTTATCCATTTTTTTTTTTTTTTATGAGACAGAGTCTCACTCTGTCGCCGAGGCTAGGCTGGGGTGCAGTGGCGTGATCTCAGCTCACTGCAAGCTCCACCTCCCGGGTTCACGCCATTCTTCTGCCTCAGCCTCCTGAGTAGCTGGGACTACAGGCACCTGCCACCACGCCCGGCTAATTTTTTTGTATGTTTTTAGTAGAGATGGGGTTTCACCGTGTTAGCCAGGACGGTCTTGATCTCCTGACCTCGTGATCTGCCTGCCTCGGCCTCCCAAAGTGCTGGGATTACAGGCATGAGCCACTGTGCCTGGCTGAATTTATCCATTTCTAATAGGTTTTCAAATTTACTGGAGTATAGTTGTTTATAATAGTGTCTAATGATCCTTTGTATTCCCATGGTATCAGTCATGACATCTCCTTTTTCATTTCTGATTTTATTTATTTGAATCTGAGAAGAAGTTATTTCTAATATCTTTAACTATCAGTTGAGGGCTCTGGAGATCCACCAAACATGGTCATGAGAGAGGGTTATTGGGAGATACTGGTCACCAAAACTTGGCGTCACCCCTCGCACACACACACACACACCCCACACACAATCCACTGATGACAGCTAAGAGTCCCCAAGCGTAATCTTAGCCCCACTCTGTCCTCACTTGGACAAAGTACTGGTGCTAACATAGTGGAAATGCTTTTTCTCAGGTGTGAAAACACAAGCAGCTACTGTGTGGATTCACTTGATCAGGTATTGCCTTCTGGTAGGAGTCCAAGAGCTTTGATGCGAGAGCCAGCCTGTTCACACCCTGACTTCGTCACCAGCCAGCTCGGCCACACTGGGTCAACTGCTGAGCTCTCTAGGCCACAGGGGTGGTGATCGTGCCCACCTGATAGTTAATGCACACTAGCCACAGGCTTCCATCAGGAAAGAGTTTAGAACAATGCCCAGGCCACAGTAAACACTGTCTAAGAGCCAGACATTATTCTTAAAAGGCCAGCATGTATGAGAAAAATCTTATACAGTATTATATCACAGGTTTCTTGATGTCCTATTTTTGAATCTTTTTGATGCCTCTTTATTGAACACTAAGTGCTCTAAGAATAAATCATAAACAAGCCAGACTGTGTCCTCAGAAACTCACATTCTAGAAGGGGGGAGAATAAGTAAGCAGTGACGTAAATTCTGCAACAAGGGCGAGCTTGGGGCACTTCATTCCACATAGGCAATGTCCCTAATTCAGCCTTAGAGGGCCAGAGACAGCTTCCCTACAGGAGCTGAGTCCTACAGGTACATCCACAGTTTCTACACCTTTTCTCACCTATCAAATGCAGCAG
This sequence comes from Homo sapiens, assembly GCF_000001405.40. Taxonomy (NCBI): domain Eukaryota; kingdom Metazoa; phylum Chordata; class Mammalia; order Primates; family Hominidae; genus Homo; species Homo sapiens. The sequence goes on along the minus strand of NC_000018.10, from coordinate 10,187,202 downwards.
CTTTTGTGTGCAATGGGATTATAGTTACAGGTAAAAGGGAAGCTCATAGATTTTCCATGTTTAGGACAGCATGCTTCTGACATTTAATGCTCTAATAACTTGAAGGCCAGACTGCTATTAATGTAGAGTCTCAGAGACTGTTGGGTTGTAGTAGAAAGAAATTGGAATGTAAGTCAAGAGACTTGGCCTTCAGTGTTTGCTGTCTACTGTTAAATTTGGTTAGCCTAAAGCTGCCTCCTTATATATTTTAAATTCAGCCTAACATTTCTCCATATATAGTGAACTGTAACCTAACTGCATGTGTAAACAGGTGTAACGTGCTCTTGTAACAAGGAGCCAAGTCTCAGCCAATGATAGAAGCCAGACTTCAATCATTCACAGGTCGCCAACTATTTAAACCACATTCAAATAAGGCAAACACCAAGCTGTAACCAATCTAGCTGTTTCCATACCCTACTTCCATTTTCTGCACATTACTTTCCTCTTTCGGTCCATAAATCCTTTCCAACCACACAGCACTGCCAGAGTCTCCCAAACCTATTCTAATTAGTTGGGTGGGGCTGGAAGAGGGGGTAACAAGGGGTGTGCTGCCTGACTTGTGAATCATTCATTATTCAATTAAACTCTGTTAAATTTAATTTGTCTAACAAATGGTGTCAGAAGTGAGACTTGAAAGTTAACTTCCAGTGACCCCCAGGAGCATTGAGCGACCAAGTGAGGTACTCAGCAGACCCACTGTGCTCACTGCCTTCTCACAGAAGCTAGGAATCATGGGTAAGTTCTCTCTCAGGTTCTGAGGTTCCATGGATTTGTGTTTTCAGCTCTTTGAGTTTGAACAAATTTTTTATTCAAACTGGGCTGAAAAGTCCCAATAAAAACTGGACTGAGTCCAGGATGGGATAGATCTGATAATTAACTGGCTTAGATCCATGTAGAAGCCTCAGATGTCCAACTGGGCCAGACAGAAACTGGCAGTGAATAATAAAATTGGGGTGGGGGGGCTTTCACGGGGGTGTTTGTGTTCTATTTCCCACCCCTATTTTTTTCTTGCATGGTGAGGTAGAGAAAAATCACTGGCTAAGTTAATAAAGGTGATCTGAGAGCCAAAGCCAAAATTCAATGTAAAATGAGATCTTTAAATTCTAAAAAACAAAACACCCCCCTTCCATCTACAACTACCCACACATATATAAGCATTAGACCCCCCAAAACCAGAAACACTTACAAAAAAGACAAAATCTTACTAAAAATAATGTAAAATTAGAATGCAATATTCCAAATAAACAATACTACACATTAAAAAATACATTTAAAAATAAGGGTTCTTAAATTAGACTGATCCAAAAATGTTTACTAATGTGTAGAAGCTTCTAAAATTTTTTCAATATTTTTATTGCCTCTTTCAAAAGACTATAAAAAACAAATTAAAATCTTAATTGACTAATTAATTTAGAAACTTAAATCTGCTAGCCTTTTGGCTTAATTACTATCCTTCTATAAAGGCTTTTTAAAAGGCTATTCTAGATAAAATATTTATAAAAGATAGACCCTCAGGTAGAACAGGCATACTTATTTTTCGGAGCTGTCCATACTGAGTCCAGACGTAGAAAATATTTTCTTTGCCCTATTCTTTAATGAGCTCCACCTTAAGCTCAATAATTTTAGCTAAAAAATAATAACTAAGTTAAAAAGACCACCTATTAAACTAAATCTGCCTCCAAAATACAGCTTACAACATTAAGGTGGCCATTTTCAAACCCTTTTTTAAAAAAATTCACATCTATAAAAAAATTCAGTTATAAAGATATCTGCCTCTCTGCATCAAAAAGAGAGGAAGAAATGAGTAACTAAAACCTCTTACTGTTAGTTTAAGTTTACATAACTAGTCTTACTTTTACTTGAGGTATTTTTCCTTGACATATTGTCTTACCTGGGCCTTTACCTATACTCTCATTCCTTAATTTGAACAAATTATAATACAATATTTGAGCCTAACATCTCAGCTCTGTACTTTTGAGATAAACATTTTCTGTCTTTGTATTTGGCTGTTCTTACATTCTTATAAAGGAATATCTGAGGCTTTCATTCCTATAAAGGCATAATTTATAAAGAAAGAAAGTTGAATTGGTTCACACTTCTGCAGAATGTACAAGCATGGCACCACTATCTGCTCAGCTTCTGGTGAGGGCTTCAGGAAGCTGACAGTCATGGAGGAAGGTGAAGGGGGATGCCAGCATATCACATAGTGAGAGAGAGAGAGAGAGCAAGAGAGAAGGGGAAGTCCCAGATTTTTTTTTTTTGAACAACCAAATCTCATGTGAACTAACTAAGCAAGAACTCACTTATCACCAACGGGATGGTGCCAAACCATTCATAAGGGTTCGACCCCCAGGATCCAATCACCTCCCACCAAGCCCCACCTCCGACATTAAAAATCACCACACTTCAACATGAGATTTAGAGGGAACAAACATCTAAACCACATCAACTTTGTTTCACTTAAGAGTCATTCCTTTAAAAATACAAATTTAGGGTTGCTTGCTAACAAATACTCAAGATGATAAAATGTATAAGGATGTATAGTCTAAACAGAAAAAAAAACTATTGGCCAGTGTGGTGGCTCATGGCTGTAATCCCAGCACTTTGGGAGGCCAAGAAGGGCGGATCATGAAGTCAGGCGTTCAAGACCAGCCTGGACAACATGGTGAAACCCCACCTCTACTAAAAATACAAAAATTAGCCAGGTGTGGTGGTGGGCGCCTGTAATCACAGCTACTTAGGAGGCTGAGGCAGGAGAATCACTTGAACCCAGGAGACAGAGGTTACAGTGAGCCAAAATCACATCACTGCACTCCAGCCTGGGTGACGGAGCAAGACTCTGTCTCAAAAAAAAAAAAAAAAAAGAAGAAAAGAAAAAGAAAAAAAGGAAAAAAAACTATTTAAAAGACAACAAATAAAAATTCTCTATAAAAGCTATAAGATCTGATTCTGCCTAAGTATTTATCTTATGGGTGTGTGTGTGTGTGTGTGTGTGTGTATGACAGTTATATCACATTTATATATACTTGGTAAATAAAGCTAATTTAAAATTTTAAGTAAGTTTAAAATTCTAATAAAATAAAAACGGCTTCAAATTTGTCAGTTAAATATAATAAAAATATTTTTGCCTGGTTCTATGGGTTAAACAGATTTATACTGTCCCCTCTACATATTTTAAGGCAATAAAATTGCTGCTTCTATAATATTGTTAATGCTTAATTTGTTCACTAAAGAAAAAGACTGGCTGCTAGACTCCCCAAAGCCTTACACACATCTTACTGTGAGCTTGTCTTTAGTTTGAGGTTATAAATTCTAGGCTCTAGACAGGTGGCCATAATGAGGCCTGGAGACATGTCCTTGGCACCTTGACCACCAGCTGCAAAACAAAGTCAAACCCAATATGGCCCCTTTCTCCCTGGCCCAACTTTGCCTCCTGGCCATACTGAGAGAGTCAAACCTTCTAGACATCCTCTTCACAGGTTTGTCCTCTCTCAAGTTCTATACCTGATATATAAATTCAGGACCCAGAAGGGCTCTGTCATTCATAGCCATCCTGGGTGCCACATGGGTACTCAGGACCTGGGATAACTGGGGAAGACATTAGGGAGGGTACCTGTGTCACAGTTTCAAAATTCTGTCTGGTAATTTAAAATATTTAAGTCATATTATGTTAAATTAAGTAATAAATAATCATAAAATATCTGAGTCATTTCTAAGTTAAAATACTGAAACATTAATTATTAACATAAGTTTAAGTTTATATACTTTAGCATCTTATTTTTACATAGTATAGAAAAGCCAAATACATATAGATCTATTAATAAACAAAAAAATTAAGAAAACACATCCTTCTAAAAAATTAGGAAATGGTTTTTAATATATAAATACTAACATAAAACAGTTCAAAATTACTTACTTCCTAGGTTTTCATTAGAAATTAGAGAGTTACTATCACTTCTTGGCCTTTTGGCTAACATCAAGTGTAGAAATTAGAGTTACTAAGAGTTAAAATTATAGTTGATATGAATAATTAAAACTACTAGATATAAAAAACTGTATACAGAGTGTATTTAAAAGGCACTATGTGTTATTGGCAAAAAAATTATAAAGGCATAAAAATGAGTGTTGAAAATGTAATTTTGTCTAATTTAGAAGTTATTTAATAGTTCTTTCAAGTAGGAAAATTTAAAAAAGATCATGGCTGACTGGAGGCAGGACTAGATTGCAGCTCCGGACAGAGGAGCGTGCAGAGACTCACATTGTGAATTTTTACTCCAGATCGACTGCAAGAACAAATCAGCAATCCCGAGAGGACCCACAGGACCTCTGAAGGAAGCAAACTGCTCCTGCAGGACCCAGGAGACACCCCAAATACTGTGAGTGCCTGAACTGCACAAGTGGGAAAGGGAGACCCTCCTCTCCTGAACACACGCCCCCCACTAGAGAAGCTGAAGGTCTGTTTGTGGGAGAAGTTTCCGACTTCACCTGGAGCTGAGTCAATTTAGAGAGCCAAGCAAAATACAGGGGTAGGAAGAAGCAGCAGAAAGGCCCTGAGAGTTCGCTGGGTCCCCAACAGCCCATTCCTGCCTGGCACCACAGGGATCCATCCGGAGGGTGGGCAGAGGAGCAGGGCAAAACACCACAGGAAGAAGGAAATCTCTAGCTGAACTTTGTAACAATTTGAACAAGGCGAGTAGCCTCCTGGCCAGAACTCGGGGGAGGGTGCAAGTCCAGGGTGCAGACTCCACAGGCAGAGGAAGAACCAAGTCCTTTTTTTTCCCCCGCAACTGGGAAGCAGGTAGCCTGAGGCAACTTTTCAAGCCTGTCCTGCCCTCCACCTGGAAACAGACTCAGGGCTGTTGGTGGGGGGACACGGTGGGAGTGAGACCAGCCCTTCAGTTTGCATGGGAGCTGGGTGAGGCCTGTGACTGCCGGCTTTCCCCCACTATCCTGACAACCTGCATGACTCAGCGGAGGTAGCCGTAATCCTCCCAGGTACACAAATCCAGTGACCTGGAAATCTCACTCCCATCCCTCACAGCAGCCACAGCAAGACCCACTCAAGGAGAGTCTGAGCTCAGGCACGCCTAGCTCCACCCCACCTGCTGGTCCTTCCCTATCTACCCTGGTAGCGGAAGACAAAGGGTATATAATCTTGAGAGTTCTATTTCCCTGCCCACCACCGGTCCCTCTCCACACTACTATGGCTGATGCTTTCTGGAAATTGGAACCTCCTGGCAGGTGGCCAACCGGCACAAAAATAGAGCATTAAACCACCAAAGCTGAGGACCTTCACGGAGTCCATTGCGCCCTCTGCCACCTCCACCGGAACAGGCGCAGGTATCCATGGCTCAAAGACCCATAAACAGCTCACATCAGAGGACTCTGTAGAAAACCCCCAGTACCAGCCTGGAGTTGGGTAGACTCACTGAGTGGCTAGACCCAGAAGAGAGACAATAATCACTACAATTCAGCTCACAAGAAGCCACATCTATAGGAAAAGGGGGAGAGTACTACATCAAGGGAACATCCCATGGGACAAAAGGATCTGAAAAACAGCCTTCAGCCCTAGACCTTCCCTCTGACAGAGCCTACCCAAATGAGAAGGAACCAGAAAACCAACCCTGGTAATATGACGAAACAAGACTCTTCAACACCCCACAAAAATCACAGTAGTTGGACAGCAATGGATTCAAACCAAGAACAAATCCCTGATTCACCTGAAAAAGAATTCAGGAGGTTAGTTATTAAGCTAATCAGGGAGGGACCAGAGAAAGGCAAAGCCCAATGCAAGGAAATCCAAAAAATGATACAAGAAGTGAAGGGAGAAATATTCGTGGAAATGGATAGTTTGAAGAAAAAACAATAAAAAGTTCAGGAAACTTTGGACACACTTTTAGAAATACAAAATGCTCTGGAAAGTCTCAGCAATAGAATTAAACAAGTAGAAGAAAGAAATTCAGAGCTCGAAGACAAGGTCTTCAAGTTAATCCAATCCAACAAAGACAAGGAAAAAATAATAAGAAAATATGAAAAATGTCTCCAAGAAGTCTGGGATTATGTTAAACGACCAAACCTAAGAATAATTGGTGTTTCCGAGGAAGAAGAGAATTCTAGAAGCTTGTAAAACATATTTGGAGGAATAATCGAAGAAAATTTCCCCAGCCTTGCTAGAAACCTAGACATGCAAATATGAGAAGTACAAAGAACACCTGGGAAATTCATCGCAAAAAGATCTTTGCCTAGGCACATTGTCATCAGGTTATCCAAAGTTAAGACGAAGGAAAGAATCTTAAGAGCTGTGAGACAGAAGCACCAGGTAACCTATAAAGGAAAACCTGTCAGATTAACAGCAGATTTATCAGCAGAAACCCTAAAAGCTAGAAGGCTTTGGGGCCCTATCTTCAGCCTCCTCAAACAAAACAATTATCAGCCAAGAATTTTGTATCCAGTGAAACCAAGCATCATATATGAAGGAAAGATACAGTCATTTGCAGACAAGCAAATGCTGAGAGAATTTGCCATTACCAAGCCACCACCACAAGAACTGCTAAAAGGAACATTAAATCTTGAAACAAATCCTGGAAACACATCAAAACAGAATCTCTTTAAAGCATAAATAACACAGGACCTGTAAAACAAAAATAGAAATTAAAAAGTAAACACAAAAAACCTAAGTATACAGACAACAAAGAGGAAGGTGAATGCAACAATCCCTCACATTTCAATACTAATATTGAATGGAAATGGCCTAAATGCTCACTTAAAAGACACAGAACCACAGAATGGATAAGAACTCACCAACCAACTATCTGCTACCTTCAGAAGACTCACCTAACACATAAGGACTCACATAAACTTTAAGTAAATGGGTGGAAAAGGGCATTTCATGCTCACCAAAAGTGAGCAGGGGTAGCTATTCTTATATCAGACAAAACAAACTTTAAAGCAACAGCAGTTAAAAGAGACAAAGAAGGACATTATATAATGGTAAAAGGCCTTGTCCAACAGGAAAACATCACAATCCTAAACATATATGCCCCTAACACTGGCGCTTCCAAATTTATACAACAATTACTATAGACCTAATAAATGAGATGACAGCAACACAGTAATAGTGCGGGACTTCAGTACTTCACTGACACCACTAGGCAGGTCATCAAGACAGAAAGTCAACAAAGAAACAATGCATTTAAACTATGCCTTGGAACAAATGGACTTAACAGATATATACAGAACATTTCATCCAACAGCCGCAGAATACACATTCTATTCAACGGCTCATGGAAATTTCTCTGAGATAGACCATATGATAAGCCATAAAACAAGCCTCAATAAATTTAAGAAAATTGAAATTATATCAAGCACTCTGTCAGACCACAGTGGAATAAAACTGGAAATCAACTCCAAAAGGAACTTTCAAAGCCATGCAAATACATGGAAATTAAATAACTTGCTTCTGAATGAGTGATGGGTCAAAAAGGAAATCAAGATGGAAATAAAAAAATCTTCAAACCGAATGACGATAATAACACAACTTATCAAAACTCGGGGATACAGCCAAGGCGGTGCTAAGAGGGAAGTTCATGGCCCTAAACGCCTACATCAAAAAGACTGAAAGAGCACAAACTGACACTCTAAGGTCACACCTCAAAGAACTAGAGAAACAAGAGCAAACCAAGCCCAAACCCAGCAGAAGAAAGGAAATAACCGAGATCAAAGCAGAGCTAAATGAAATTGAAACAAAAAAAATACAAAAGAGAAATGAAATGAAAAGCTGGTTCTTTGAAAAGATAAATAAAATTGATAGACCATTAGCAAGAGTAACCAAGAAAAGAAGAGAGAAAATCCAAATGTCCTCACTAAGAAAAGAAACAGGAGATATTACAACTGACACAACTGAAATACAAAAGGTCATTCAAGGCTACTATGAACACCTTTATGCACATAAACTCAAAAACCTAGAAGAGAGGGAAAAATTTCTGGAAAAATTCAACCATCCTAGGTTAAAACAGGAATAATTAGATGTCCAAAAAGACCAATTGAAATGGTAATTTAAAAATTACCAACAAAAAAAGCCCAGGACCAGATGGATTCACAGCAGAATTCTACTAGACATTCAAAGAAAAATTGGTACCAATCCTTTTGACACTATTCCACAAAATAGAGAAAGAACAAACCCTCCCTAATTCATTCTATGAAGCCAGCATCACTCTAGTACCAAAACCAGGAAAGGATATAACCAAAAAAGAAAACTACAGATCAATATCCTTGATGAACATAGACAGTAATATCCTTAAGAAAATACTAGCTAACTGAATCCAACAACATATCAAAAAGATAATCCACCATGATCAAGTGGGTTTCATACCAGGGACACAGGGATGGTTTAACATACACAAGTCAATAAATATGATACTCCATGTAAACAGAATTAAAAGCAAAAACTACATGATCATCCCTATAGATGCAGAGAAAGCATTTGACACAACTCAGAATCCCTCTATGATTAAAACTCTCGGCAAAATTGGCATACAAGGTGATATGGTTTGGCTGTGTCCCCATTCAAATCTCAACTTGAATTGTATCTCCCAGAATTCCCAAGTGTTATAGGAGGGACCCAGGGGGAGGAAATTGAATCATGGGGGCCAGTCTTTCCCATGCTAATTTCATGATAGTGATTAAGTCTCACAAAATCTGGTGGGTTTATCAGAGGATCCCACTTTTGCTTCTTCCTCTTTTTTCACTTGCCGCTGCCATGCAAGAATTGCCTTTCACCTCCTGCCATGATTCTGAGGCCTCCCCAGCCATGTGGAACTGTAAGTCCAATTAAACCTCTTTTTCTTCCCAGTCTTGGGTATGCTATTATCAGCAGTGTGAAAACGAACTAACACACAAGGGACATACCTTAATGTAATAAATGCCACGTATGACAAACCCACAGCCAACGTAACACTGAAAGGGGAAAAGTTGAAAGCATTTCCTTTGAGAACTAGAACAAGACAAGGATGCCCACCCTCACCACTCCTCTTCAACATAATACTGGAAGTTCTAGCCAGAGCAATCAGACAAGAGAAAGAAATAAAGGGCATCCAAATCAGTAAAGAGGAACTCCAAGACACATAATTGTCAGATTCACCAAGGTTGAAATGAAGGAAAAAATGTTAAGCACAGCCAGAGAGAAAGGTCAGGATACCTACAAAGGGAAGCACATCAGACTAACAGTGGATCTCTCTGCAGAAACCCTACAAGCCAGAAGAGAGTGGGGGCCAATAGTCAATATTCTTAAAGAAAAGAATTTTCAACCCAAAATTTCATATTCAGCCAAAATAAACTTCATAAGTAAAGCAGAAATAAAATCCTTTACAGACAAGCAAATGCTGACAGATTTTGTCACCACCAGGCTTGCCTTGCACAAGCTCCTGAAGGAAGCACTAAACAGGCAGATACAACCAGTATCAGCCACTGCAAAAACATGCCAAATTGTAAAGACCATTGAGGCTAGGAAGAAACTGCATCAATTAACAGGCAAAATAACCAGCTAACATCATAATGACAGGATCAAATTCACACATAACAATACTAACCTTAAATGTAAATGGGCTAAATGCCCCAATTAAAAGACACAGACTGGCAAATTGGATAAAGAGTCAAGACCCATCAGTGTGCTGTATTCAGGAAACCCATCTCATGTGCAGGGACACATATAGGCTCAAAATAAAGGGATGGAGGAAGATCTACCAAGAAAATGGAAATCAAAAAAAATCAGGGATTGCAATCCTAGTCTCTGATAAAACAGACTTTAAGCCAAAAAAGATCAAGAGAGACAAAGAAGGCCATTACATAATGGTAAAGGGATCAATTCAACAAGAAGAGCTAACTATCCTAAATATATATACACCCAATACAGGAGCACCCAGATTCATAAAGCAAGTCCTTAGAGACCTGCAAAGAGACAAAAACTCCCTCACAATAATAATGGGAGACTTTAATACCCCACTGTTAATTAGACAGATTAACAAGACATAAGGTTGACAAGGATATCCAGGACTTGAACTCAGCTCTGCACCAAGCAGACCTAATAAACGTCTACAGAACTTTCCACCACAAATCAACAGAATATGCATTCTTCTCAGCACCACGTTGCACTTATTCTAAAATTGATCACATAATTGGAAGGAAAGCACTCCTCAGCAAATGTAAAAGAACAGAAATCACAGCAAACTGTCTCTCAGACCACAGTGCAATCAAATTAGAACTCAGGATTAAGAAACTCATTCAAAACCGCTCAACTACATGGAAACTTAACAACCTGCTCCTAAATTACTACTGGGTAAATAACTAAATGAAGGCAGAAATAACGATGTTCTTTCAAACCAATGAGAAAAAAGACACAATGTACAAGAATCTCTGGGACACATTTAAAGCAATGTGCAGAGGGAAATTGATAGCACTAAATGTCTACAAGAGAAAGCAGGAAAGATCTAAAACCGACACTCTAACATCACAAATAAAAGAACTAGAGAAGCAAGAACAAACACATTCAAAAGCTAGCAGAAGGCAAGAAATAACTAAGATTAGAGCAGAACTGAAGGAGATAGAGACCAAAAAAAAAACCTTCAAAAAATCAATGAATCCAGGAGATGTTTTTTTTTGAAAGATCAACAAAATTGATAAGACTGCTAGCAAGACTAATAAGAAGAAAAGAGAGAAGAATCAAATAGATGCAATAAAACATGATAAAGGGGATATCACCACCAATCTCACAGAAATACAAACTACCATCAGAGAATATTATAAACACCTCTATGCAAATAAACTAGAAAATCTAGAAGAAATGGATAAATTTCAGGAAACATACATCCTCCCAAGACTAAACCAGGAAGAAGTTGAATCTCTGACTAGACCAATTACAGGCTCTGAAATTGAGGCAATAATTAATAGCCTACCAACCAAAAGAAGTGCAGGACCAGACGGATTCACAGCCAAATTCTATTAGAGGTACAAAGAGGAGCTGGTACCATTCCTTCTGAAACTATTCCAATCAATAGAAAAAGCGAGAATCCCCCCTAACTCATTTTATGAGGCCAGCATCATCCTGATACCAAAGCCTGGTAGAGACACAACAAAAAAAGAAAATTTTAGACCAGTATCTCTGATGAATGTCAGTGCAAAAATCCTCAATAAAATACTGGCAAACCGAATCCAGCAGCACATCAAAAAGCTTATCCACCACGATCAAGTCGGCTTTATCTCTGGGATGCAAGGCTGGTTCAACATAAGCAGATCAATAAATGTAATCCATCACATAAACAGAACCAACGACAAAAACCACATGATTATCTCAATACATGCAGAAAAGGCCTTCAACAAAATTCAACAATCCTTCATGCTAAAAACTCTCAATAAACTAGGTATTGATGGAATGTATCTCAAAATAATAAGAGCTATTTCTGACAAATGCACAGCTAGTATCATACTGAATAGGCAAAAACTGGAAGCATTCTCTTTGAAAACCGGCACAAGACAAGGATGCCCTCTCTCACCACTTGTATTCAACATAGTGTTGGGGGTTCTGGCCAGGGCAATCAGGCAGGAGAAAGAAATAAAGGGTATTCAATTAGGAAAAGAGGAAGTCAGATGGTTTCTGTTTGCAGATGACATGACTGTATATTTAGAAAACCCCATCGTCTCAGCCCAAAATCTCCTTAAGCTGATAAGCAACTTCAGCAAAGTCTTAGGATACAAAATCAATGTACAAAAATCACAAACATTTCTATACACCAATAACAGACAAACAGAGAGCCAAATCATGAGTGAACTCCCATTCACAATTGCTACAAAGAGAATAAAATACCTAGGAATACAACTTACAAGGGATGTGAAGGACCTCTTCAAGGAGAACTACAAACCACTGCTCATCAAAATAAAAGGGGACACAAACAAATGGAAGAACATTCCATGTGCATGGATAGGAAGAATCAATATCGTGAAAATGGCCATACTGCCCAAGGTAATTTACAGATTCACTGCCATCCCCATCAAGCCTCCAATGACTTTCTTCACAGAATTGGAAAAAACTACTTTAAAGTTCATATGGAGCCAAAAAATAGCCCACGTTGCCAAGACAATACTTAGCAAAAGGAACAAAGATGGAGGCATCACACTACCTGACTTCAAACTACACTACAAGCCTACAGTAACGAAAACAGCATGGTACTGGTACCAAAACAGAGATATAGACCAATGGAACAGAATACAAGGCTTAGAAATAACACCACACATCTACAACCATCTGATCTTTGACAAACCTGACAAAAACAAGAAATGGGGAAAGGATTCCCTATTTAATAAATGGTGCCGTTAAAACTGGCTAGCCACATGTAGAAAGCTGAAACTGGATCCCTTTCTTACACCTTTTACAAAAATTAATTCAAGATGGATTAAAGACTTAAATGTTAGACCTAAAACCATAAAAACTCTAGAAGAAAACCTGGGCAATACCATTCAGGACATAGGCATGGGCAAGGACTTTATGACTAAAACACCAAAAGCAATGGCAACAAAAGCCAAAATAGACAAATGGGATCTAAGTAAACTAAAGAGCTTCTGCATGGCAAAAGAAACTACCATCAGAATGAACAGACAACCTACAGAATGGGAGAAAAATTTTGCAATCTACCCATCTGACAAAGGGTTAATACCCAGAATCTACAAAGAACTCAAACAAATTTACAAGAAAACAAACAACCCCATCAAAAACTGGGTGAAGGATATGAACAGACACTTCTCAAAAGAAAACATTTATGCAGCCAAAAGACACATGAAAAAATGCTCATCATCACTGGTCATCAGAGAAATGCAAATCAAAACCACAATGAGATATCATCTCATGCCAGTTAGAATGGCAATCATTAAAAATCAGGAAATGACAGATGCTGGAGAGGATGTGGAGAAATAGGAATGCTTTTACACTGTTGGTGGGAGTGTAAACTAGTTCAACCATTGTGGAAGACAGTGTGGCGATTCCTCAAGGATCTAGAACTAGAAATACCATTTGACCCAGCCATCCCATTACTGGGTATATACCTAAAGGATTATAAATCATGCTACTATAAAGACATGTACATGTACGTGTACATTTATTGCAGCACTATTCACAATAACAAAGACTTGGAACCAACCCAAATGTCCATCAATGATAGACTGGATTAAGAAAACGTGGCACATATACACCATGGAATACTATGCAGCCATAAAAAAGGATCAGTTTATGTCCTTTGCAGGGACATAGATGAAGCTGGTAACCATCATTCTGAGCAAACTATCACAAGGACAGAAAACCAAACACCTCATGTTCTCACTCATAGGTGGAAACTCAACAATGAGATTACTTGGAAACAGGGTGGGGATCATCACACACCAGGGCCTGTCAGGGGTTGGGGGCTGGGGCAGGAATAGCACTAGGAGAAATACCTAATGTAAATGACGAGTTGATGGGTGCAGCAAACCAACATGACACATGTATACCTATGCATCAAACCTGCATGCTGTGCACATGTACCCTAGAACTTAAAGTATAACAAAAAATTTAAAAACTAAAGAAAAAACTCCATGGACCAAGTCAAATGGCCTGTAATAATCCATTTAATGAATAGTTCCATACACATAAACTTAAAAAATAAAATTAATATTTTAAAAGATATAATTCCAATATTAAGCATAGATTCATGGAAAGTCAAGATGGCCATCTGGTCCTTAAAACTTCCATTATTAAAAGCTCTACACTCTGTGACTTATCATGAAAAAAAATCCAATGATATATATATATATATATATAAATATATATATATTAGTAAAACAACTGTTCTAAATTACTAAAATGGTTTATGACCAATGTTTGGTTTATGAAACTCATAATCCCAGAAGGATAATCAAAACTTCAGATATAATACATTTCTGCTACCTAATGGGTGATTTAAACACTTTTAGAGAGATTTCATTCAATTGCCATTTTCAATACATGTTTTCTAATTATATAGAAGCCTTCCCATAAAAAAAGGCTAATGATATGACAATATCTATAAGATTATTAGAAAATATGTTTCCCTCATGAGACATTCCAAAAAAACCCTCCAACGATAGAGGCTTATTTCACTAGACAAATTGTAAAACAGTTAGATAACATTACAGCTACAAAAATAGTAGACCAAAGGAGCTAAATCAACTAAATTGCCTTAGTCAAAGATATCACAGATTGATGACAATCAAATCCACTTCCAAATAAATTGGCCCTTTATAAGATAGTCACTAAAAGGCCTATGCCCCTAATAATAGAACATCATATATCTTTCGCTCCTGAATTCTGATACGACTAAACGCTGCAAGGCTTTAACATGTTATGCCAAAATATATTTTCAGATTAAAGAAAGCTGTTCTTAATCCACCAACTAAATATAATCAAACCCTTCACGATCCAGAACCCAAAGATAGAGTCTTCTAAAAATGACATCAAAGAAAAACTGCCCTTACCACCCACATTACAGCAAAACTTTGAGACTTCAGACCTTGGGTTCATGATCTCACAACTCAGAAGGGCCCCTCCAGATGCTTAAAACTGTATACCTGTTAGAACCCTTAAGGTAAACTTAACCAAAGAAGTTTCTCCCCAACAATGGACAGCAGCTTACACATAGCTTTCCCAAGATGACAGATCAAGACTTCTCTGCCATCACGAGACTCTAACCTCTCATTTTTTTTCTTACTTATGCCTCTATAAATAACAAAACTAAAGAACACTCATGTGCACCCGTGAAATATACTTTTATTTATAAAAGATTTTACAGCCAGTCTTATTCATAGACAAACTTATGCCTTGATAGATAAAAAATAAAGGTCCAATATTGACTAAAGGTTTTAATAATACCTTTGTTACTTCATAGTGAAAAACGAAACATTAGTGCACTCCTCTTATTAAAAAAATTGCCAGAAAGCCTTCACCTTTCTAGATAGACATCATTATTACATCCCTTCCTCCATGGTTTACAAAAAATAAAACAATGATTAAAAATTTATCCCTCATACTGGGCTCTATAGCAGATTTTACTACAAAGGCTAAGATTACACAATAGACTTCTTAAATTATCTTGCTAAAGTTACACTAAATAATAAAACTACCTTAAATTACCTACTGACTAAACAGAAAAATAATATAAGTACAATTGCTGACATTTCTTGTTACATATAGATAAAATACATCAGATATTACAGAAATTCAGTTATAAGAGATTAACAGACTACTTAAGTAAAACAAATAGGTTCTCCATTTGTCTCATTCTTTTTTTTTTTTTTTTTTTTTTTGAGATGGAGTCTCACTCTGTCACCCAGGCTGGAGTGCAGTGGCACAATCTCGACTCACTGCAACCTCCACCTAGCAGGTTCAAGAAGCAGCTCTCTTGCCTCAGCCTCCTATGTAGGTGGGATTACAGGCACATGCCACCACACCCAGATATTTTTTTTTTATTTTTCATTTTTAGGAGAAACAAAGATTTACCATGTTGGCCAGGCTGGTCTCGAACTCCTGACCTTCAGTGATCCACCCACCTCGGCCTCAGCCTCCCAAAGTGCTGGGATAACAGGCGTGAGCCACCACGCCCAGCCTCATTCTTTAATTTTAGTGACATAGTTTATGGAGAACCTGGCTTAAAAAAACGTACTTCCAACTCTTGATATTATCCTTACATATCCTGCCTCCTTACATATTTTAAGTTCATAATAGTAGTCTCTCTGATGTGCTATATTATGTGAAAATTTTTAAATATTTACCTACAGTCATCCATAAAATATCAAATTACCTTTCTTCAACAAAAACAATAAAAGCTCAAAAAAGTACGTGATCATAGACACCATAACCTGTAATGACCTATGGAGACCAAAAACCCAAAATAATAATAAGTAAAAACAGTTCTAAAGCCCCAAGTGTTGGTCACAGGTCACACTCTCACCTAAATAAAAATCTGACCAAAAAAAAATTGTTAAACAAAATTATGAGGCCATTATTTTAGACGGAGCTCATATACCGGACCTCAATAGACCAGACCAAATTAAAGCCAGACAGAGTCACTCATACAAACTAAAACTTTATTTTAAAAAACACCAGATAAATCCCAAGACAGACCAGATTTTTTTTTGCCTCCTAAAAACAAGAAATTCCAACATAAAGGGATCCCCTCTACTCTAACCTTTACCAAAAAGTAACCTAGAGTTCTTATTCTCACCTTATATAACCTACCATTCTACCACTTCCTAGTGAAATTTGAGATCAAATAAATACATTTGCAAAGGTGACAAAGTGATATCAATGCCGAATGTTTTGGTCAACCTCTCAAAATTGGGAGGTTGACCAATAGGGGGAAATTGTTAAATTAAGTTTAGCCTAAAGCTATCACCTTCATATTTCAAGTTCAGCCTAATGGTTTGTCCATTCATAGGAAACTGTAGCCTAACTGGATGCATAGCTAGACGTAACCTACTCTTGAAACAATAGCTAAGTCTCAGCCAAACTCAGCAACCAGACTTCAGCCACTCACAGGCAGCCAGCTGTTCAAACAAGTTCCACTAAGGCAAAACTGAGCTGCAACCAGTCTGGCTTTTTCTGTGCCTCACGTCTGTTTGTTTTCTGTGCCTCACTTTCCTTTTTCTGTCCGTAAATCCTTTCCAACCACTCAGCAGCACTGGAGTTGCTCCGAACGTATCCTGACTCAGAGGGCATCCCAATTTGCAAATCATTCTTTACCCAAGTAAACTCTGCTAAATTTAATTTGTCTAAAGTCCTTATTTTAATGCTGCCTATCTTGTGCCTGTCACTTCATGGCAGCATCCTCCCTCATCTGCAAAATGAGCACAACGTTACCTGTCCTATCTGTCTTGCTGTGCTGTAGCAAGGGTGCAATAAGTTAATGTAGATTGAAATACATTGCAGCAACCACAAGATGTTGCACATGTAAAGTGACATTGCTGTCAGCAGCAGCAGCAGCTCAAGTTGATCATAATAAAGCAAGGCTATTATCTTTATGCAAGGAGATTTGGTAAGCTCTCCTGGTTTTACAGCTCAAGGTCCCACATCCTGGAAAGCCCCTCAATGTCAGGCCAACAGGGCTGGCTGGTCACCCTCCAACAGTGATGGCAAGTCAGACCTTAAGTTCCGATTCCTCATTTGCCCCAAACCTACCCTTCAGGCCTGGGTTAGCCAATTAACTTTTCAGCACTTCAGGCTTGTACCTCGTTTTGTCTAACAAAGAACTAGGAGAATGAAGAACAGGGGTTGTGTATCCTGGCTGCCTATTAGAACCATTCTAGAAAACTTTGATAATTTTCCATTTTGGGGACCTACCCCAGAGCAAGTAACTAGTAAATCACAATCTAAACATTACATCACAACTGCTTATTGTTAATTATTAAATGACAGTCTCTGGAGAGTGGCGCCCAGTCATCTGTTTTGTTTGCTATTGTTTTTGTTGTCGCTGTTGTTTGTCCCATAGGTGATTTCTGTACCCAGCCAGGAGTAAGAGCCCTGCATCCGAGCTATGTTCTTCCTGCCTCACAGGCAGTCCATGATGGCTCATGAGACCATGTTTATTTAGACCAGGGCAATCTGCACATGAACGTGCCCTGGCTGCTTGGCCTCTCTTCTTGTACATTTGCTGTAATTGTTGGCAAGAGCTGAAGTGCACTCATATATTATGGTTGTTATTATTGGCATCAGAGGAAGGAATGTTCATGGCTTTTATCAGCAACCAATGTATTTGCATTACTCACTGTATAGCTAATGACAGGCAGCATATGCATTTTTTGAAATGCCAAGTAAGTACCCAAATAAGATGAAAGAGCTTGAGGGCACATTGTACTGTCACCAAAGCACATCATCTATCGGATGGATCGGATCTGAGCAGCACTCTCTCTTCCCCACCTGCCCCTCCTGCCAAGTGTGTGCCCAATGAGGCAGAGGATCTAGGGCTCTGGCACACCCCTCACCAGCTCACGTGGGAGCCAGTGGCCTGTGCAGGCTTGTGTGGAGACAAAAGTCTTCTCTTCTCACTTTAAGGACAAACCTCTTAGGTAGGCATGAGGGGGGAGGCAAACTTTTCTTTAGAACTTTCTGCTAGAAGGAGATATGAAAACACATTAAAACTAATGGCAAAACCACAATTACTTTTGCACCAACCTAATATGTAAAGACAATTTGGGAATAAACTATAACCTAAGTCCAAATAAAAAGACTGACTTTAATTCATATTTTCATATCTCAACATTACGTGGCCCCTAATAACTAAAGCTGAAATCCAGAGGGCGGGCTTTGTGGCAGAAGAGAAGTCAGTTCTGGATATTCATAAGATTTAGCAGATGCAGCCAGCTCCAGGCTCACAGAGAGGGTCTGTGTGTTGTCAGAGCGAGAATTTACCGGGGCTGCCGCTGGCGACACCACATGTAGCCTGGTGTCTTGCCAGTGAGTGACCTCGTCCTCTGCCCAAGTCCTCTTAATGTAAATGGGAAGGCTCCAAGCCATGTAGTGAAATAAATCGAACCTTTGAGTGACCAAGAGACCCTCTGAGGTGCTGGCTCTGAAAAGCCACCTGTCTGTTACTCAGCAGGTGGCTCCCAGCAGGACGGGACTGTGCCAGCCTTTATGCGTCCCAGTATAACCTGGTTACCTACACAATGTGCCTTCTGAGTGCCATCCGGGTCCCCAGCATATGGCCCTCCCCAGGCCCCTGCCCTCTGCTCCTCCAGGCCCAGAACATCCTCTGACCTCCCTACCCTAGTTATCAAGGGCCTACCATCTCTCAAGCCCAGCTGACATCCCTCCACCTCCCTAAGGACTGAGGCCACCCTGCCTCCACTATCCCAGTACACAGTGATAAGAACAGAACATACCCATAGTCCTTTTGTCACAGTCTGAAATTTACAGTGCTCTGAAAAACAGAAATTTTTCATACCTCATTTGGCAGCAAAACCTCCCCTGAATTGCCATGAGGCCTAACTGCTGGTGCTCGATGCCACATGGCTCCACTGCCATTTTGGCCTTTCCCTGGATGCCTTGCCCTGGGACATCTAAAGCTGGGTTTCTACCCTAGCGTTAACTTTCATTGCTTTTTCTAAACGGAACAGAAAGGGCGTACAAGGCCCTGGGCCCCGGAGCAAATCCACAGCAGGGAATGAGTGTCTCTAGGTTGGCAGGCCGGGCCAGAGGAGGAGTTATCAGAGCGAGCAAAAGCAGTGCAGTGGTGGGCACCCGGGACCTATGAGCCGAGAGGCAGGGAGGAGGTCTGAGATTCCAAGGGCAGGATGAAGAGCACGTGGAGAACTCTAGGCACCTTGTACCGTGGTGAGGCAATACTGTTCTCAGACAGGAGATGCCTTTCTGTTCAAGGTAAGATACAGTTAATTTGCTCTTAATCAAAAACAAAGAAGAAAAGAAAGAAAGAACCTAGGAGATTTTCAGCAAGTAGGAAGCAGGCAGGAGATGTGAGGCAGTCCAGGGCAGAATGGGGAGTCTGTCACTCCGTCATAGGCAAGACTCTGAAGAAAAAGCAAGTGCACTCCCCAGGGACAAATGAGGGGTGGAGGAACCTGCACCCCTTCCTCCTCCTGAGGTCCAGCTGTTGGCTGCCCTGCAACAAGCATCTCCCCCAACCTCAGCACAGTTTGTTTGTTTGTTTGTATAAGACAGGGTGTCACTCTGTCACCCAGGCTGGAGTGTGGTGGCACAATCTCAGTTCACTGCAGCCCCAACTGCCCAGGCTCAAGCCATCCTTTGCCTCAACCTCCAGGGCCATGCCGCCACACCTGGTTAATTTTTAAAAATTATTTGAAGAGATGAGGTCTCACTATGTAGTCCAGGCTGCACAGTCTTGCCACACACCGTAGCTTTGTTTCCACTTGCTTGGGGACCTATAGGAACTAGGGCTGTGTCCCCACAAAACTGGCACTGAGAAAACAGAATCACCACGTAAGGCAGATCGTGAAAGTGATCAGGAGTTCACAGGGACAAGAAATCAAAGTGAGAGATGGTGACCACGAGATCAAAAGCTCTTAAAATGTTTCACAAATATGGAGGAAACAAACCTCACTTTGTTGCTAAAGACCCAGGGGTGGGGCCGGGCCTGATGGCACCTTGTTGTTCCAGCTACTCGGGAGCATCCTTTTAGCCCCAGGAATCGAGGCTGCAGTGAGCCATAATCTCACCACTGCACTCCAGCCTGGGCGACAGAGCAAGACTCTGTTTTAAACATAAATAAATAAATAAATAAAAATAAAAATAAATGGAGAAATTTAGGCTAGTGACATTGCACGTGTATTTCTTTTTTCAGCCTCACAGTGATGATTCAAACTGCATCTGACCCCAGAGCCTGTTTTCAGACACAGGCGGGACAGCCCTGGTTGAAGAAGGGACCTGGGGCTGAAGCGCCCTGGGCACAGGCCCTTCCCCCTAAGCCCAGGGGGATTGCCCTCTTGACCTTCCGCAGGCCCTGGGGCAAGGGTTCTCGGTGAAGTCCTGCTCCTTCTCTCCTGCATCCTTGCTCCATCCTGCCCCTCTCAGGGCAATGAGCACGGGCCTGCGGACTCCATGCTTGCACGCCAAACTCCATTCCCTTCGGCGGGCACATCCCCAGCCAGGTGTCCTCTCCAGGCCCAAGGGAGGGCACGCCTGTGGTGGCTCGGTGGAAGGAGGACCACACACAGCCTGGCAGCAGCTCGGAGGCCCTGGGAGCAGGAGCATCAGCACCCCTAGCCTCGGGCCCTAAATAGGCTCTCCAAAGTGTAAATCAGACCACGTCTCAGCCTCTCCACAGATCTCCATGACATACAAAGCCTCCCCAGCTTCCTGAACACGATCCCCGCTGGCTCGGAGACCTTCTGACGCCCCCTTCTTTTCCCCAGGCTGCAGGAGCAGTCCCCTCGGCGTCCCCGCTGGGTCCAGCCTCTGCACCTCGGCTCATGCGGTACCCCCCGTTAGACCCACTACGTCTTCACTGTCCTGGCTTCCCTCCCAGCTAGGGGATCCTCCCTTTCTAGTGTCCATGCCCGTCTCTGGGTATGGAAACCCTACCTCTGTAGCTGCTCCCCTCGGCCTGCACTAGCCCTCATCCCCTGCCACAGGCCCTGCGCGCATTCACCTTGGGCCTGAAGTCCCCAGCAGAGAGCTTGAGCGGGATGGGTCCTCGCCGGTATGTGCGGGGCAGAATTAAACTCATCTGGCAGGTACCACCCAGTGCACAGAAACCCGGCCCTTAGAGACACCGATTCAGAGAAGAAAAAAGGCCTCTGTGAGGGACAGGAATCCCCCGGCCGTCCGTGGAGACAATCTCGAGCCACAGTCCTGCCTGGATCAAGGTGTCTTTCCAGCGCCTGAGGAGTCTGGGCCTGTGACTCCCAGTGTGCAGAGCCCTCGGGGCCCTCAGCGGTGCTGTGCTGACTTCAGGTGGGCTCTCAGTGGCAGGCACCTGATGATCCCTCCCAGAGGCTTTTACCTGCACCTGGAGAAGGTGGATCTGAGCTCGTGTGCCCCAGGCCTCAGGTGCTAGACACTTCACACCCGGGGAGTCTCCCTCAGTAAGAGACTCCGTCCAGATTCCCTCACAGCTGCTGTGCAGGAGGGATAATTCAGAGGCAGAGTTTAATACCATTTCCCAAAATGTTCTCACTCTACCTGGGATTAGGTTCCGGTTATCACTGCTAACCGGCTTCACAGTGCGTCTTCTGTTGGCTGCCTCCCTTCCTTGTCATCATTTACCCACTCCCTTCTGGCCGTTCCCTGTAAATCCCAAAATAAACGGTTTGGATTCAAACCCTCCTCTCAGGGTCCGCCCTGAGAAAAACTCCAGCCAAGACACCATGATACCCGAATCAAGGACACTTATGAAATAACTGCTGCTTTAACTTTTTTTTTTTTTTGCCTGAAATCAATACACCTTATAAAAAATAACATTGATATTTTTGTTTGTCTTTAAGAAAAATAAAATCTTTATTTCATTAGAAAATGGTCCACATATAGTATAGCTGCTTGCAGTCTTTGTTTCCATCAGACCAGTGTCTCCAAGCTGCGTGCTGAGCGGATGTAGTCGGACTGAGAAAGGGCCCATCTGCATGGGATGGAAATAAGGAATCCTGGGCCATTCCCGCTGGGGCTTGCGGATATCCCTTACAGAGCTACTGAAGGACCTCCTTCCTGAGCCCCTGCCCTAGCGAAAAACAGTGTCTAGCGCCAAATCAGATACTCTCCAGTGGACTTGCTTTTCTTTTTCCCTTGAGTGAAGGGAACGGCTTAGGAAATGAATCTCATCAGCTCTTAGAAAGCTGATCCATGCTTCAACAGGCAAAGTGTCAAAATAGTAGCAATGGCTGGAAGGATTAGCAAGGAAAACCAAACCTGATGTTTTCTGGCCCTTCCAGCAATAACGGGAAGAGGCAGCTGAGCCGGAACCTGGCAGACTGCAGGCTGTCGAGCCTTGGGTGGGCAGGGGGTCTGCACCGCTGCTGAGCTTCTCTAAGCCTGGAAGGGCGTGGAGTCACTGCTTACGGTGTGATTTGCCGCAGAAACATATTGGAACCTCTGCATTTATAACAAAATACTTATACATTTCAAGAGAGAATGAAGTCGCTCAGTGGCTGCTCAGTGGCCACACACACTGCTGCCTGTGACGTTCTGGGAAATTGCACCAGGTGTGGGCTAATGATGTCCCCTCCCCTCCACCTGCCACCATATGGTCTGCTGAATGCTTTTTCATTCAGGCACTGAGGCAGCACTGAAATTAAGATGTAGCCAGTTCAGTGGCTCATGCCTGTAATCCCAGCACTTTGGGAAGCTGAGGCAGGTGAATCACTTGAGATCAGGAGTTTGAGACCAGCCTGGCCAATATGGTGAAACCTCATCTCTACTAAAAATACAAAAATGAGCTGGGCATGGTGGCACACGCCTGTAATCCCAGCTACTCAGGAGGATGAGGCAGGAGAATCACTTGAACCCAGGAGGCGGAGGTTGCAGTGAGCCGAGATTGAGCCACTACACTCAAGCCTGGGCAACAGAGCTAGACTCTGTCTCAAAAAACAAACAAACAAAAAAAACAAGTAATGTTTGAAAGATAAGTCACTTCTGACAATGATACCCTATCTATAATGTATGACACCAAAAAGATAACATGATCACAAACCAATATGATTGCCTCCCAAAAGCAAAAAGTTTCAGGATTATGAAAAAGCTGACAAACCCATAATCACAGTGGAAGATTTGACATGTCTTTCTGAGAAATTAATAGACAAACTTAGGTAAGCTATAAATGCTTTAAGCAATGAAATTTGAAAGCTTGATCTAATATTGTAAATACATATAAATATCATTTACCCAAGGAAGAAAAATATATTCTTTTCAATTACACATCAAGGAGTTGAAAAAGAGACCACACATTAAATACGAAAGAAGTGTTAATAAATACCAGAGAATTTTCTCTGACAAACTTGTAATTGTATTAGAAATCCACAATTAAAGATTGTTTAAATAAATATAATTGGAAACATTAAAATAGCACTTTTATATAATTCCAGGTTAAGAGAAACCTGTTGTAGAAATTACAAATTATTTAGAATAGAAATGAAAGTACTCCAATATCTATTACAAGTGGCACTTAGAAGAAAATTTATTGCGTTAAGTGTTTATTAAAAAAGCAAAATGAGTGCATTTATATCAACAAATTAACTGCTCAATTCAAAAAGCTTGAACAAAAAGAAAAGTAAATCTAAAAGAAGATATAGGAGGTAAATAATAAAGATAGGAGCAGGTATTGATGAACTAGGAAACAAAGATTTAATAGAGAAGATCAACAGAAACAAAAGCTGATCCTTTGAAAACGCTAAATAGAATAAATAACTAGTCAGACCCACTGAGACAAAGAGAAAAAAACACAACTGATATCAGCAATGTAAACATGGATACCTTAAAGATTTTCAAAATCACAAGAAGACACCATAAATCACTTTCTGCCAACAAACTTAAAAAATTGGAATGGATACTTTTCTAAAAAATATAAAGTTATACATAAATTTAAGTTAAAACATCAATGTAAAGTTTATTCAAGAAGATACAGAAAACCCAAGAGAACACATAACTATTACAAAAACTGTTCTAGAAAAAAAAAAATATTGCCCCCAAAAGACACCAGACCCTCAGTGACTTTACAGGGAAGTACAATGCAAAAAATTACAGTCCAATTTCATTTATGAAACTATGCAGAAGACTCAAAATACTGGCAAATTGAGTTCAGCAGTAGGAGAAACCTGAATAGGTTGTTAAAATGTTGCAGTTGATGCAGAAATACAAGAATGGCTTGAATCAGTCTTTTAAAAAGGATAAAAGTAGTTGCCTACTCCAGGTCACTGTTGTAGGGAAAGAGGAACAGGCCTTACACAGCATATAAAGGAAAAGTTTAGAAAAACTTGCCTATAGGGAATATGAAGGTCAGAAGATGATATAATTGCTAGAGGGAAAACCATGAAACGATGAAGGGACTAAGAGAATGTTGCAATTTTAAAATAGTGTTTATTTTAGAGACAGCGTCTCACTCTTTCACTCAGGCTGGAGTGCAGTGTTAACCATGATAGCTTACTGCAACCTTGCACTACTGGGCTCAAGTGATCCTCCGGACTCAGTCTCCAGAGTATCTAGAACAACAGGTACCCTTCCCCATGCTCAACTAATTTTTTTATTTTTATTTTTTAGAAACAGAGTCTCACTGTCTTGTCCAGGCCGGTCTCAAATTCCTGGCCTCAAGCAGTCTTCCTGCCTCAGCCTTCCAAAGCACTGGGATTACAGGTGTGAGCCATCACACTTGGCCTAAAATAGTATATTTTTTAGTTATCTTTTTAACCTAATGGTAATCCTACAGAGGGTTCATTTGTAAGTTTCTTTTCATTCAGTTTTTCAGGTATGGGAGAGGTCTATGTTAAACATGTTCTAATTAGTTAGAATATAATTAAAGCTTATAATTTAATCAAAAGACCTAGTTGTTTTTTGAAATATATGTAGTTTGCAAGTGCTGTTGTTTCTGTTACCTACATAGTATGGGGCTGTAAAATGCCATATGGCATACAAAGCTAGTGGAAACAGATAGGAAGGTTCAATCTGGGCCCAGAGAAGACCCATAAGTTGAGGCAAACAGCATCACGGCTGCAACGCACACACCAGAGGGAATGGGGAGTTTGCACCATAAGTCCCTCCCCTAGTGAGGCTTGGACAGAAACCAGGCCTTGGCAGACCCAGCTTCAGACCCAGCCTCCCTGATCTGGATGGCCTGGACTTCTTTCCAGGGTAGTCCTGATGAACATCTGGCACCTATGTCCCAGTTTGCTGAGGAGTTTTCACTGCCCGAAGGAGGAGGCAGCACCTCCTTGGAGGGTTTCCTACAGAAAAATGTGGAGATGGCACTCCACCCGCTGCCCTGAGCACGTGGGTGAAGCTATTCGGACCAGGAATGCATTTAACAGGAAGCCTGGGACAGTCACAACCTGAGTGCCGAGAAATGCGGCCAAGAGCATCCATCCGCCTCCATCAGTGGACAGTCCGGCGGCGTGTGAAGGAAAGCTGCTTTCTGGGGCCTCCAGAGGGTGAAGCGTTGACATCATCTACGCTGGTGACGTTAACCAACTTAATTGATCACAGGGCATCCATGTCCCATGTCTCCAGCCTTAGTGTCCTCAGCAGCTTGTGCAAAGTCTTCTCAGAGGCTTTGAGGAAAAATATATCAATAGATAATTTAATAAGTAAAAGTGTAACAAAATATAGTGTTTAAAAATCACAAGTGTTGTGTGATTTATAGGATTCAAAATTGAATTAAGGCCCTGTGAGTTTTCCAGTAGCCCTCTCCTCCCTTGCTGCACCGACCATTCCAGACCTTTGTAGGAAGCTTCTAGGCATTTCCCCCAGGGGACTCCCCCCTCCCCAAGGACCTCAGAACCGCACCAGGATGAGGGTCACCGCAAGCTCCAGACTAGCAACGATGGGTGGCCACTGGGGTTGTTGCTGGGGTAGACCCACTGGGGGGTGAGCTACCCACTACTCTGGGCACTGGGAAGAAAAGAGAACAGAACCAAGTGATTTGAAAATCTCTATCAGTTCACATGGGAAAGCAGCTGGCAGAAAGAGGGGAGCACAGGCCCAAGGCTCCCCAGAAGCATTTCTCAGGGACTCACTCCTCAGTCAGCTGATCACTGCCATGCAGGCTTTTGGTGTTCTAGACAGGACCCCAGCAGGTCGGCAGCAGGCTAGCCCCGTGATCATTTTATAACTGTACTTTTCACCTCTGTTTTATCAGTTTATAAACCCTTTCAAAGTGAGTTTTCAGCTCTCTGACCCAGGAGTAATGGTCTGTGGTAGACCATTTGTATGGGGGGAGTTTAATTTTCATTTGTATTTCCTCTTAAAAGTTTCCTTTTTCAAGTTTAGGTATGTAAACTAAAAATAAATTCCTAAGCTCCCCCATCACCTGAATGGACCCCTCTTTGCCTGGGGACCCTGGAAAAACCTTAAAACTAAGTTCCCGGCCATGACAGGACGGGAGGTCAGACGCGTCTCATTATACCCTTCCCTCTAGTGGTTTAGACACAACAACTGACCAGCATGAATGTTAAAGTCAAGATCATAAGACAGACACAAGGGACCCTTTGTGGCAATGAGATACCACATTCCAAAGAGGACCGAAGGCCGTGCCAGGCAAGGGTGGAGTCACACAACCCTACACTTCAAGAACAAAGTGTGTTCTAAATTCCACAAGGGTTTTCTTTTTCTCTCGAAGCTGAAAAAGCACTCGCATAGAGAGATAAGTAATATTTTAACAGGGCCCAGCACGGTGGCTCACGCCTGTAATCCTAGCACTTTGGGAGGCCAAGGCAGGCTGATCACCTGAGGTCAGGAATTCTAGACCAGCCTGGCCAATATGGCGAAACCCCGTCTCCACTAAAAATACAAAAATTTGCTGGGTGTGGTGGTGAGAGCCTATAATCCCAGCTACTCGAGAGGCTGAGGCAGGAGAATCGCTTGAACCCAGGAGGCGGAGGTTGCAGTGAGCCAAGATGGTACCACTGCACTCCAGTCTGGGCGACAGAGCAAGACTCCATCTCAAAAAAAAAAAAAACAAAAAAATTCTAACAGTTGTAGCTCACCAACAGACACTGACTAACTGACCCCTTGTTCCACCAGCCATCACTACAGCTTTGATTGGACAAGACACTGATTTCAGTAACCTTCTCCAGTTAAGACCACTGACCATGCCCTCATTCTGGCCGGTTTACAGAGGCTGCACACTTGCATGCCTTCATGTCCTGAAAAGACCTTTTGACATATAGGACCTAATTGTAACACATTTAAATGTTAAGTCTCCACCCCAAAGTGAACATGGGTCATATGTTACATACACGCTTGTTCAATATGCAGGTCTCAGAACTACCTTCATGAACATTCACAGCTCTTCCTGTAATCTGTTGAATGGGTATATTTAGACAACCTGTCCAGCATAAAGCTCCAACTCGCACCCCTCCTCCATCCAAGTGCTCTGGTCTTTGTAGACGGCTACACTTCCCAGCCCATGGAATGGCCACCTTGCAGGCTGTAACCCTTTAGAACTAACAAAGTCTCTTTCTCCAAATGTATAAAGATCTCCTGATGTTTTAAAAGTTAACAGATCTGATTATGAGCTGGTTGGTGAGAGCTCACCTGGGTGACCATCCAGGTGTTTTTCCTCATTGACTCTATGGCCGTCCTGGCCCACAGCTGCAGAACAGCCCCTCCACGAGAACTGGAGGCATCCGGTGTGATACTGTCCTATCCCCAGTGAGACCACCAGCAGGCTTTTCCAAGAGACCTGGGCAATAAATGAAAAAGAGTGTCTGTGTTACTGCTGCTTTAAAGGGCATCAAACAAATGAAGGAAATAGAAAGGGGGAGGGATTAAAGATGAACAGACAGACAGGAAATCCACACAGTGATTGTTGGCTATCTTTTGAGAAATTTCTTAAAGGATTGATGTCTTAAATACCTTTGTGTCACTGTAATATTAAAATTATTAAAAACAGTTACTGTTCACTGATCATTGTGGTATTTGATGAGAGATTCAGTCAACATTTGACCTAATTTTCCAATCATTAAATTTCTGTTTACATTATAGTGGGGAAAATGGAAACATTAATAAGCACTATAAATTTGTCCTTGGTTAGTTCATATTATTACACTGATACAAATGGAGATTATTCACACCAATATCACCCCCAGAGGAAGAATTCCAAAGTGGGCCTGCAACATGGATGTGGTTGCTGGGCCCCGAAGTAGAGTGCTCAGGTGTAGAGGGGGAAAGAAAAAGGAGAGGCCCCCCCCTTGCACTTCTTGCTCTCCGTCTATCTGAATAATCAAAATAATTCCATCATTTTCATACACAGTCCTGAGACACTAATAAGGTAAGACCATTTCCTTGAGGAACAGATAACCCTTCTTCTCTCTGTTAGTGTATATCCATTCTCCGGTCTTTTTGTGAAGAGACTAAATCTGTCACCTCTAAACATTTATTTGCAAAAATAATAATAATGATGATTTTATATGCAAGCTGCAATAGTCCATATCTGCCCATCACACAGTAACATCAGGCATTTGAATGTGTTTTACCCCAGATCCTATTCAAGGTGCAAAGGTGTAATATATCAAAGAATATACCTGGTCTTTTCCCTTAGATTGTGGCCTGGAGCTTCAAAACCCTTGGAATTTCCTGATAAAAGTCTCTTTTGTTATTCATAATGAGCCCTTTCAGGCATGTCTGAGATTTTTTTGTTTTTATTTTTGGTTTTGGGGGGTTTTTTTGAGATGGAGTCTTGCTCTTGTTGCCCAGGCTGGAGTGCAATGGTATGATCTCGGCTCACTGCAAACTCCACCTCCTGGGTTCAAGTGATTCTCCTGTCTCAGCCTCCCGAGTAGCTGGGACTACAGGCACATGTACATGTCACCACGCCTGGCTAATTTTTTTTTTTTTTTTTTTTTTTTTGTATTTTTAGTAGAGACAGGGTTTCATTATGTTGGCCAGGCTGGTCTCAAACTCCTGGCCTCAGGTAATCCACCCGTCTCGGCCTCCCAAAGTTCTGGGATTACAGGCATAAGTCACCACGCCAAGCCCATGTCTGAGTTTATACTAATGAGGGGGTGACTCAGGGTGAGCCCTTAGATAATTCCAAGGGAGGGACTGACCATGCCGGAAAGACTAAGCATGCCCCGCCCTCTGACTTCTGCAGAGGATGGGAGGGCTGGAGATTAAGTTCAATCATACAGCCAATAGTCTAATCAATCATGCCTATGTAAGAAAACCTTGATAATGACTCTGGACATCAAGTCTCAGCTGAGCTTCTGGGTGGTAAACACCTCAATGTACCGGGAGGATAGTGCTGCACAGAACAGAGGGGCTCAGGCTCCCAGACCTTGCTGCCCTCTGCACCTCTTCATTTTGTTGTTCCTTTGAACTCTATACGATAAAATGGCAACCATAAAGATAGCCCTTTCCTGAGTTCTGTAAGTCATTCTAGCAAATTATCTAAATTTGGGGGGAGATGAGTTGTGAGAATTCACCAATTTGTAGCCGAGTTAGACAGAAGTTTGGGTAGCCTGGGGGCCCCACTTGGAGATGGAACATAAAGTAAAGACACTCTTTTGGGGGCCTTTGCCCTTCAACCTGTAGATCTAATGCTAAGTCTAGGCAGTTAGTATCAGAGTTGACCTGAATTGTAAGATAGCCAGTTGGTGTCAGAGAGTTGGTGTTGAAATGCAAAAAGGAAATAAAAATATATAAATAATACTTCCAGTCGTAAGTCTCTTCCAAACTAGTTATGACAGTAAGCCATCAACCCATATAAAGAGATAATAATATAATGCAGTAACTAATTGTCTTAGTCTGTTTTGTGCTACTATAACAAAGTACTTGAGACTGGGTAATTTATAAACAACAGGCATTTATCTCTCAAGGTTCTGGAGGCTGGGAAGTCCAAAATCAAGGTGCCAGCAGTTTCAGTGTCTGGTGAGGGCTATATCTTCTGGAGGGAAGAAACACCCTACCTTCAAATGACAGAGGGCAGAAGGGCAAGAGGGACAAATTCTCTCGGTCAATCCCTTTTATGAGGATACGTAATGCCATTTATGAAGGAAGAGCCCTCATGGCCTAACCATCTCCAAAGGCCACACCTCCCAATACTGGTTATGCTGACTTAACTAACAAAAGACCAGGAGATTTCTGAGGCAGACAACCATACTCTTTTCTCAAAAAAGACACTGTGAACAAAATTCATGTTTGCCTGGTTTTTCAGTCCTCCTATTGGAAACAGCCTACTTGACTTCATGCTTCTTAAAAACAATAAAAGCTTTTACATCTTCATTTGATTGCTATGCCATCGCACACACAATCAGAAAATGCAGTTATGACTTTTGCACATTTCTAGCGCTGTTGTATTCCTAACGATGGCACCACTGACGTACTGTGATGATATGCTTTCTAATCATGGCTTTGTGTTTGCAAACAATTGAATTTGGGTTGGTATCTTAACCCAGTTCCTGTGCAATCCTCCTCAGTGTGGAGACATAACAGCACACATTTCATACCCAGAATAGCCTGGCTTCTTCCCTCCACTCAGAAAAAGCTACAGGCCCACCTCCCTTGTCTTTGAGGAGCACCTGGTGGCAGCATTCTTCTTTGGAAGGAAATGTGGTAAGGAAATGGAGTAGGAAGAATTACATGTTAAACTCACATCTTACCCCTTGGCTCTAACTCCAAAGTATACAAGAAATTCCAAGTAAATTTTCTAAATGGGTGGGAAGAGACAAAGCAAAATCCATTAGGAGGATTATAACAGATTTACTTTGTTCGAAATTGGCGTCTAATGACTCTAGAAAGTGATACCTACACAGAAAGCCAATTACATCTTTAGCCTAGAGATGCCAACACTATTTCCAAGGAAAGAATCTGCAATATCCCTAGACATTCTGATTTTCTTAACATTTTTCATACCGCTTGTAAACTGCTTACTTGGGGGGATCACATGTTGGAATACAACCCAATCAGCTCTGTAAATTTTCTGTTACCCTATTAATGTCCAAGAAAAGATGAGATGGACTTAGATTGTACTATTTGATTTTTGTTAAACAGTTAATGGTATCTCTCATTTTTTTCAAACACTTTCCATAGATTTCTAGTTTTTAGCCAAGCTCATCTTCCCTAGACTATGACAAGCCATCAAAAATCTGTTTTAAACCTGCTTTTTCAAAATTCATCAGAGTATAGAGTAAAACACGAAAAAAAAGTGATCATTTTATTTTGTTAATCAGAAAATACATTCATTAGTCAGGGGAGGATGGCTTATGCTGTTGCAACAAACCCCAAACCTCAATGGCTTAACACAAAAATAGTTTGTTTTCCTCCATGCAAATTCTGCTATAGATCCAGGTAACTCTCCAGGGCATCTCCCCTCCACGCAGTGACTCAGTCCTCCAGGCTGAGAGGCTGCTGCTCTGCAGTCAACACAGCAGAGAATGCAAGAGTGGCAACAGGTCTCGCATTAATTAAATGCTTGGCTCAGAAGTAACCCACTTACTTCCTCTCATAACCCCATTGATTTAAACTAGCCTTATGGCTACAGCATGGAATTGTCATCCTACTGTGTGTCTGGAGGAAGAGAAAGATATGTGGGAGGGCACTAGGGACCACTGCCACACATAGATTCTCAGATTATGTATAGACAAGAGAATGGTGCCCTGTCTCAAAAGAGGTCCTAAAACTAGCTTGGCTTCTAGTGATCTTAAGCAACACTCACTATTCAACAGAAATGTAATCCAAGTCATAACTGTGAGCCACGTAACTAACTTTGAACTTTTTAAGTAGCCACCAAAAAATGTAAAAAGAAATGAGTGAAATTAATCTTAATATATTGTATTTACTCAAATGTATCCAAATATTATTTTGTCATCCAATCTATATATATATTTTATTTATATATATATATTTAATATATATATATATTTTTTTTGAGATGGAGTCTCGCTCTGTCACCCAGGCTGGAGTGCAGTGGAATGATCTCAGCTCATTGCAACCTCCACCTCCAAGGTTCAAGTGATCCTCCTGCCTCAGCCTCCTGAGTAGCTGGGATCACAGGCACCTGGCACCACGCCCGGCTAATTTTTGTATTTTTAGTAGAGATGGGGTTTCACCATGTTGGTCAGGCTGGTCTCGAACTCCTGACCTCGTGATTCACCTGTTCCGGCCTCCCAAAGTGCTGCGATTACTGGCGTGAGCCACCACGCCTGGCCCCAATCGATATTTTAAAATTAATTATTTTGCATTTTTGGTACTAAATCTTCAAAACCCAGTGTGTATTCTATACTGACAGCACATTTTAATTTGGACTAGCCACATTTCAACTATTCAGTCACCACACGTGACTGACAGATCTGGTAGCTACTCTGAGTGATAGAGGAATTCATGATTGTGCTTGATCAGCACTGATCTGCCACACATTATCATATGCAAATTATTTCCATTATTAAAACTAAGGCACTAAGGAGATGTGCCTAGAGATTAAGTTGAATCATACAGCCAATAATCTTGGAGGAGTCAAATAAAACACCCAGGCCCTTAAGGGATTGAGCCAGTATCCAAAACTATGTGTAACCCCAAAGCCTGTGCTTTTTCAAAATCCTGTCACATAGAACTTTAGAGCTGAAAAGAACAGATCAGAAACTGAAGGACTATTTAGTAAGCAATGATATCCTGCCTTAAACCTTCATCATTTTTCTTCTCCTTAGAGAAGAGTTTAATTGTATCCCCTCTATAATCAGGACTTTATAGAACCAGTATTTCATTTTGTACCTTAGAAAACAAATCATTCTCTAGCTCCTTAAATGTGTTGCTTCTCAGGAATAGATGTGCCGGGGAGGAGCAGGAGGGAAGAGAAATAGGGCAGGCCAGGCAGAGGTTAAGAGCAGCCAAAGGAAGGAGGCCAAAACTTAGTGGCTTAAAACAACTATTCCATTATAGCTCATAATTCTGTGGGTCAGAAATTCAGGAAGGGCTTGGATGATATTTTCTGTCCCACATGGAGGCCACTCAGAAATGATTAACTGGTCTAGAGGGTCCAGGGTGGCTTTGGGCAGGGATGATGGGAGACTGGCCCACTCAGGACTGTCCAGCAGGGTGCCCCGGAGTCCCTTCCATCATGGCAGCCTCAGGGTAATGACACTCAGGGACAACTCAGGGATCCAAAAGAGAGTGTCCCAAGATTCTGGTGGATACTGCAAAGCTTTCCGTGGTCTAACCTCAGAAGTTCCAGAACACCACTTCTATCCCATTCTATCACTCAAACAAGTCATTTAGGTAGATTCGAGGAGAGCGTAATTGGATTTAACTTCTCAATGGGAGGAGTAGCAAAAACTTTGGAGCCATCCTTAATCTACCACAACCAGAAAATAAAAACAGTAGCTTGGCCAGATCCGGATGCAGTGGCTCATGCCTGTAATCCCAGCACGTTGGGAAGCCAAAGCAGGAGGATTGCTTGAACCTAGGGGTTTGAGACCAGCCTGGGCAACATAGGGAAACCTCCATCGCTGTAAAAAAAAAAAAGTTTAAAAACTAGCCTGGCATGGTGGCACACACCTGTAATCGCAGCTACTCATGAGGCTGAGGTGGGAGGATCCCTTGAGCCTGGGAAGTTAAGGCTGCAGTGAGCTACGATCACACCACTGCACTGCAGCCTGGGTGACAGAGTGAGACCCTGTCTCAAGGAAAAAAAAAAAATAGAAACCGTAGCTTAAGCAAGGTAGACACTTATTTTCCTCTCATAAAATCCTGGTTGGAAGCATCTAGAGCGGAAATGGAATTTCCAGGGACCTGGGTTCCTTCTGTCCTCTTACTCTGCTTTGCTTGGGATATTAGTTTAGGACAAGAGTTGGCAAACCACAAGCCCATGAGCCAAATTTGACCCACAAACTCTTTTTGTAAATAAAGTTTTATTGGCAAACAACCATGCTTTCATTTAGTTATTTGCTATGGCTCCTTAAAGAGGAGGACCTACATCAGAGACTATGTGGCCTGCAAAACTTAAAATATTTACTATCCAGCCCTTAACAGAAAAAGTTTGCTGTTCCCTGATGCAGAGTATGATCTGAAAATTGCACATATTATGTCTGCACACATGGGAGCTGCAAGGGGGGGGTAAGAAATATCTTTATTCTAGGCAGCCATGTCCCATCAAAAACTGGAAGTTTTGCTACTATAGATAATGTGAAATGCATACACCAGAGCCGACCCGCAGACTCTGCAACCCAGGCCCAGCTGCACGGTCAGTTTGGAAGTCTACACAAGCATCTAGAGGACCTGGACACAAACAGGGCTAATTCAGGTGCCCAATTCATGTCCCAACTCTGTCCTGTCAGGCGACTAAGGCAGGGCTCTGGGAATCCAGGGACAGGTGGAGTAACTCGTACACAGTCAGTGTGGGAGTCTTAGCAGGTGACTGGGTCCTGCCCGGACTCGTGTGGGATGGAGGGCTGGGTAAACTCATTGCTGCAATAAAAGGGACAGAATCTCAGTGCAAAAGAGACTAGAAAAAATGTTAGGTTTCCAGAGAGAGGCTGGAATTCAGAGGGGAAGATGGAAGCCCATTTGATATAGTAGTGGTGAAGATGGAAGGTGGCCCCTGCCGTGAGGAAGACACCTGAGCTATGAAGAGTGGAGTATAAGCTTGGAACCAGATGTGCACATACCCAGAGTTCATGTCCAACATATCTCAAAATCTTTGCAAAGTCTGTGTGGATCCTTAAAAACTGGGGAGGGCAGAGCCAGCAGTGGGCAGGTGGCCCCCACCTGGAGGAATGGGATTATAGAGTCCAGGAGTGAGGCAGCGCCCTACAGTTTGTCCTCATCCTTCCATTTTCCACACTTCCAGTTTCCTTTCAACCACTTCAGAAAAAAAAAAAAGTCCAGAAAGTCTAATGTTGCCAAGTTTAGAAACCAGGTCGTCATTAGTGTGAGTGGAATCAACGTTGATTACAGTCTGGTCCTTTTCAAGTTTCTTTGATATCTTCAAAAGCCCAATCATCCTGTTCCATCTAGGACATTAAGAAAAATACACCCAAAGAATAGTCTTTCAAGTACATTGCCACCGTAGCTAGATGATTATTATCCTGACTATTAATTACTATTATGATTACTGTTGCCATGGTTTTTATGTTTTTCTGTGTGCCCATCCAATCCCACATCCAGCCACCACAGCCACTGCTGGGTTTTTCCTGGGAAACAGATGCCCATGTGCTGGTCTGGGCAGGCCCATACACTAAAGGCAGCCTATCCATGCAGAGCTGAGTGTATTGGAAGACAACAGAACGGATGAGCCACAGGTGAGCCGCAGGTGAGCAGGTTTACAGCCCCCAAGAGGATTTGGATGCCCAGGCCTGGGAGCTTGATGAAGAAGTGTGGTTTCATGAAAGCATTCACCCCAGTTATGCCTAAGAAAGCTCAGCCTTGGAATAAAGAGAAGCATGAAGAGTGCAATGAGGAAGAAAAACCAGCCCCTAATGAAGGACAGAGACACCAAGCCATCATCATAATCAGGAGACAGTAATAAGATAGCCCTCAAAGAAATCCAGCCAGAAGCCGGCAAGTGCACCTAGACCCCTTCGGGAACGCCAAACACCTGGTAGTTTGGGGTTTTTGTTGGTTTCTCTTATAGCGCTTCATTTATATTTCCAGTGCTGAATTCTCTGCAGTCCTCATGACTTTCAGGTTCCTGGCAGTCTCTTTCCCTCCTACCGGGTGGTGAGCTCCTCAAAGACAGGGCCTGGGTCCTCATCTGACTTCTCCCATGCCTAGAACCACACCGACATAACAGCAGGCTTGAGTAAAAAAGAATTGAATTGAATTAAGGACCAAAAGTAAAAATTTTAAGGACTCAGAGTTACAATGAACAGGAAGTGTAATGAAAGGAGCAGTTCAGCACAGATGGAGGAGGAGGAGGCAGCCCAGGAAGGAGAGTGGCTGAAAAGGCCCACACAGAGAACGCGCTTCCACATGGATGCAGCACACAGAACACGCTTCCACATGGATGCAGCACACGCAGAACACGCTTCCACGTGGATGCAGCACACAGAGAACACGCTTCCACGTGGATGCAGCACACACAGAACATGCTTCCACATGGATGCAGCACACAGAACACGCTTCCACATGGATGCAGCACACGCAGAACATGCTTCCACGTGGATGCAGCACACAGAGAACACGCTTCCACGTGGATGCAGCACACACAGAACATGCTTCCACGTGGATGCAGCACACACAGAACAGGCTTCCACATGGATGCAGCACACAGAACACGCTTCCACGTGAATGAAGCACACAGAACACGCTTCCACGTGGATGCTGCACACACATAACGTGCTTCCACGTGGATGCTGCACACACATAACGTGCTTCCACGTGGATGCTGTACACAGAGAACATGCTTCCACATGGATGCAGCACACAGAACATGCTTCCACGTGGATGCACCACACATGGCTACAAACAGACTCAGAGCACGCCTCTACACATTCTCCAACCCTTCCATGCAGAGAGAGTCAACACCTCCAGGGAAGTCTCCTTGCTGCCTATTACAGTTCAGATGTCCCCTACAGGGGTGAGCATTGATTGATCTTGGAGAGTTTGTAGGAAGTGGGTGGCGCAGTGTCCGTGTGGAGTGCCTGGGTGGAGGAGTTGCTGGAAGTTGGGAGCTCAGCCCATGCCCATGGCAGCCGATGTCAGGGTTCAGGGGAGGTTGCAGGAAGGCCCCGGATAACCCCACAGAATATAGCCAGAGAGGCATGCAGGCAAGCTGGGGCCACAGCAGACATTCTGATGGAGGGAGACAAGCTCCAGAGTAGGGCATACTATGGGAATCTACAAGTGTGTTGCCAAAACTGGTGGTACACAGTAAAAAAAAGATGTGGGGAGGAAGAGTTCTCATGTATAGGCATTGAGGAAATCAGTCAAACCAAAGCAAAACCGAAGGTGCTGCAGAGGTGAGTGCATAGAGGATGGAGCTCCCTCAGTGCCTGGGAACCCCGTGGAAGCCCATCCAGGGCCTGTAAGTGAGAAAAGGTAAGCAGTGGCCTCAGATGACACTGGGGAGGGACAGGGCATGAATCAGGATAGCCGACCTATTGTAATAAACAACCACCAGATCTTAGGAGTTTGACTCAATAAAAGTTGATTTTTTTCCCATATGGGTCAGTGGAGGAGGTGGGGGTGGGTTGGAGTAGCTCCTCTCATAGAAGCATCTGGGGACCAGGGACGTTCCCTCCTTCCACTTCTCATTTCCATCTTCACCTCTTAGAGTCCTCCATTGGGTCCTCTGCATTTAGCCAGCAAAAGAGGGAAAGAGAGAACATAGAAGATCACATTCTAGAAGCTTTTTAGAGTTTAGGCCCGCAGGTGGTGGGACATTGATCAAACTTGGCAACACGGCCTACCCAACTACAGGGAAGGCTGGAAGCGTTGTCTTGTCTCTAAGTGTATGAGGAAAAGCACATGGAGCTGGAAAAGCACGTAGTCGGAGACAAATCAAAGCAGCTCAGAGAGAGCAGATGTAGTCAGAGAACGCAAGAGAATAAAGGCCCTGATGTGGGAAGAGGCATCGCGGAGCAGGAACAGGTCAAAGAGCTTGAAGCAGGAGGGCTCTGTTGGTGCAGGGCTAATGGTGGTGTCCAAGATGTTCTTGAAGGACCCAGTAAGCATGAAATAAAAATCAAGAGAGAACAACAAACAGAGGACAGGTTATAGTCCCCGGCAGTATGGGCTCCTGTGTGTGGGGTCTGCATAGAGAGTCACAGGCAAGTCACAGCTGCTGCTGACTGGGGACTCGCAGAAAAGGCCAAAAAGGAAGAGCTGATGGCTCCGTAGAGAGAGTGGAACAAAGTTCCTGGCCACTTCCAAAACTCAACATTTGCAATCAAGACTGTAGAGACTGGGAGGTGGCACAAAAAGGTCTGTGCAGCCCTGGGGCCCACGAATCTGTAGACTCGGGCACCCATCACCTTGCAGGGTGCCTCCTGGCAGTAATCTATATGTGTGTTGTACAGCGCCTTCCTGTCCATAAACTCCGAATGTTGTTTTTCTTATAGTCTCAGAATGGCCTGGAAAGGATCAGGGACCATGCCTAAAACTAATAACCTGAAGGAAGTAATGGAGTATTGCAATTGCTCTGTCCCTTTCTTGGGAAGGCTCAACTGGAAATAGACACATCATCCCCTTCTTGGAAAGTCGGTCGATCCAAACCACCTCAGATGGAAATGATTTCTCAGGATATGTATATGGAACATTTTCTGTCTGCAGAATCTCAAAACTCCCAGGTAATTTAGGGGCAATTAACAGAATCTTCCCTCTGATTCTAGTCCAAATCTCAAAGCTTGTCTCATCCAATGTGGAAAATCGAACTTCCAAAATCCAGTTGTCAGAAATTTCCATGTGGGTAACAGTGGCCAAATCAAGACAACATCTTGAAACTTGAGGAAGATGCTAAGCTTTGTTTCTCTGCCAGCCAGCATGCTGCGCCTTCAGGGAGAGTGGGGCTAAAAGCCCCTGTGCACCACAGGCTTCTGGCCTTTTGGAGTGGCATCGCGCTCTAAAGGCACTTAAAGAGGGCCAAGCCTCTGATGCTTTGTTTGATTGTGGTTCCCATTCTCATGAGAGCTGTTTCTTCTTCAGCTACCATCATGCTATCATCACGCCACAAAATGAGATTCCAGAAGTGGGCAAGCAAGATCCAGTTTCCAGAATGAATCCCCATCTCATTCATTCACAATCTGCAGAACTCATATGAGCTAAACAGCACAAAATGAGACACACTCCTGGTCTACACGCCAGTGGCTCTCAGCTGCAGGTAACCTTGGCAATGTCTGGAGACATTTTTATTTGTCAATATTGAGGGGATTCTACTGGCGTCCAGGGGGGATTATCACTCCCAGTGACTCACTGGGGGAATTTTTGCTTCCCAGGCCCACAACACTGGGCTCTGCAGGGTCAGAGGCATTGGTTCCCCAAAAGGCATACTTTTCCCCCGGGGAGCAGAGCCAGGGCCTCATTGAGTTATAGCACAACAGCCACTTGGGCACTCTGAGGTCCTTCTGTGCAAGGAAAGGAGCCAGCATCCTTTCTGTGTTTGTCAGAGGGAGGCTGGGCTGCCATGACACACAGTGGCAGGCATGAGTCCATGTGGGTTTCAGGGGACTCACGTTGGCGCCTCCTGCGTGCCCTTACCTAACCATGACCATACGTGGGCATGTGCAGCAAACCCAGCTCAAGGAGATCACAGCGACCAGGACTTCAGGAATGAGGGTCTGAGTCACACCACCAGGTAGGACACCAAGACAGCAGGGGTGGTGTCTAGGGATTAGGGGACTCTGGACTGAGAGTGGAACTATGGCACTATGCTAGGACTGCCAGTTCAGTCCGGACACTCACTGCAGCAAAGGGGTGTAATGTGTCCCACTAATCTCCCTCTCTAAGCTTCCCCTCGAAAGAAAAGTGCACCCTAACCATGGAGGAGCTGGAGCTGCTCCCCGGGATGCATGGAGAAGTGTGGCACGTGGCCAAGAGGTAGACCATGCTAGGCCATCCGAGGCACAGGTCAGCCTTCAAGGAAGGACTTGCTGCCCCATGGCAGGAAGGACGGTCTTCAGGCAGCTTTGGGGTCCACCTGGGCTGCAGAGAGCTGCCTCATCTGAGGTCATGCCCACAGCACTGACTGAGCAAGAAAGGGCTGTAACTGATGCCCCATGATGGCTCTGGCAGTCAGCACTGGCTCTGGTGATCCCCCTCCAGTGGGCTGAGGCTTCCTCAGGCCTACATTGCCATTTAGCTTTTTCTTCTGCTCAAATCTCATTTCCTCACCGTTCTTTCCACAGGAGTTAATCTTGCACTCCAAGCTCCATCTCAGCATCTGCTTCCAGATCACCCAACCTGAAGCACAAGCCACTGAATTTTGCATGGGCTGTTGCTCCCCCAATAGCTTTTTATCAGGTGTGTGGGAATTGAGGAGGGGGATTCTATCTGCAATGCCCGCTGTGTCCCCAAAATTGCAATTTATTGACGATTTATGGTAACTAATCATCTAGGATGAGATAATAGAGGTGCCACAAAGCAGTCTGCAGCCTGAGATGCATTTATGAAAGGGCTACAGGGAATGGTTTCCAGACACTCATCCTAAGGCACTGATGGGGGGAGGGGGGGTGGCACATTTTTTTCTGCAGAGGGCTAGATAGTAAATATTGCCAGCTTTGCAGGCCACCTGGACTCTGTTGCCACTCTTCAACCCTGAGGCTGCAGCACAAAAGCAGCCACAGGCAACAGGCAAGGTGATGGCAGGGCTGTGTTCCATGCCGCTTCATACACCGAGACAGGCAGCACTCCAGATCCTGTCTGCAGAATGTAGTTTGCTGACTCCTTGACTCTTTGAACAACTGTTTAGATGGAGAAGATGCAGACCCACTGCATGAACATGAGCTCATCTTTTTCAACACTTGCTGCTGTGAGTCTTTCCTTCTCCTCTGCCTAGTGCCTCCTTCAGGGAACTTCCCATCTGGAAGAGCATCCAGGCTCCTCGCTTTGTAGGATGCGGGCAGGAGAAGCGACTTGATTAAAACTCACAGTAAGAAATGCATTTTGCTTTGCAACCCAGGATACACATACACTACTCAACATCTACTATATGATTTCAAAACATTAGTGGGCAATGTCCCCAATATTTGAAATCAATTTGATAAAGTACTGAATTGTAGTGTTTGAATGAATTAATAAGAGGAACAGAATAGAATACAATAGAGTTGAAAATATCATGCAAAATAGGCAGAAAAGGCAAGCACTATGTCATGAAATTTTTACTGAGGTTGTATGCATTTATGAAATGTGTGCATGCATTTATAAACAGATGTGTTTGTGTGTGAATATAATACCAGGGTAGGATGTAATATGTATTTCTTAGGGTAAGTCATGGTCAAAGGCTTCAGAAACACTAGCCTATGGCAATCACCCGCGATATGCTGTGTCCCAGGGGTGACACTAACTAGGAGCAGATTTGCTTGCAACTTGCATTTGAAGGATCCACACAGGCAACTGGATTGCCCATTATCCCGCCATACTCGTCAAGGCACCTTTTCAAAAAAACTCCTCTTCAAAACGTTTTCTTATTCCTTTTGGCTTTTCTAACATTATTTTCTGGCCTCTCTTCAGTGGACTTTTATGACTTCAGTTGCCAATGGAGCACTCAGGTATCAACTGCAAGACCTGCTGTGATTTCATTCATGCCTAATTACTTCAAGCTGCCTGTTGCTTGCAAGCATTCCATGTGCTGGCCTCTTTGTCCGTCCCCAGGTCTCAGGCCCCAGGGCTTGGGAGAGCCCTTTGGATGACACTCCAAATGGAAGAGTCTCACACTGACTTCAGAGCCCTCCTTCCTTCCTTGCTGAAGTGTTCTCTCCTGACCCCTGTCCTTGTCAGGCCAGGCCTGTGTCTGAGCAGATGAACAATAGCTGGAAAAGTGACTGTCACAGCCAGGCTTGGGAGGTCCTTCTGTGTGATCCCAGACAGTGCACACTCGGAATGGTTCTCCTTCCCTGTCCAAGGCT
Organism: Homo sapiens; assembly: GCF_000001405.40. Lineage (NCBI taxonomy): Eukaryota > Metazoa > Chordata > Mammalia > Primates > Hominidae > Homo > Homo sapiens. The sequence continues at coordinate 10,145,445 of NC_000018.10, read as the reverse complement.
GGCAGATGCTTACACATACCCTGAGTGCCCAACACATGCCCCTGGGCATCAGCACATGGGCTCAGGGCTTACGTCCACTGAAAATACTGCCTCCCTCCACTTCATCTCTGACCCTTGATCAATTCGTAAGCAATGCCTTGCAAATGGGTGCTCAGTGTGTCTGTGCATGTGGCAGGGATGAGGTGACCACTAGGGAACCAGCAAACTACCAGAGAAGGGCTTTTCCTCATCAAGCATAGCTCTCAGATTCCCTCCCGAAAGGGCAATGAATGGAACAGTTGGAATGTGCAGAACTGTTTGTGGCCTGGGTCTGTCTGATCACACCTTACTTGCATGTGGTTAGTGTCATTTTAGTCAAGGGCTCCTTGTGTTGTTAATGAGCATGAAGACATCTAAGAGCATAACCTAATTGACTTGAGCACATTTCGATTCCTACTGAGATGCCAGAGATCAGACAACATTATGTCAGTCTCCCTTTCCTTTTTATTCCCTTCCCTTATTTCGATAGGACCTGAATGCAAAATGCCTTGAGCAGACATACTTAATCTCAATGTTCATTGCAAGAAGTGGGATGCAAAGACAGACTATCTGTGCCTCACCAGTTAAAGCAAGTGGTCCAGTAACATGAAAGCTTTGAATAGGAATTTCCAATGTTTCCAAGTTACTTTTGTTTCTCTCAAACTTATTGCTCAGGTTGGATCTTTTGATCTAAATACCAAGTCATCATTAAAAATTGTCACAAAATGAGTTGGGCAGTGTCTCATGCCTGTAATCCCAACACTTTGGGAGGCCGAGGCAGGTGGATCACTTGAAGTCAGGAGCTTGAGACAAGCTTGGGCAACATTGTGAAACCCCATCTCTACTAAAAATACAAAATTTAGCCAGGTGTGGTGGTGCACGCTTGTAATCCCAGCTACTTGGGAGGCTGAAGCAAGAGAATCACTTGAATCTGGGAGGTGGAGGTTGCAGTGAACCAAGATGATACCACTACACTCCAGACTGGGTGACAGAGTGAGACAAAAAAAAAAAAGGCACAAAATGAAGTAAATAATGATTTTTCATGCAGGATGAGTTTGTTAAGAGGCACAGACTCAACATTTGCATATTCTCTTCCTGAATCCAGACATAATGACCCATCTGAGGAAGGACAGCAGGGATGAAATCTCTCTTGACCTCACAACAACGCCAATATGCAGCACAGCATCCCTTCCTGGGTTAAGAGCTTGGTGATCTTCCCACGAACAGGCAGCTGTCCAAATGGAAGCTCAGAGTGACCTCTGTGCCTAGATCTAAAATAAAAGGAGAGAGACAGCCTGAAATTTATGCCTAAATATCCACTCCTGACACACATTCACAATCAACATCAGCAAACATGCTTGGTTTTGGCAGTCTGCTGTTTAGGATTCACATGTTTTTAGATTCTGCAGTGAATATTTAGGTTTTGTTCTTGGAAGTCAATAAGTGCCTGGCATCTAGATGTTTTTCTTCTTCATTTTCCTGAGGGAAATTACAATATTAACATAATGAACCTTAGCAAAGCTAGTGACATTCCCTTCCCGTTCCACCAAAAATAACATGCAATAATGTGAGGACTCACCCTGGAGAGACGCCAGAGTGGAAGGAGAATGATTTGTGGTGGGAGCAGCCCAGAGTGGCCTGATGACCATGCAGGGTACACAGAGGCAGCCATGCAGCCAGCTGGTCTTCATGCTACTTGTCTGTAGAACTGAGCCAAATGGCACTGGCAAGAAGAGGGCCAGGGAAGGCACCTCTGCCTCCCTCCATGACAGCATCAGGGATCCGTAGTCTCAAGGCCAAAGGACCACTGGCTCCAGTAATCACCTTGTGTGAACATCTGTGCCCCAGCTCTATATTCTCTCTCTTTTTTTTTTTTTTTTTTTGAGACAGAGTTTTGTTGCCCAGGCTGGAGTGCAATGGCACGATCTCGGCTCACTGCAGCCTCCACCTCCCAGATTCAAGGGATTCTCCTGCCTCAGCCTCCAGAGTAGCTGGGATTACAGGTGCCTGCCACCATGCCCGGCTAATATTTTTTTTATTATTTTTTTTAATTTTTAGTAGAGATAGGGTTTCATCATGTTGGCCAGGCTGGTCTTGAACTCCTGGCCTCAGGTCATCTGCCTGCCTCGGCCTTCCAAAGTGCTGGGTTTACAGGCATGAGCCACCACGCCTGTCCACCAGCTCTATCTTCTTAAAGCAGATTCCAGTCACTGGCAAGGTAATTCACATGGCAGGCCCTGCGAGGGCTGCTCAGGGCTTCTATAGCATGCACTATAGATGAGGATGATAATAATGACCTCATCACATCGTTGAAAGAGGAGTAAAAGTGCACCTGGCACATACAAAACACCCAATAGATGGGCAATCCTCCCAAGAAGGAGACTGCACTGTCATTGGCATGTCCATGTGAACTTGCTCATCAGGTGGCTTTCTGCTTTCACAAGACGGTCTGCGCAGAACGAGAATGCTGACTTGGGGCTCTCAGGAGGGAGGTTGCTGGTGGCAGGAGAGGGGATGAGGGCATGTGGGCGGGGTGAGGGAACGTGGGGGATAAACTCGATCTACTCTAAGTGTTTTTTCCCGTGCTGGCTGCATGGGGGAAGGGAGGGAGCAGGCTTCAGGAGGAGGGGTAGCAGGAACATAGCATAGGGTAACCTAGTCTCAGAATTTTTCACAATTGGACTTGGGAGAGGGCACCAGTGTTATAAAGGGAAGAGGGCGCCAAGTCGCATAGCTGGGCAGAGGCCAGGGAGGGGAGCCCTAAGTGCTGGGCCAACGTGAGGGTGAGAGCCAGGGCACCGGGAAGCAAGGGCTGTGAGTCAGGGATATTTTCCAATCACAGACCTGGGAAAAAACAGAGCTGGAATGCACTTTAAAAATCACATAGCTCGATTTTTATTTTGCACAGAAACTGAAGCCAGGGGTCCCGTCTCACAAGGAAAAGTTAGAACTTACACTCAGTTGTGTCCATTTAAATCTAACAACCCACAACTTGTTCATAAATTAATTAATTAGTTAACTAATTACAATATAAATTATCCAGACAAAAATTTGAGTCACAGCTTATTTTCCAGCTTTCAGTCACACAGTCAAGAACAAAGCGAGTTTGAATCTGAACACGAGGTTCCAGTATCGGCACTGAAATCATGATGCCCTTTATGACTTCATTATCTGTCAGGGAGAGGCTCGGAGAAACAGGAAAATCGGTTATTTGTAGCTACTCCATTATCTGAAAAATATCCGCGCATAAGTCACATTGGGCTCTAAGGGTTTTACTTTCCACAAGTAGAGAATGCTGGTGAACAGTTGGAAAATAAGAATTCTCTGGGCTTCCTAAACACAATGGCTGCTGTTAAGTTGAATTTATGTATCAGGCCACATAAAAATGTGTGAAAATGAAGAATCAGGAACTAAAGAAAGTAAACAATAGAGAAGAGAAACACTCTTGTCATAAAATCAGTCTGTCTTTTAGACAATTTGTGGCGGGTGGGAAATGGAATTTTTCACATGCTCAGTGCACAGATTTAAACTGTTGATACCTCTTTCGATGTCACAAGGTGGAGGACTTGGAGTATGTGAAAGCTGGTGCTTTCCCCAGGGACCGTGGAGAACAAATGCCCGGGCAGGAGGGCGTGCCTCGGGAGACTCCAGGAACATGAAGAGTATCCCTTGGCATGACCTTTGGATAAAGCCAACTCTTTGTGAACTCAAAGTGACTTGCTGGTTTCCCCAGAGCATGGCTGGCCCCCAAGGGTGTCTTCCTAGCAGTGGCTTGCATCATGCTGTGATAAGGGCTTCTGTCACCCTACAGATGTGAAAGCTCTCCCCTAACTCAAACATCAGCCAAGCACCCCGAGCTACCCTGCAGAGCCAGAGCCTCGGATGTGTGAGGAGTTGCCCCAGCTGGATCAACCAAATCAGGAAGAGACTTTGGCCATTTCAAAAATAAACTTCTCTGCCCACCTCAGTTCATTCGGCTGAAACAGACCAGGGTGAGTCTCACAGTGTCTTCTCCTATTTGGCTACTTTAGCCTGGGGTACTCACACAGGTCAACCCATCTGAACACATGAAAATAGTTCCCATTTAGGCAACCTCAGTTTCTCTTTTATAATCCCTGCAAAGTTAATATAGACTTTCAGGCTAGATTCTACCCAGCTCCAACATTCAACACATCACTCACCTGGTGTGAAAGGAGCCCAGGTCAATATCTAGCTAATGTGTGCCCTGCTGAATCGGCCCGATGACTAACTCTTTTATGTGCTTGCTTCTTGTGAGCTGAAAACTAAACAGAAACTATTTACAAAGCCCAGGGGCCTGAATGGGTGGCTCTCTCAGCAGGGGGTGGGGCCCCACCAAGCTTGGGATGAGGTTGTCAGCTGGGGCCAATTTAGATTTCCCTGACCGCCACTGTCAGCCTTCTCCAGCTTTTGCACAAATTCTATATTCCACTGACTATAGCCTCCCAGCCTCAAATCACTTTGGGAAGCTCTACAAAGACTCATCTCTGACCTGGGTCTTTGTTGTTATTTCCTGCATGAAAATGGGGGTAGGAGAAAAAAAGAGAGACTTTTTTTTCACTGTGTCAGAGTTTGTAAAGTGACACTTGAGTAAGTCTGTGGGGTTAGAGTTATTCAGAGCAAAGGCATACTGTGAAGGAAGCACTTTACAACAGATTGGGTAACAAATCCCGGCCCTGTGTCTGCAGGGCTGATTTTTCGCCTGAAACTAAGAGCTGCAGCTCAGCTTCCTCCTGGGCACCACTTCAGTTCAACAAGCCCAAAGCCACCCTGACCAACTGCCGTCCTAGGGCCCCTCTCACTCCTACATGAGTCTGCCATTGGCCCAGTGCTTCAAACCCACAGTCTGCCTCCCCTCCCATCAGTCACCAAATCTCACCAAGTCGACTTCCTTTCTGCTGCTCACCCCTTTCCACTCTCCCACCACTCTGCTGCTGCCAGTGTGGATGGGCCCGTATCCTCTCCACCTGCACTAGAGTAACATTCCCCTCGCAGGGGCCCCTGCTTCCAGTTCATCCCTCCAATCCTTGCTCCACACTGCAGTCAAGGGTGAGCTTTCTGAAGCAAAAACTCTTCTCAAGTCATTCCCTCCTTGCAGGGCTGCCAGGCCTGCAGGGAACACTGTCCAGTTTTCTAGGAGTGCAACTGAGTCAGGGGCGGGGATTCTGGAGGAGGCTGAGATTTGAGAAGGATGAGTCAGCTCCAGACAAGTTGAGTTTGAAGTGGCTTGAATCATCCTGGAAAAAATGTCATATGGGAAGCAGATAGTCTGTCTAAAGCTCGAAAGAAATGCAGCGGCTGGAGATGGGCCCTGGAAAAACGGGCTTTATCTCTGGCCCTGTCCTCCACAGATCCCGCTGTCCTGCACCATGTTTCAGACACACTGGCCTCCTTGCAGTTCCACATGCCCTTCATGCCCTCATCTCCTGGAGCTTTACAGATGGAGACCCACATATGGAAACACTCTCTCCAGCCTTCTCACACGCTTTGCCTGCTGATCCTCTACTTGTCCTTCAGGACTTGGTTTCAACAGCAACCCCAACAGGATGTGCTCCCAAAGCACATGCACTTGCCACCAGGGCCACATTGATCGTTCATGCTGAGATCAACTATTTCCTGTCTTCTCCCACCACTAGACTCCAAGATCTGGGGTATGCGCTCAGTAAATATCTGTTAAGCAAAAGAATGATTAATTGTTTAATTATTTATCTACAGTATCAAGAAGTTCTATAAGCCCCAGGAAAGATAAATATAAAGAAATGCACACCTAGACATATCATCATAAAACTGCAAAAAAAAAAAAAAAGACAAAAAGAAAATCTTAAAAGCAGCCAGAGAAAAAAAATTCAAGTACCTTCAAGTGAGCAATAGATTGACAGCTAATGTTCCACACAAAAAAACCCCAAAAACCAAAAAAAAAAAAAAAAAAAAAAACAGAAGGCAGCAAACAATGCAATGGTATGTATCTACAAAGGACAGAAGAAAATCAGCTGCCAACCTAGTAACACACTGTGCATGGGGAAAACATGCTTCAAGAATGAAAGTTAAAGAAAGAGGCCGGGTGCGGTGGTTCACACCTGTAATTCCAACACTTTGGGAGGCCAAGGTAGGTGGATCACCTAAGGTCAGGAGTTCAAGACCAGCCTGGGCAACATGGTAAAACGCTGTCTCTACTAAAAATACAAAAATTAGCCAGGCCTGGTGGCTTGCAACTGTCATCCCAGCTACTTGGGAGGCTGAGGCAGCCTCCCGAGGCAGGAGAATCACTTGAACCTGGGAGGTGGAGGTTGCAATGAGCTGAGATGACACCACCTCACTCCCACCTGGGCAACCATAGCGAGACTCTGTCTCAAAAAATAAATACATAGAAAGTTAAAGAAAGACATTTCTGTATCAATGGAAGCTAACATATGCAAGTTGCAAGCTGACTCATACTAAGTGAAATCCTAACAGGCTTTCTTAGATGAAATGCCAGAGATCGTGAATGGTAAATATATGGGCGCATAAAGTGAATGTTGGATGTATAAAATAGCACTTGTTTATATCTGAACAGAAAAGAAGAGAAGCAGTTCTCTTTAGTCAGAAGAGATAGGCATTAGTTATGAAGCTTGGACAAGAAAGGAGAAAAGAAAAACACATTTATTGAGTCATTACTATTTTCCAGATTTTTCTACCATATGACTACTATTTCTAAGGGACGGGACTTCAGTTTCCAAGAGTTTTTAATACACTGTAACCTTACAAGACAAATTCCTACAAAATCCCACCGATTCTTAAACTCATTGATTCTACAAGGAGAGAAAGCTAACCACATGCCTCCCGGCCAGCCCGGAATCCCCAGTGGAGTTTTCTCTCCCCTTCCTTCCTCCCAGAGGAGGAGGAGGATCCCTTCCAGGGAGACTGGAAACTGAGAGGAGTCTGACTACATGATCTCCTGCTTTTCCTTGGATCTAGCAACGCTTTCTGCTCCACAATTTTTCACTTTTCATTTCTTCCCCATTGTCAGTATTCATAGTGTATCTATCCACAGGACCTTCACCCTAGAAGGGACCCTCATGGTTCCCTGTTCTTACTCTTTTCACAGAGGAGGAAACTTAGCCTCAGCTAGGCGAGTGCTTCAGGTCACTGACGAAGTTAGTATCAGGATCTAGACTAATACCAGTAACAGCTGTGGTTAGCTATTATGTGTCCAAGGTGCTTAATATACATATCTCATTCATTCTCTCTCCACTGTGTAATCAGAATATGGTAGGTCATGCTAGAAACAACCATTAAATCTCAACGGCTTCACACCACAAAAGTTTATTTCTCACCCATGCAAAGTACCCTAGAGGTCTCGGTGACTCTCCACAGCTGCTGTCCTTCATGGGATGGCTCAGGGGTTCAGGCTTAGGGCACCTCCAAGTCTCCTGAGCTCCCATCATTCCCATGGCAAGAGAAGAGAAAGGTGTAGACATGGCACCAGCAATAAAACACTTTTTGGTTAGCCTGAAGGAGTCACATGGTCATCCATACTTCAGAGCGGTGGGAAAATGGCTTCCCTAAAAACTAGGAGCTAAGGGGCTGAAAGGCAGTTCTCCAGTCCAAGATGACCCAGTGTTAATGCTGACTTTAATCATCTTGACATTCAGCATTCTGAAGGCACTGCCTCTGAATTATTCCCAACACCACTAAAAAATAAATTATTATTTAAAAAAAAACTCACTAATACCTACAAGTTTACAAACCTGAAATCTATCCTTGACTTCTCTCTCTCTCTCCCCTTCACTACACACATCTGATTCATGAAAACACTGCCCCATCTCCTCAGTCCTCTGGAGCGTGTCCCCTTCCCCTGATGTAGCTGCCCTGGCCAGGCCCTCTCTCCCAGACTCATTACCTGCCCTGATCCCAGCTGCAGGTCTAGGTCCATTCTCTACACTGACTCCAGATTGGTCTTTCTGAATACCTGAGCTGGTTATGTCCCCTCTTATGCCCTCCCTGACTTCTCACAGTGTCTAAGACCAAACCCCACATAGCACAAAAGTGTGCTGTAGAAGACTGTCTTGCCCTATCAACTCTTAGGTTAACCATAGGGCATGACAAGGAGATATTGAAAGTTCACGAGAAGGCTGGGCACGGTGGCTTACGCCTATAATCCCAACACTTTGGGAGGCTGAGGCAGGTGGATCACTTGAGGTCAGGATTTGGAGACCAGCCTGGCCAACATGGTGAAACCTGTCTCTACTAAAAATATGAAAATTAGCTAGGTGTGGTGGCACGCACCTGTAGTCCCAGCTACTAGGGAGGGTGAGGCAGGAGAATCGCTTGAACCAAGGAGGCGGAGATTGCACTGAGCCAAGATAGCGCCACTGCACTCCAGCCTGGGCAACAGAGCAAGACTGTCTCAACAAATAAATAAATAAAAATAAAGTTCACAAGAAAAGGATTCAGCCTCCATCTAGTAATAATAACTAACACTCGAGTAATAACTATGCAGCAGACAGTCCTCTGAGGACGTACATGGATTAATTCACATAATCTTTACAACAACTGCTCGGGAGTAGATGCTACTGCTCGCCCCATTTTAGTGGTAAAGGAGATAATTCAGATAACACATGACCTTGCCCAAGGTCACCTTGTTACTGGTGGAGGGCCTTGACTACAAGTCGTACAGATTCTTGGTATTTTGAACAGAGAATTGGACAAAACACACAAAGCAATGAAAAAATTAAGCAATGAAAGCAGATTTATTGAAACGAAAGTACACTCCACATAGCGGGAGCAGATGCAAGTGAGCCCCTCAAGAGTGCTGGTTACAGAATTTTCTGAGGTTACAGAATTTTCTGGGAAACCTCCAGAGGTTTCCCATTGGTTACCTAGTTACACTCTATGCAAATGAAGACTTAGGCCCGTGATCAGTCTGATTGGTTGCGGGAGATAATCAATCAAAGGTACTTTCCAGTTTTCATCTGCCTTGCAGTGGAGACGGGGGTAGTTGCAAAAGGAGTACCTCTGATTCTTTTGTTACTTGGGTGTGGAGAGGTGAAGTTTTTCCTTTTGATTCAGTTCTAGGAAGTCAGCGTGAATCAGCCCTAGGTTCTCTGGCCCCAGACTCTATTTTCCTGCCTCAACTTGACACCTTACTAGGAGGCCAGGGATTCCAACCCAGATATTAGGCTGCAGAGGGTGCAAATGGAATCTGGCCTCTCCAGGACATTGGACTGGGTCATTGCAGGCTGCCTGTGGGCCACTTCTCAGATCTACGGAAGCCACACTTTCTGGTTCACCACCTGGGCCTTAGAGCATCCATCCTCCTTTCCCTTTGAAGCTCAGAGCTTTGTAGGACTTACGCCTCCTCCAGTCAGTCACGTCCCGGCTTCTCTATGCATACACTCCATAGGCAATCAGTCCACCTTGCTATAAAGCAAGCCAAGTCTGCATTATCTGATCACTTACATTGGGCCCATTCAGATGGCCTTTCCAGGGATTCCTGGTCAAAGAGGCTAGCTGTCTTCCTCAGGTCATCAGAAATAAGGCTGGAGATCGAGAGTTACCCCAGCCTTTGTCCAAGGAACTACCTCTAGTCCATTTATGCCAAACTGATGTGATTTGAAAGGATCTGTCAAAGCACATATGTGGTTTTCATTAACTGGCTCCCTAGAATGGAGGAATGAGTCAGGGAGAAGTCCTTCACTGGGTTGGAACCCCCCAGCTTTCCTTTAGCTGGGAAGGGTGGCATCTGGAAGGAGTCCACTCTGCATTTTATTAGAACACTCAGTCACCTTGTTAAAGGCCCCGGAAAGACAGGGAGAGTGGATGGTAGTTATCAGGCCCATCCACATTGATCCCAGGCCATCTTTATCCATCTTAATATGCCATCTTGGCCCTTAATACAGCTGATGACTAAACAGACTTGAAATGAATTTTAACACTGTTTCCCAGCATTTGTGGAAGATATGAATCATAATCATATTTTCTTATTGTTATCTCTGAGCAACTATACATAGAAAAAACCAAAGTTATATCGAATAGCCCCCAAGTTTTCATGATCTTTTGGGAAACATGACTAACAGTAGTTAGAACCATGTGCTTTTTTTCTAACAAGAGATAATCAGGTGATGCTGGGATGTCCTTGAGCCCCCAAGGTAAAATGGGAAACAGAAAATGGGAATCACAGCACCTCAGTTATACCTTAACACAGAAGCAAGTCTAATTTCTTATTCCTCTTAACCCATAATGTCACATCAAATCATAAATTAGAAATAATATGGTTCTCCTTCCCTGTCCAAGGCTGGCAGATGCTTACACATACCCTGAGTGCCCAACACATGCCCCTGGGCATCAGCACATGGGCTCAGGGCTTACGTCCACTGAAAATACTGCCTCCCTCCACTTCATCTCTGACCCTTGATCAGTTCGTAAGCAATGTCTTGCAAATGGGTGCTCAGTGTGTCTGTGCATGTGGCAGGGATGAGGTGACCACTAGGGGACCAGCAAACTACCAGAGAAGGGCTTTTCCTCATCAAGCATAGCTCTCAGATTCCCTCCCGAAAGGGCAATGAATGGAACAGTTGGAATGTGCAGAACTGTTTGTGGCCTGGGTCTGTCTGATCACACCTTACTTGCATGTGGTTAGTGTCATTTTAGTCAAGGGCTCCTTGTGTTGTTAATGAGCATGAAGACATCTAAGAGCATAACCTAATTGACTTGAGCACATTTCGATTCCTACTGAGATGCCAGAGATCAGACAACATTATGTCAGACAACATTATGTCAGTCTCCCTTCCCTTCCCCCACCGACCTAGGTGAGGACAGGCATTTCCTGCCTAAATGTTTCATTTCCCAAGACCACCCCGGCCTGCCACGCCCCCATCCTGGGCCTATAAAAACCTGAGATGTTAGCTGGCAGACACAGAGGTAGCTGGACATCGTGAGGAGCGCATCCGCGGAAGTAGACACAAGCGGCTGGTCAGTCGCCTGGTCATGGAGAGCCCACAGGGAGAAGAGCCACTGGGAGGCTGGCAGGCCATTGACTGGCGGAAGGACGCGTAGTTTGGACTGAGCAGTCAGAGAAAAGCTAGAAGAGCCGGGCCGCAGAGCAGCCTGACTCCAGGGTAAAACCATGTACTTTCTGGCTCTCCCATCTGCTGAGAGCCACTTCTACTCAATAAAACCTTGCATTTATTCCTAAAGTCACATATGATCCCATTCTTCCGGTACACCAAGGCAAGAAACTGGGAGATACAGATATCCCTGTGTCCTTGTTTTAAGGAAGTCTAATTGAGCTGGTTAACGCAAGCCACCTATAGACAGCAATCTAAAAGAGCACCTGTAACACAAGCCCACTGGGGCTCCAGCTGTAAATATCCACCCCTAGACATTGTGGTGGGGTCGGAGTCCCACAGTCTGCCTGTCTGTATGCGCTCCTAGAGCTATGAGTAGCCAGACACTGAAGAAGCGAGCCACATCACCATTGCACGCCCTGTGAGGAGGACAAGGGAACCGGCCTGGTTTCAATAAAAGATACATCTTTTACCATATTTTGTTTTGCAGGCAATCTTGATTTCACTCTAACAATTAGAGGAAGGTGTTTTGGAAGAACCAATAGTCTTTAAGTGCCATCATATGGTAGAAGAAATATATTTGGTCTTTCTCTCCAGTGGCTGGCACAGAGCTTCTAAGCCTCTTGGAATTTCCTGTGTGGTAGGGGTGTCTTCTGTTATTCAAGAGCCCCTTTCTCTCACATGGGTGTTTATGCTGAGGAGGTGACTTAGGGTGGGGCCGCTAGATAGCCCCAGGATAAAGCTGGTGGCCAGAAAGACCCTGTGATCAGAGAGATGGGACTTCCAGCCCCATCCACCAACCTCCGAGAAGGGGAGCAGGGCTGAAGATTAATTTCTATCAACCTCTTGAGCAATGGAGATTTGATGAGCTTTTAGGTTGGTGAACGTCTTCAGGCGCTGTGGGGGTGGCATACCCACAGGGCATGGAGGCTCTGAGACCCTTCCCCAATCCTTGCCCTATGCATCTCTTTGGCCATTCATCTGTACTCTTTATAACACACACACACACACACACACACACACACACAGAAATCACTGCTGCCATCTGCCATGGGTTTCTCCTGCTCACCGTGAATTGTATGGCTTCCTGACCTATTGCTGTGTCTTCTATTTCAGGCATCAGGCAAGAGCCTACCAAGGAGTTTGTGAGTTTTTAAAAAGGTTTTTACTTCGAGTGACAAGGTCAGCAATAGAACACTCTCACACCATTAAGATCCTAACTGGTTAAAAGCCTTACAGTGATATTCAGAAGCTACTTTTCAGAAGAAACCAACCAACAGCAAATGAAATCAGATTTCTTGAGGAGAGCCCTGGGAGGCAGGTGGATTAATGGTAAGTGGTCAACTTTGCAACAGATACAAGAGGGTGGATTTTGTCAGATAATCAGCAAGCCTATGTTTTCAAAACCAGATCAACAGCTCAACATTCCGTGTCTCATGTGAGACCGTACCCTGGGATGCGGCATAAGCTCACTAGCAAGTGTTTCTTTCCCCCCACTTCCTCTTCCGGGGATGAATCCCCACTGTATGCAGACCAACACACCAGTCATCAGGGGGACCCCCAGAGCTGAAACAACCAGACCTTTCATCTGAGAAAATACATCCCCATCTCATATGAAAATTGTGTGGATCCAAAATGCTTTTTTAAATTAAATTTTGTACTTTTTCGCCAGTTGGAATATACTTTACACCTTTCCTAAATGGCTTGACAGTTTTTTTTTTAATTTAAAACAATAGTACTAAAATTGAATTTTAAAATTAAAGATGAAAGACAATAAGAAAAACTGGTCAAAGCAAAGCCTGCGTTGGAACCAATCTACCAGAAAGTCCTGCAGAATTGTTCAGGCTTCTCAAACCCCACTCCGCTTATATCAAACCAGAGGAATGGAGTCCTTCAGACAGCTAGCAGATTTTGATTCCATTCATGCAAAAAAATGGTCAGCGCTGACTCTGGAATGCGCCCCTCCCAGGGCAGCAGCCCTACATAGGGGACCTCTAAACATCCTTTAATAATGCCCTGCCCCAGGGGGAGTGAAAGGGCAGAGGGTGGGGTGGCCCCTGCGCCGCAGCGGGAGAGTCTGGCCCAGCTCACGCTGCCTGGAGCCAGCAGGTGACCTCACCCAGCGTGGCTCCGGCCTTTTAACTTTTTCATTAAAGAAGCCATTTTTCACCGAGACATCTATGAGGAGAGAGGACAAGAAGGCCGATTCTTTCAGGTTGCCAAGGACGCGTTGCAGAGCGTGTGGGGGCCGCGGCGGAGCGGGCGGGGCGGCAGCAGCTGCCGGGCAGAGGACAGCGCGCCCCGGGGACAGGTGTGGGCGGCCCAGCCTGCGGGACTGCCCTGCGCGGCTGCCCTGCGCGGCTCCTCCAGACCCCGCCCTTGCGCGAGTGCGGGGAGCCGGGGCTGCTCGAAATCTGCCTGGACAAGGGGCTGTTATTGAGGGGCAGCGTGGGGGCGCTAGGGCGGCAGGTGTGCCCCAGACAGCGCTTCACCCCGCAGTAAATTCCGTAATTACAGGTCACCAAGTGGGCGCCCCTTTGAAGTGAGAGACTTTCTTGTTGTTCCTGCAGCGGATACAATTTGGCTGAGATATCAAATGCAGATAGTAAAAATTTAATTAACAAATCAAAGCCTTTATCTGCAGTTTTCAGAACTGTGGCCAACAGTTTCCCTCCATCTCAAGAGCTCCAGTCAGACGAAGAGAAGAAAGCAGCGCCTTTGTAGCACATAAAACGGACTCTCCCTCATGATTGCTCTCACAGATAAGGCTTCCAGTGACTGCAAGAGGCTTGGAGGCCCCTGCCATGGCTGCGTTTTGAAAGCCCTTTGACGCGGGTGCTCTGGTTAACCCTTTATCTTCAGAGCTCGGGATGACTCTCACAAGCCAGGCTGGGAGAGAAGGGGAGCCTCTTGTGTGGGGTTACATCCCCAGGACCAAAAAAAAGTAAACAACCCAGACCTTCTTATTAGGTACCTAATGTGGACTCAGTTTCATGAGGGCCACAGAGATCAAGTCATACTAGGTTGGTGCAAAAGTGACTGCGGTTTTTTTCCATTAAAAGTAGTGGCTAATATTACTTACAGCTGCCAACCACTTAATTGCAGACTCAAAAGGGTTGAGAATGTGTCCAGACTCGTAATGCAGACGGAACTCTCAAGAAAAAAGCAAGAGGAAATTATGCAGGCAACATGTAATTAACATCCAATCAGAACATCCGAATCCAAATGTGTGGGTATCTGTACTACATACATACCTACCCTTGTTTAAAACTATCAAGGTGCAATCTCTATGATTAAAGGTGGTTTTATTTTCATTTTTTGTGCTTAGCTTTAGCTTTCCGGGTTCCTGAAATTAAAACATGTGAAATGTATAATAACAAATTACTACATCAGTTAATGGAGCTCCTGAGGACAGAGAGCAAGCGCAGGGGCAGCTCCCAGTGCTGGCCAGCATGTGGTTTGGAATGGCTGGACTAGACTAGGTTGAATGGGATGGACCAGGGAGGGATAAAGTTCCCTCAAGGCTGCAGGCCTAGAGTAGGAAGGGAGCCACCCAAAAGGAGAATGCAGAGGAGATCAGGAACCCAGCTGGAGGAAGTGTCTGCGTCACCAAGGCAGGAATGACGCTTGGCCAGAGGAAATGAGGAATCTCCCCTTCATATCACCCCCTTTCCCAATTTCCAGGGGAATGTGCATATGCTGGAGGATTCTAACATTGTCCCATAGTCAGCTGCTGTGTTGTTAAGTGGACTCCATGAACTGGGCAAAAGTGGAAGAGATTAGGAAGCCCAAAGGGGAGAGAGGAGGCCCGTAATACCTGAAGCATGAGAGCAGCAAATGTATTCATCAAATTTGATAGGAAGCCTATCTCACAGGCTATGTTGAAATGAGGCTTTCTGGGGGCTGGTGGTGGGGAGACACAGGCAGGCTGAGGATTAACCAAAGTTAAAATGGCCAACCCAGAAGTACCTTCGCACCGTGGGGCCAAGAATGTGAAACTCAGAGAGCAGGGCCCAGGGTGCTGAGTTCCGGAAGCCAGAACATCCACTAAGAGGGAAGAAGAGCGGGTGCAGCCCCCTCGGTGGTCTCTGGGATATTCCTGCATCCTAACCTTCACTTGAGAAAGGCAAAGAAATGTGGGAACCAGGGAGGCAGATGGGGAAAGGGAAGCATTACCAAACGCATTTCATCTTTATCAAGTCTTGGAAATGTGACCCCTGCCTGGGAACATTTCAGCATTGCAAAGCTATCTTGTGCAGCTTGTCCCTGGAAGTGAAGTGACTGACTACTTGAGACCACTGTACCAGAGGCCAGCGGAGGGACCTTGCTTGGAAACGGTTGGGAGCAGCTGACCAAGAGTTCCCACCCAACTCCATTCTATAACTACAAACCCCACATCTACCATCAAACCCCTGGGAGGTTTCCATTCTAGCAGCTAGAATGTTCCATTTCTAAGCATGAATATCATCTAAGATGCATTTGACAATTAAAGCTATTTATTACTGTCATTACTTCTCTTTCAGGGGATCATCTTATTGGAAAAGCAAGAAAACACTCCTGCGATACAGTCCGGATGAGTGCAGGTTATAGATGAATCTTTAAGAAGATGCTGTCATGTTTATTACATCCCATGGTTTCAAAACATATTTCCTCCCCCAGAGGTTCAAAGAGGAAAAAAAAATTAAGAGCTTCAAAAACAACAGAATTGCAGGCCTTCATTTATTTTTACAGTTCACTGGGTCTGTAATGTATTAAACATGAGAGGCTCCTCTAGACCAGCCTGTTTTTAATAAGTGTGCCTTGCTAATTCCCCTGCATTTGCTTAATGAACATGAGAGCTGCAGAGCAGAATCAGGGTGTTCTTGAACCGCATGCAGCTAAACACATGCTCGCTTAGGTGTTTGATGAATGCAAAGCTGACGTTTAAGGTGTGCTAAGGGAGATGTCCAAAATTATAGATGTTCCTATTAATTTATTAATGCAATTAATTAGTCAACAAATAGTTATTAACTATAGCTGCTATTTATTGGGAACTTGTTATGAGCCAAGCCTGTGCTAAAACATTGTTTAATCATCACTGAATTCCTGAGAAGCAGGAACCATTATCTCTACTTTCCCAAAGGCACGATAACAATCAGAGACAAGATTTGACTCCAGACCTGTTTTACTACAGAGCCTCTGCTCTAAATCAGTCTCATGCTGATTTAGAGCCACCAAATTACAGGGAAATTCCCTGTTGGAGAATATAAAACCATATATCTATGGCCCCTAACTGCTTGCTATAAGTTTATGGTATCTTCACGTACTAGGGCATACACATAAACTGTTAACCAGTGACTCAGGACAGCTTGTCAGCTCCCAGTGATGGCACGGAAAGTAAGTGCTGCAGCATTCAAGGGTGCGTGTGATCCTGTCCTGGAGTTACCAAGAATGTTTCCAACGGGGAAGATCATGAACAGGCTTTCTGGTAGTGGTTTTGGGAGAGGAGGCTTGAAGGCAGCCCAGGCTAATGTTTTCATAAGTTCTGGGTAGGTTAGAAGGTGAGGGCAGACAGTCTAAAAGCACCTTTGCATGTGCTTGCAAAAATCTAAAGAGAAAAGATTCATTTCCATGGTCACTGTAGTAGCTAACGTAGTTTCAATCTACGGTAACATAGATTTTTAACATAGTTAGATAACATAGTATTTAACACAGTTCATATCTATGGTAACAAGCCTATAATAAAGCTAATAATACTACCACCAACCACACTGTGATAAGTCCTTTGCAGTTATCTCATTCCATATTCAAATAAGCCTAAATTCCTGTCATATCCTCATTTAACAGATGAGAAAACTGAGGCCTGTAGAGGTAGACCAGTGGCTCATGTTCACACAGCCACTCACTGGCAGAGTAAAACCTGCTCTCTCTGATGCCAACATGTGCACTTCAGCACCTGGCTCTCCAAGTAGTAATGTAGGAAGACGTGGATAATGATTCAAACTGACTCCAAAAAGAGATTCTTGGAAGCTGCACTGTGGAAGCAAAGAAGCAGCTTGTACTGGGAGTCAAAGAAACTCATAAGGATGGAGAGAGAGTGAAAAGAGAGATGGCATCGCCCAGAGGTGAAGAGCCCTCATTTCCCTTTCTCCAAAAGAAGTTAATCTGGCAAATAATCTTCATGTCAAGGACACGACTAAGGGTGTGTGTGTGTGGCCCAGGAGGATGGGAGGTGACGCACACAACAGGGTCCTGAGTGTCTGTCCCGGGATGAGGCTCAGACCCTCACCCTGAGTAACATGAGCAGCCACAGAGTGGGATCTGGCTGGCCTGTGGAATTCGGGATTGCTCGTGCAAACACACTCACTCGATATTCATGACATGTCATTTCCTCCCTGGGAGGTCCATATGTAATAAGAGGCTGTGCATGATCATATTGCCATGGTCCGGTACCCTTAGTAGAAAGTGGATGTGAGAATACCCTAAGAGAAGGTCACATTGCTCTACAACTGGCTTTTAGTTTGGCCATCATTGCAAAGGCTCAGCCAGCTGTGAGGGGTCAGCAGCTGCTGGCCAGCCAGTCACTTGGCAGAGCAAGGTCTCTCAGGCTGAGACTGGGGCTTCAGGACAGGACCAGTCCCTGTGGCCTGGAGCTACCAGGAGTCTTGCAGCACTGCAGCTTCTCTTCCTGCTGCCTCCACATCTACTTTTCATCCCTGTTGAGGATCTGCCCTCCCCTCCCTCAATCCTACAAAGCCAGCCTCAGAGGTGATGCAGAAAACATGGCCTCAAGGAAGAGCCTGGACCAGGCGGCAGGGTCCCAGGTTCTAGCCTTGGCTCTGCCCAAAGTCCACTATGTGATCTTGGGCAAATCGTATATATAAAAACCCTGCTTGAAGGACACTACGAGCCCCCAGAACAAGGAGGATTTACCTGTCCAGAAGAAGAGGGAAGCCAACAATGAGGAACCCTGGGCTTGGAGGCCATTGTTCGCCATGGGACAGAATCCCAAAACCAGGGCAGTGGCTGAGGAGCAAAATAACCAAAGAAAAGATGATCTAGCTAAAGAGCTAAAGAGCGGAGCTTTCTGCAGACTCACAACGGTAGCGGGGCAAGATTTGGAGTTTGGGGCTCAGCAAAAAGAAGAGGCCCTGACAAATAGTCCAAATAGTTCAGGTTCTCATGAGAATCCTGAAGGCTCCCCGAGGAATGAGTGAACCAGAGATGGACCAGCCCTCACAGGACAGAAGCCCAGCCTCACCCTTGAATAGTCCCAACTCCTGGCTGGGTTCAGATGACCAGAGCCTTCCAGAAGCACAAGTGCATCCTTCAGGGACAAAGAAAGAACCCCAGGCAGGAACACGAGGTGCAGGAGAGAACAAAGAGAAGCGAGTATGTGGGTGAATAGAACTGAATGCTGACTATCCCATACAGTTACCATGTCCTGGAGGGTTCTAAATATACTAAAATTAAAGCACATGTAGCAATAGCACAAAAGGAGGGAAGGAAGTGAAGTTAAAGTCTTCTAAGGTCCCTTCATTCAGAAAGCAGTAAAAGAATTAATTTTATTTGACTTAAGAGAGTCAAGGAAACATACTATTTCTATGATAACCACTAAAATAACAGTAAAAAGAAGGTATAACTAACAAACTAATAGGAGGGAGGGATGAATTTTTAAAATAACTAACCTGAAAAACAAGCACAAAAAGAAGGGAAAAGGAATATAGACATATTCCTTTGAGAATGAGAAACCAATACAATGAGAAAACAATACAATCATAAACTTTAGTAATTACACTAAATGTAAATGCATATTGCAATTAAAAGACAAAGGTTATCAGACTGTAGTAGAAGAAAATAACTGATGCTTACTAGAGCCATACCTTAAATATAAAAGTAAAGGAAGTTTGAAAGGATGGGAAAAAACATAGCATGCAAAATAACCCAAGAAAAGATGGTCTAGCTATACTAATATCAGACACTTTAAGGCAAAAACCATTTCTAGAGACAAAGAATAACACCTCATAATTATTTATCTAATAGAAAATAATAATTTTACCACTTCCTTAACAATGTTTCAGTAAGGAATGAGCCAAGCCATAGAATGGGAGAAGCTTTTTGTCATACATCTATCTGACAAAGGACCCTCAAAACCAGAGTATAGAAAGAATTCTTGTAAGAAAAAGTAAGACAGTACAGTTTCTTAATGGGCAAAATCTAAACAGGCACTTTACATAAAAAGGATATCCAAAATGGTCAACAGACCTATAAAAAGTGCTCAGTTATATTAGTCATCAAGGAAATCTCAAATTAAAGCACGATGGAATAAGTGAGGGTTCACACACCACCTAATAGCTAAAATTTAAAAGACAACATCAAGTATTGGCAAGGATGTGGCACAAACAGAGTTCTCATACCCTGGAGAACATATATATTGGTATAAACTCTCTAAGAGCTGTTTAACAGTATATACCAAAGGTGGCCATACACCTACCTCACAACCAAGCAACTGCCCTCCTAGGTATACAGTCAACAGAAATATGGACACGTGTGCACCACAGACATGCTCACAGCAACTTTACTCATAATATTCCAAAATAGAGAGCAATCAAAATGCCCATTAATTATAGAATGGATAAAATGGTGTCTACAGTATATCACATGATGGAACTCTTTATAAATAAATAATGAAATGAAATGAAAATGAAAGAACTTCCATAATCAGCAGCAACCTTGCTGAACCTCAACAACACACAGGAATCACACAAACAGGATACTGAGCAAAGGACACCAGACACGAACACACACTGTATGGTTCCATTTATATAACATTTAAAAACAGAACAAACGGATCTATGATAGTAGAACTCAAACTTGTGGTTACCTTGGGAGGAGGGGTAGTGATTAAGGGGACACCAGGAGGCTCCTGGAAGGTTCTGTTTCTTGATCTGGGAGCTGGTTACATGGAAGTGTTGAGTCTGTAAGAAATCATCAGGCAGTACACATATTATCTGTGCACTTTTCTGTCTGGATGTTGCTCTTCCATTTAAGCACAATGTTTGTTTTTAGTTAGTAAGTCTAATATGATATCGCAAGAGGCAGAATCTCTGAAAGTCTGAGTCTTTCTCAGAATCTGTGTGAGCAACAAGCTAACTGGCATTGAATTTTCTTTCCTAGGCAACAGACATTCAGGAATTCCACCGTCCCAGGCACTCCCCAGTCTCCTCTTTTCAGTTTGATCTGTGAGGAGCCAGTTTCTGTGTTGCCAATGCCCAGGCCAAGGCAGGGTCCTGGGGCAGCAGATCGGTCCCAGGCTGAGGAAAGTGCAGGGGTCAGTGGCAAAAGACTGGGACTTTTGGGGCAGCCCTACCCTATTTGTGTTGCAAAAATCACATTTTCTAATAAATGAAGCATTAATTTGATTGAATTGCAACAGGCATGGATTAGAAAAATAACAATAATGATTGTACCTGTTGGCAGAGCCTGCAATGGCATTGGTATTCTTACACCACTTGCTGGCATTTGTTTCCTAAAGGAATAGTGAGTGAATGACCTCAGGCCGCTGAGCTGTGAGCGGCATCAGGTTTGTTTTGGATCTCTGGCTGGCCAGGCCTGATGTGGCCCAGACAACAGGACAACCTGATTCCCTAAAACCAAATTGGCTGTTCTCCAGGTCACAGACTGAGGCTCTGGGGCCACACATGTCCTGCCTTCCTCCCCAGTGGCTTGCTGGGCGACCTGGCCTTTGCCACTCAGTGAAATGTGTTGCTGCAGGAAGTTATCCTGTTGAGGATGCCTGAGACCAGCAAGTAGGAAGACGCCTGGTGGAGCAGAGGAAATGCAGGGCTCCTCAGTTATGGCGACCTAGGCCCTGGCTTTAGGGGTGGGGGCAGTTAGAGCAGGAGGACTTTCTACAACCAAGGAGGGAAGAGTTGTGAAGCGGGCAGGGGGTTGATTAAGGAAGCAGCAAAAGGCAAAATGGAAGAGAGCTGAGCCAGACATGGGAGGCTAGATGTGGGTTGGCAAAAGCAGCAAAGGGAGGTTGCAGAGCTGTGAATCGACCAGCTAATAAGCCATGTGCTATGCAAGCCTGCAGCCTCACCGCCTTCCGCATGATCTGCAAATCAGTAATAAAGCTCCGGCTCAGCCGGGCAGGGTGGCTCACGCCTGTAATCCCAACACTTCTGGGAGGCCGAGGGGGGCGGATCACTTGAGGTCAGAAGTTCAAGACCAGCCTGGCTAACATGGTGAAATCCTGTCTCTACTAAAAATACAAAAATTAGCTGGGTGTTGTGGTGGGCCCTTGTAATCTCAGCTACTTGGGAGACTGAGGCAGGAGAATTGCTTGAAACCTGAGTTTCAGTGAGCTGATATTGTGCCACTGCGCTCCAGCCTGGGCAAAAGAGTGAGACTCCATCTCAAAAAAAAAAAAAAAAAAAAAAGCTCTGGCTTACTGGGCCCTGCGTCAGTGATGTCTGGAAAGAGAAGGGAGATACAGATTTGGATTGAGCAGCCAGAGAGGAGATGAAGCAACGGCCTCCCAGCGAAGGGTAGAGAAAGAGAATCCTGTCCGTGCAGGATGGTGGAGCGTTGGTGGCTGTGGAGTGAGAGGAGCCGCAGGCCAGCAAGCTGGGCAGGGGGCGATGGACAAGCAGATGGCCAAGCCTCTGTGAGCCTACCAGGCCGCAGTCACACAGCAAAAGAAAGAAGCGACCACTGCACAGGCATGGCTGGAATTAAGGAGAAAACATATAAGAAGTGCTAACACAGTGGCTGACCATGATTATTATCTTGTTCTTTGAAAAAGTCTCCTTTCCTTTCTCCCTTTTCTACCAAGTCCCAGATGACTGAGGAACTGTCTTTCTTAACGTGCCCAGGGACAAGTCGGCCTCCCCTAACCTCTGTGCCCAGCCTTGCTCCTTCAGTAGGGCCGTATCTGCACCTCTACAGTCTGCATTCAGACGTGGCCAGATTCCCACCCCGAGCCTAAGGCCTCTGCCATGCAAGGAGAGCTGTGATTGTGGGTTTGGTTGTAGAATTAAAATGGTTAAGGGGCGTAGGAGCCAGAGGAAGTTTTGTCATTCAGGGCAATACCTAATTAAGATGAGTAATCAGGAAACCTGCAAGAAAGGCGGTTTTCTTTTCTATAATGCATCCTCAAGCCTTAGAGAGTTTGACGTCTTTTATTCCATCAGCGCTTTCAGTTTCAACATTGCTCAACAAAGCATCCATAAAATTCAGAATATCCTCAGGTAGAGGCAAACCCTCCCCCTAGCCCTGGTCAATCTGGTTTTCTACTTTTCAGGAATGGGACGTAGAAACAAGTTCTGTTCCCTAGATCAATACTTTATTAGGTTGAAATCTACAGATGAAAAGGGTTGGCTAGGTTGTGTTGTTGCCTGCCAGGAAATCTGTGAAAACTATTTTCGTCTTTGCTAAGAGGTAAAATATTTATGTCTTTAATAAGCACGGTGACTGACTGAGACGTAAGTGTGCTTATAAATCGCTACAGCAAAAGTGTGTGTGCACACACTTCTTAAATAAAAGGAATTGGAGGCCTTACAAATACCACTCTCTGGTCCCTCCCTAGCTCCCTGGCCTAAGGGGTAAAAGAGCTGCGACCCTCAACTTCAAAACAACTCTGCCTCTTCTATCAGGCCTCTCTTGTTAATGTGAACACCAATTTTTCACCATCCTATGATAGCTATGGCTGTGTCAGACAAGAAAGTGGCAGCTTCTCACCTAAGCTGTAGCTCTCAGTTTCCTCCTGTGGGTAAACTGAGTGGTGGGGACTCAAGCTGGGGGATCAGGGGTGATCACCAGGCCTGAATGTCAAGTACGGAGCTGATGGCATGGCAGGCTGTGATACCGGCTGCACGTGCCCATCCGATGTCAGGGCATCCCCAGGGCGTTTCTGAACCCCTCGTACCAATTATAGCACTGTTCAAACACACACACCCAAACATGATTGTTCAGCTGACAGGTTAGGATAAAGCAGACATCTGACCATAACCACTAAACCACTCAGTGTAGGGAGCTCAGATTACAGGCACTGTGAAATCTGAGTAATCCTTGAAGGACCCAGGACACTTTCACCAGCCAATCTCCCTTCTTTACTGCACAGTTAATAGCAATGTGAAAGAAAACGTGCGTTGGCACAGAAACAGTTATGTGACCCAAATACCACGGGCTCAGCTCTGCAGACCACAGCCGGGGTCACACGAGAAGCACATGGGACAGAGGGTGCTGAGGCTACCAAGATATTGAAAGAGATTTCACTGCCATGGAACAGTACATAAACACAGTTTACTGAAGAATGCATAGATGTCTACAATTATTTAGGAGATAGCAAAGTTGCAAAGCACTCTGGAAGTATTTTTGGCACTCAGTGTCTGCTCCACATGTGTGAACACATCATCTCTCTGAAAGAGGTCTGGGTAAACCTAATAAAGCCCTGCAGTCCCCTGATGTATAGGTAGAGCAGCCTTTACGTTGGCCTCCATCCACACCCAGAAGTTAATCCTGCGACCTCTTATATGCCCTTGAGTGGAGTGAGGGGGTGATACAAAATAAACCCCAAGCCAAACACACACCCAGTCACTGAGAGTACAGTAACACAGACTCTTCCATCAGTGGACCCTTCTGTGACACACATGTAGCAATGGTGCATGTTTACACATGAACCTGGGAAATTTTATGTGCAAGTTTTTGATTGAAAATGTTTAGGGGAAGTTTTCAACATGTAAATATTACTAAAATATTCTCAAATGATACATAAGTCCAAAACGAAGTTATTGAAGAGTTTAATCAACTTGCGTTTTTTTGTTTTTATTTATTTTATTTTAAAGTGACATAATAATTGTACATACGGGATGCAGTGTGATGTTATATGTATATATTGTAGAATGATTAAATCAGGCCAATTAACATATCCATTGCCTCACATATTTATTTATGGTGAGACTATTTAAAATCTAGCATGTTAGCAATTTTGAAATATACATTATTATTGACTGCAGTCCCCATGCTGTGCAATGGATCACTAAAACATATTCCCCATTCTAACTAAAACTTTGTACTCTCTGACCAACATCTCTGCTTTCCCTGTCCACCTTCCACTCGCCCTTCTGCTCTCTGCTTCTGTGAGTTTGACTGTTTTAGATTCCACATATAAGTGATGTCATGCAGTATTTATCTCTCCACACTTAATTTATTTATTTAGCCTGATGTCTTCCAAGTCTCAAATGAAATAATTTCCTTCTTTTTTATGGCTTTATCCAGCCATCTGTTGATGAACACAGGTTGATTCAATATCTTGGCTATTGTGATTAATGCTGTATCTGAGTCCATTTAGTGTTGCTATAAAGGAATACCTGAAGCTGGGTAATTTACAAGGAAAAGAGGTTCACTTGGCTCACCATTCTGCAAGCTGTACAAGAAGCATGGTGCCAGCACGGCTTGGCTCCTGGTGAGGGCCTCAGGCTGCTTGCACTCGGCAGAAAGCAAAGGGAAGCTGAGCATGCAGAGATCACATGGAGAGAGAGGCAGCAAGGCAGGGTGCAGTGGGAGCAGGAAGACTGGTTCAACAACCAGCTCCTGTGGGAACAAATAGAGTGAGAACTCACATTTTGGAAGAGCATTAATCTATTCATGAGGGATGCACTCCCATGACCCAAATCCCTCCCAGGAGGCCCCACCTCCAACACTGGGGATTAGATTTCAACATGAGGCTTAGTTGTGTCAAACATCCAAACCATCGCATGCTGCAATGAACATGGAAGTGTAGATCTCTTTGAGACACTGATTTCAGATCCTTTGCATATATACCCAAAAGTAGGATTGATAGGTCAGATGGTAATTCTATTTTTAGTGTTTTAGGAACCCCATACTGTTTTCCATAATGGCTACACTAATTTACATTCCCAACAACTGTATCTAAGGTTTCCTTTTTCTCTGCACCCTCAATAGCCGTTGTAACATGTGATATCTTCTTGTGGTTCTAGTTTGTATTTCCCTGATAATTAGTGATGTTGAAAGTATTTATATATCTGCTGACTATTTGTATGTCCTCTTTAGAAAAATGTCTGTTTGGGTCCTTTGCCCACTTTTAATCATTGTTATTTGCTTTCTTAGTACTGAGTTAAGTTCTTTATATATCTTAGACATTACACTCCTCTCAGATATGCAAATGTATTCCCTCAAGGCATGGGTTGTCTCTTCACACTGTTAATTGTTTCCTTTTCTGTTCAGAAACATTTTAGTTGAATGTAATCCCATTGATCTATTTTTGCTTTTCTTGTCTAGGCTTTGGGGGTTATATCCAAGAAATTATTGCTCAGACCAATGTCACGGAGCTTTTCCTCTATGTTTTCTTCTAGTAATTTTACCATTTTAGGTATTACATTTAAGTCTTTAATCCATTTTGAGTTGATTTTTTTTTTTTGTATATGGTGTAAGATAGGGGTCCAACTCCAGTCTTCTGCATGTGGAAATCCAGTTTTCCCAGCATCATTTGTTGATAAGACTGTCCTTTCCCCATTGTTTGTTTTTGGCATCTTTGTCTAAAATCAATTGACGATAAATGTGTGGGTTTATTTCTGGTCTTTCTACCCTGTTCCATTGGTCAATGCATCTGTTTTTATGCCAGTACCATGCTGTTTTGGTTACTATAGCTTTGTAATATATTCAGAAATTGATGGAGTGTGATGCCTCCAGCATTATTCTTTTTGTTCAAGATTTCTTTGGCTATTCAGGGTCTTTTATGGTTACCTATGAAGTTTAGGATTTTTTTTCTATTTCTATTTATTTAAAGAATGGCATTGGAATTTTGACAGGGATTATGTTAAGTCCACAGATAGGTACTATAAACATTTTGGGTTCATGTGGATACCCATAAGAACTATGGGTACTATGAACATTTTAACAATATTAATTCTTCCAATCCATGAACATGGGATACTTTTCCACTTATTTGCATGTTCTTCAATTTTTTTAACAATGTTTTATCATTCTCAATATACAGATCTTTCACTTGTTTAAATTTGCTCCTTTTTATGCTATTGTAAATTGAATTGTTTTCTTAATTTCTTTTTCTGATAGTTCATTGTCAGTGTATAGAAATGCTACTTATTTCTTTTTTTTTTTTTGAAATGGAGTCTCACTGTCACCCAGGCTGGAGTACAGTGGCATCATCTCAGCTCACTGCAAGCTCCGCCTCCTGGGTTCACACCATTCTCCTGCCTCAGCCTCCTGAGTAGCTGGGACTACAGGCGCCCGCCACCACGCCCAGCTAATTTTTAGTATTTTTAGTAGAGATGGGGTTTCACCATGTTAGCCAGGATGGTCTCGATCTCCTGACCTCATGATCCACCCGCCTCGGCCTCCCAAAGTGCTGGGATTACAGGTGTGAGCCACCACGCCCGGCCGCTACTTATTTCTTTATGTTGATTTTTATCCTACAATGTTGCTAAATTCATTTATTGGTTCTAACAGTTTTTTGGTGGAGTCTTCAGGATTTTCTGTATATAAGGTTATGTCATCAGCAAACAGAGAATTTAACTTCTTTCTTTTCTACCTGGGTGCCTTTTATTTCCTTTTCTTGCCTATTTGTTCTGACTTAGACTTCCAATACCCTGTTGAGTAGCAATGACAAGAGTGGATGTTTTTGTCTTATTCCTGATCTTAGAAGAAAAGCTTTCAGCTTTTCAATCTTGAGTGTGAGGTTAGCTGTAGGCTTGTCCTGTGTGACCTCTACAGTGTTGAGAGATATTTCTTCTCTACCTAATTTGTTGAAAGTTTTTATCGTGTAAAGATGTTGGATATTTCTACAAATGTAAATGTAAAAATCCTCCACAAAATACTAGCAAGCCAAATTCAACAGCACACTAAAGGGATCATTTACTGTGATTAAGTAGCATTTATCCTTGGGATGCAAGGATGTTTCAACATACACAGATTCATAAATGTGATTCACCATATTAACAGAATGAAGAGCATCATATAATTATCTCAAAATGGAAAAAAAGCATTTGACCAAATTCAACATCCTTTCCTGATAAAAACTCTCCACAAGTTAGGTATAGAAGGAATGTTCCTCATCTTGCATTTTAAACAGTATAAGAGGTGTTTATAATGATTCTGCAGATATTTCTAGGATCTTCCCAATATATCCATAAAGTCACTGGGGGAGGGGGGGATTCTGGCTGTGCCCGTGTACACGATGAGATTGGTCAGAAACCTAGTGACAGGTAGGGCCTGAGGGGAGCCGGTATGTGCTTTCCTGCAGCTTCACAGACACGGAAAAGTCATGTGTAATTATCAGAAATAGGATAAAACTTTCAAAAGCGCAAAAAATGGCTACAAAACTTACAAAATATAAGTCTGAATTCCATTGTTCTAGAACAATGAAAAGCAGACTCTTATCAACACAAGAAATCATAGCAGTGAGTCCTCTGGCACAAGTCAGCTGTCAACACCATGTCCTGCCATCCCCACTGGTGTCTGCCCCAACACCCAGAGAACCCACGGCCTAGTCAACACTTGCACAGACTTGTTTCACTTGATAGACAAACAATTTACTTTTTTTTAGCAATGTGATCTTTCCATTATGGTCAACCGTAGTTTCTTTCTTGATGACTTGATATTGGATTATATGAAACACTGTCTGAATTTCTTCCTAGCAATCTTTCAGTGGCAATGGTTTCTGTGCAATGCCCACCATTCTCTTCTGCTGCCTCCTCGTAACCTGGGTCTGAGTTTCTGAGAAAGCTGGACACGGGTCACCTGTGGACCATGGTTACGAGAAACAACACTGCCCCCAAATCCAAAAGTAACTCAGAACCATGGACAACAGGGCTCATATAAGAATGGCAAGGCATACCTGTGTGAATATTTAACTTGCATTTATATATCTAATGTAAGTTAAAATATATTTTTTCAACTTGTATTATTCCTGTGTCAATGTTTGAGTATTCAGTAACTCAAAACAATGGTTATTTAGCTTTTGTTTGCTGAAATGACCGAATCTAAACTTCATCATTTATAAATTTAGTTAAAACTTACAATTGTTCTTTCCTTAAGAAAGGAAGATCACTAGAATTTTTCTTAAGCTTAACTAGAAATTTGAAGCATAGAGACATTTTCCTACAATAAGAAACTGAAAGAGAATTGGAAGAGAACAAGAAAAAGGAGGATTTTATATGCACGTTAGAAACAAAGATTTTTTTAACATTAAATGCATTTGTCTGTGGGAGATGAAAGATAGGAAAAAGCAGGTAGCCTGATGTGTGTATAATATTTCCAAAGGAAAGAGAAAAAATGGTGATCCTGACCTTGGTCAAAGAATACCTCATATCAGCCACCGGCATCTTCCCCAGGACACTTGGGTAAGAATCACAACGATGATCAACAATAAATCATGTTTACTGAGCACACATCATTTGTCAGGAACTTTGGGGAAAACCTCTATGTGAGAGGTTACTTCATGTAGGGAAAAATGTGGACAGTTTCGAACTGGACAAAAAAGATCACTGGCGGTCTTTTCAATGGAATCCTAGAGATGCCTCAGGGGTATGCTCCTCCACTTTGACTAGAGTGTTTTACAACTCTGTAGAGGTGAAAGTTAACTTGTAGCAAACTGGGAGTGATGCAACTTACTCCTGTCTGTAGAAATGCAAATTGTGTCCAGTGGAATGCAACTGACTATCACACTGTAGAAACTGACCAATTTTGCCTCCATTGCATATGTAAGATGTGTAAGTTCATTTCGTCCTCCTTTTTTTTTTTTTTTTTTTCTTTTTCTGGGATGGAATCTCGCTCTGTCACCCAGGCTGGAGTGCAGTGGCGCCATCTCCACTCACTGCAACCTCCGCCTCCTGGGTTCAAGCAATTCTCCTGCCTCAGCTTCCCGAGAAGCTGGGATTACAGGTGCCCACCACCATGCCTGGCTAATTTTTGTATTTTTAGCAGAGACAAGGTTTCACCATGTTGAGCAGTCCTTCTTTATCTGACTATAGATGTGTGGATCTTGAGTTCTCTTTTGAGCCAGTTGTAATATCGAGTGACTTCCTCATTAATCGAGTTAAATAAAATCCTTGGCACATGTTCATTTTATGATTGTGTGAGAGTCATGATTTTACTGTCTTTTAAAATTTAGTCTTTAACACTCTTCTAATCTTCATGATAATACTATGAACAAGAGGAGCAGGTTTGCTGGGAATCTTCTAGCAAAAGGTAGAAGGTAGAAGGGAAGGCCCGGGCAGCCAGCCCACACCTGGCTTCAAAGAAAGGGGCTTTCATATAATTTTATCTGAACTCCCTTTTAATATGTGAATAATTCTTCCCCAGCACCCCTACATTCATAAAGTGTCCAGTGCACAGGAGCTCACTACCTAACAGCAACTTCCACTCCAAAGTTGGAAAGCTGTAGTCTGAGACAGATATTTCTTACATTGAAAGGAATTTTCTTCTCCTGAAATATTAGCCATTCTCCCGGGAAAGCAATCTACTCCCTTTTCTGCAAGAGTATTTTAACTCTTTGAAGGCCAACATCTCATATTCCCCCGGTCTTCTCCAGATAAAACCCGTTAGCTATTCCTTAATTGAGATGGTTTTAAGACCCCCTCATCATCTTGTCTTTTCTTGGTGCTCTTGATTTCATGTCTCCCTAAAATTGAGGCACCAAAAAATTGAACACAATTCTGACCCACCCAGAACATTGATCTCATGGTCTAAGTTCTAGAAATGTGTAGAGTGTTAATAACCCCATGTTTATAATTTGAGGGGTTGTCTATAATTTGCTTAGGCTCCTTTGTATGTATGGAGCTGGCCCCAGCTCTTTCTGCTTTTTTGTGTGTACTATCATACAACTCTTCCTAATGTATGTAAACTATGTCGGTTCTTTTTTAAATATGTATACCTACTTATTTCTAGTTAGATTCATTAAAACCATTATTTCTAAAACAATCAGTTATCCCTTTTATTCTATTTTTATTGAAAAAATCTGCTGTCTTCTGTTTATATTAACAGATTAGTTCTGATGATTAAAAACATAAACTATCTGTTTGATGGAAGGCACCATGGTGGGGTTGTGGAAGCATGTGACAACTCATTTTGACACTGTAAACTAACAATCAATCAATATTTACAGCTACCATTCATACTCCTTCAGGAAATCATGCTGGTGAATTCCACGTTTCTGACAGTTCCCCACCTAGAAAGCTTGCCAGTTGTGGGAAGCCAATGTGGTGATGAAAAGCATCCTACAGTTCCCTAAGCTGCTAACAAAGCTGCAGAAGATTAACCGAAGGAAAGAAATATCCCAATACCCCTGGGCCTGTAATAAACGTGATCCACTACCCCTCCTGCCACTCCCCATCTTCCAGCCCCTGGCTGGCCAGAGCAGTCTGCGGAAGCCTAACCTGTAATCAGGCTGCAATAGGAGTGAGAGAAAGAATCACAAAGCAGAGGAACAGGAATGCTGGATGTCTTCTCTACCAGATGCTCCTCTGCATGCCCAAGGTTCCAAAACAGAGGGAGCTTTAAATCTGACTCCTCTCTTCACAGAGCTGAGTGCACCCTCCCTGCTGAGCTGCATTCATGGGCAAACAAACCCTCCATGAAGGTTAGCGCTCCGTGGTGCCCTTGCTTTTCATACCATTATTAATTATGTATGTAGAGCATTTAGGCACCATCTTATGTGGCCACAACAACTGTTGGATAAAAGAAAAATACAGTCATCCCACTAGTTCATTGACCATCATGCTATCCAAACACTGATTTTTTAACACATCGATTAAAATGAAGGATATGTTGACATCCTGTACAGACAGTGTCTGAATTCTTCAATGCTCTTCAATATAAACACATTGCTCATCATATAAGTTCTTGATGACACGTGAAGGCCCCTTTGATATTGTATAACCATCATAACCGTGGGGAAACATATCAAAAGGGGAAGCAATAGGCCAAAGGTCACTGGCAAGGTCAAGGATGAAATTAAATTTAAGAGCAAAAGTTTCAACTTCGTTAGCCACTATTCCCCAGCGAGACTCCAGAACATCCTGTTAGATCTTGTTAGTTCTATGTTCAAAGTGAATTTATATCATTAGCAATTAAGAAAATTACCTGAAGAACATCACAGAACCAAATTATCCGCTTTGATTATTTGGGTATGGAAATGTGGGTCACTTTTTCAATATCAGGCAACAATTTTAATGTTTCCCTTCAGTTAAACCTGGCAAAATCCTTAAATCTAGAAAGAGTTCCTGGTTCACCATTGATTTCATTGCCTCAGGAGAGCCCGAGGTAGGAAATACGGACAGTACTCTTTGACCCTCTCTTCCGCACACCCAAACCTTCTCTTTCTGAGTGAACAGCATTTGTATCATGCAGCACTTCAGCGAGTGTCCTGAAAACCCCTTCACACATACAAGGGAGACTTGGGCAGGCAATAAAGATTTCTTATGAACAGGAAACCAGACTTGCACCACTTTATGCAACAATTTAGCAATAAAGTTAGTGCAATCATTTGGCTCTTCCAACTTGCTGGAGAGAGAAACATGTGGAAGAGTTGCAAGTGGCTTCCTATGGAGAGATAAATCCACAGCCACAGACAGAGCCCAAGAACCTCGGGAGAGCTCCCTGGAGACAAAGCTGTCTTCTGAACAGGGCTGGACCAATGGCAAACTGGGCCATCCATCACCACCCCAGCCAACAGGACAAACACACCCCTGTTGCTCCAAGATGCTTGGGACAGGGCTCCCAGGGCAGGCACCAGGGCAGGCACCAGCACACACAACATGAGCTGCTCTGAGCCAGCTGTGTCCAGGCCTCCCAGATCAAAGATTGGTTTGGGGCAAAAGGAAGTTTTGAATTTGACAGGATGTTCCTGCACACATTCAAAACAGGAATAACGTGACAGGCCAGGAGCAACAAACTCAACTGCATGCAACTCTTCAGGGCCACAAGGTTGCGTGTGTGGGGGCGAATGCTTCAGGGTCCAAGGTGGTGCTGGCTTAAAGAAAACACACAAGGATGAAAACTAGCCCTCCGTACAGTAATCCACAAAGCCTGCAGTGAGAGAAGGGAAAGGAGGGAGGAGGGAAGGCAGATTAAAGTAAGCAAACAAATTCCTTGACATGGGCCTTATGAGTTTTGACACTTTGATAGGAAGAATCTGTTACAGTGCTTAAAAGTTGCAAGTCTCGCCCCGCAGGGTATGGGGGAAAGGAGCAAAGAGTTCAAAGTGAATAATTACCTGTTATTGATGTATTATATTTAAAGACCCTGGCTGAGGATTAAAGACACTCTCAAGGCTGTTAACAGCCTGCAGTAAACAAGTCATATATCAGAGAAGTGGGGGAGAAAAGAGTTTCAGAAGGATTTCCTCCATCATTCAGGAACCCTCTGTAGGTGAGGCACAGGGTGGACATATGCATTACACAGAAGGACACATTTGAGACCAGGAAGAGAGTCATTAAATACTGAGGGAGCTTTGTCTCAGTGTCTGAAGGCTCCTCCTGGGAACTTCGCTGTCTTAAGACTTTGTTGATTAATCATGATATTCCTGGCACCACTGAAGGATTGGCAGCTGGTGGGTGCATGACGAACTTCATTGGTTGGATGGTTGATTGGTTGATTGGTTGATTGGTTGGTTGGTTGGTTGGTTGAACCCAATTTCTTTCTTGCTTATAGTTTCAATAAACAAAAGAATAAAGGTTTTAACTACTAAAGTAGGTGGCTCACCAGGCCCCATGCCCCTGCCCTAGGAATACGCCCAGAGAAGGAACAGTTTTTCGTTAGCAAAGTCCCCCCAAAAGCAGCCACTGAGTGTCTCTGTCTCCATGGAGGATGGACTTGATGATCCCCAGTTTGCATTTCCCCTTCTGTAGTATCTGATCCTGTGATCTCTCAGCTGAGGACTATTATACTAATGAAAAACACTTCCAGGAAATCAGTCCAAGACAGATTTAATTTGATGTGGAAAAGAACCCCAAACGCACATTCTATCCATCAGAAATTAGGATCAGCTTTAGGTTTCAAGTCCCTAGTTCCGAAGATGCCATAGCACGTTGAAGGAAATGAAGAGGAGTCCTTTTTGTTTTTGTCTTTTATTTCTTTTAAGGAAAAATGAAGAAGAAAAAGAAGGGCCCTCCTTCCCCCAGGGAAAAGACAGTTCTGATCAACATAATTACAATCCCCGAGGGGCAGCGCCTGC
Source organism: Homo sapiens (assembly GCF_000001405.40). NCBI lineage: Eukaryota > Metazoa > Chordata > Mammalia > Primates > Hominidae > Homo > Homo sapiens. The sequence goes on along the minus strand of NC_000018.10, from coordinate 10,112,169 downwards.
CCAGCCCTGAAGCCACAAGGCTGGTGCCTCTGCAGGTCACGTGTGCCTCCCGCAGGCTGTCCAGGAAGAGTTCAGTCGCATGAGAAGAGAAAGTCAGGTTTTCTGGGTGCATGGGTCAGCCACTGTCTCCAGGACGGGTCCCTGCCTCTCCAACTGGCAGCGCTGAGCTGAGAACCCAGTCCTCTCCAGCAAGACCCGAGCTCACTTTCCCAAGTCCAGCTGCATTTGTGCCCTCAACAAACCATGCCAGCCTCCAGGTGAGTTCAAGTCTTGTCTCCAGAAAACACTGTACCCAGATTTCAGCCCTCTCTGCTCCTTCTACCCTAGAACATCACAAAATGCCAGATTTTTAGAGCAAAAAAGGGGCCTGACCAACTCTGCAGCTGAATTTTAGCATACTAAAAATGAAAGTTCTCTTTTACAGGATAAGAAACCAATGCTTCTCATTGCTTGGCTGTGCAAGACCAGCTCCAAAACCCTCCTTGTTTGCCTTTCCAATGTGCAGAACTTCAAGGACACACAGTTAAATCAAGCATGGTTCCTGGCCCAGAAATTCCATGCACATAGGTCTACAAGTACACTAATATCCGTCATGGTAAATGTTATCCCTCCATTTATAGTTTTTTATTTCAGTGAAATATATGTAACATAAATTTTGCCATTTTAATCATGTCTAAGTGTCTAATTCAGCAGCATCAATTACATTCATAAGGTTGTGCAACCATCACTACTCTCTGCTTTCAAAACTTTTCACCACCCCAAATAGAATCTCTGTAACCATTTAGCAATAACTGCCTACTCCTCTGTCTCCACCCCAGGCACCTGACAACCTCTCATGTACTTTCTGACTCCATGAATTTGACTATTCCAGATATTCTATATAAATGAAATTATACAATACTTATCCTTTTGTGTCTGGCTTATTTCACCTAGCATAGTGTCTTCAAGGTTCATCCATGCTGTAGCATGTTTCCTGTTTTCATTCCTTTTTATGGCTGAATAACGTTCCATTGTATGCACATGCCGCATTGTGTTTTTCTGCTCATGTGTTAATGGACACACTGGGTTGCTTCCCTCTTTTGGCTATTGTGAATAGTGATGAACATTGGTGTTCAAGTCCCTGATTTCAATCATTTGGGGTATAAGTCTAGGAGTGGAATTCCTGGGTCATTCCTTTTCTTTATATCTGATGAATGAAGCTGGGCATGGTGGCTCACACCTATAATCCCAGCACTTTAGGAGGCTGAGGCAGGAGGATAGCTTGAGCCCAGGAATTCGAGGCCAATCTGGGCAACATTTTGTGAGATCTTGTCTCTACAAAAAATAAATGTAAAAAAACTAGCCGAATACTGTGTCACACACCTGCAGTCCCAGGTTCTTGGGAGGCTGCAGTGGGAGGATTGCTTGAATCTGGGCGTTTGAGGTTGCAGTGAGCCACGATTGCACCACTGCACTCCAGCCTGGGTGACAGAGTAAGACCCTGTCTCAAAAAAAAGAAAAAAAAAAGATGAGTGAATGAGTACTTCCAGCAGAGACAAGAGTTTGTGCAAAGGCAGAGCCCACCTTGTGCAGCTCTGCACAGCCTGAAGCCATGTGGAAAGGATGTCCTGAGGGACCCAGAGATGAGACCATGGGGGCAGGAGCTCTCCTGACGCTCTACCACCTCTATATTCTGACTACATTGAATCCAAGACTGACAAACTCCCAGGTATAGGCCAAAACGTAACTGGTTCCAAAACTCTCCTCTACCTTGACACCCAGGCCAGAAGTCATTCAAAGATGCAGAATACTCCCGTGGCCCGCCAACAAAGCGGTCTTAACTCCACTTCTCTCTCTTTCACTCAAGAGTTCAAGCTAAAGGGACTTACTTTTTTTCAGGAAAAATTATTCTAGTATATTAGAAAAGACCAACCATTAGTGGTTCATTTTAACGCCACTCTTATCCACCTCACAATCAATACTGACACAAGTGACGATGTGGAAAGGAAGATGGAAATATTTCCTGCAGCATTTATCTCATGGACCAACCCCACAATGGATCCACTGACTTTGTTGACAATCACAATTAACCAGGACAGAAAATATGGGAAGAGGAGTTGTATGGAAAGATGATGACTTATTTTAGGAGAGAGACTGAGAGGTGGCCCCAGGGAGAGGGTGAGCACAGTGGTCCAATCTCCAGAGAAAGGTCAGGCTAGAAAGAAAGATGTCGGAGGCATCAGCATTTAGGGTGAGATTGCCCAACGGTGAGCAAGGCTTTAGAAGAAAAGAAGACTAAGACCAGATTTCTGAAGAATTCCAACATTTAAGAGATAAGTCATCAGAGACTTAGAAGAGCCAGCAAAATCTCATAATAGTCAAGGGAAGCACTTCAAGGAGAGGGTGATCAACAGTAACCACCACCCCTGAGTCATGGTACCAGTGAAGGATTCTATTAAATCTGACAATTGGGAGGACCAAGAGGTCTTAGACCCATCTCAGGGGAGCAGTGGACAACACGTCCACATTTGAACAGTGAAGGGGAAATAATGAAGTGGTGGATTGGGAGTCATCTCCACATTTGGTAACAGACACAACACATGGTAGACACTCAAATGTTTACTGAATAAGTAAATGAGAAAATAAGTAAACGCGTGGAAAGGAACTATTGCAACTACCTACTACTGTTGAATATAGGACTGTCTCTATTAAGATTGGTAGAAGGCCATATTTATAATTGCTAATTTGTTGCAGAATGGTCTTGAGCTATTTTAGATTGAATGAACACTAATGATATAACTGTAGAGCTGTCCACATTTATAATGAATGCAATAAATTGGATCACTAAATACACTAGAAGGTGATTATAAGAGACTCGGCCTTTCAGAATTTGATGATCTGGAAGAGTAGAACTTGTTCTGACTTGAGTGGAAGTTTCTTTTCCTCCTCTAGCTAAAGGCAGAACCAATGCTCTAAATACTATTGGACTATCTTCAATGTTTAAGAATATGGATAGGCAGGGCACGGTGGCTGACGCCTGTAATCCCAGCACTTTGGGAGGCCGAGGCAGGCGGATCACGAGGTCAGGAGATAGAGACCATCCTGGCTAACACGGTGAAACCCCATCTCTACTAAAAATACAAAAAATTAGCAGGGCGTGGTGGCAGGTGCCTGTAGTCCCAGCTACTCGGGAGGCTGAGGCAGAAGAATGGCATGAACCCAGGAGGCGGAGCTTGCAGTGAGCCGAGATGGCGCCACTGCACTCCAGCCTGGGGGACAGAGCGAGACTCCGTCTCAAAAAAAAAAGAATATGGATAATAACAAACAGGAGACAATATGATAAAGAGATCAGCCGTCTGCATTATGGGCTGGCTTACAATAGGATATTAAACTCAGAATTCCCCTTCAACCCTGAGTTACCATGAGCTGAGAAGTATGATGAACTCAACTCCACACGCTTGAGGTGGAGAAACATGATGTAAAATGCAAAGAAATCTCCTGCATAACAAAATGCAAATCCTTACATCCTTATAGCCTGCTTTAGTTCAAAGAGAGGCTCTTACTGATATAATAGGAAAGCACAACTGGAAACACGAGAGTTAGAGCAGAGAGAAGCAGTGGAATCTGTGTGCTCCATGTGTCATCATCATTTCGAAAGGGATGAGGGGAGCACAAAATAGAATCTCCAAGCCAGTGCCTCAGTGCCACGATTTCATCAATTTACTTTTCCTAACATACCATTTCATCCCATCACACTGCAGCTCAAAACTATTCAGTGAATTTTCTATTCCACTTTTTTTTTTATTTCAGATTCTTTGGGTTGGCATTCAAGATTCTCTAGACTCTGCCCTTGTCTTTCTTATGAGACTTCTCCAACCAAACTGGCCACTCATGGCCCCCAGTGCTTGCCACATGGTCATGCCCCAGGGACGTGTCCCACATGGGCCCTGCCTTACTCATGGTCCGTGGTCTCATCCGTGACCTCCCTGCCCACAGGAAGATGCACATCTCATCAGCTACTCCCTTGTCATCTGAGCCATGCATTTATCTTCAAGCCACTTTTTGGACTTTCTTTTTTCCATAATAGATTTCAGTTTCTTAAGCATATGGGCTGAGAATTTGATTCATTTGTATTTCCACAGTATGTGATATAGTGCTTTTTGCATGGGGCTCATTAAAGAAAAAAGTTGAATAAATGAACAGAGGAAGGGATGGATAAAATAAAACCCAAAGTTGCAATGATTCTGGAAAAATAGACGTATTAGTTGAGATACTTTTAATCTGCATTCAAACCTCCTTACACAATAGAGAAAGATTTTATTTCTTATTCTGACACATAACCAGAAGCCAAGAGGAAGGACACACTTCAGGGCTGGTTGGTAAGTGGTACAGCAATGCCATCAGAAACGCAAGTTTTCACTAATCCCACAGAAATACAAAAGATCCCCAGAGACTGTCATGAACACCTCTATGCACACAAACTAAAAAATCTAGAAGAAATGGATAAATTCTTGGAAACATACAACCTGCAAGACTGAATCAGGAAGAAATTGAAACCCTAAACAGACCACTATTGAGTTCTGAAATTAAAGCACTAATTAAAAACCTATTAACAAAAAAAGCCCTGGACCAGATGGATTCACAGCCAAATTCTACCAGATGTACAAAGAAGAGCTGAAACTATTCTTAAAAATTGAGGAAGAGGGACTCCTCTCTAACTCATTCTGTGAAGCCAGTATCACCTTGATACCAAAACCTGGCAAAAAACCCAAAAAAAAAAAAAAAACAAAAAAAAGCAGAGAACTACAGGCCAATATCCTAATGAACACAAATGCAAAATCCTCAACAAAATACTAGAAAACTGAATCCAACAGCACATCAAAAAGTTAATTTCCCATAATAAAGTAGTCTTTATTCTGGAGATTCAAGAGTGTTTCAACATATATGAATCAATAAATGTGATTAAATAAATCATTTTTGAAATCAATAAACAGAATTAAAAACCATGTGATCTTCTCAATAGATGCAAAAATAGCTTTTGATAAAATCCAACATCCCTTCCTGATAAAAATCCTCAAGAAACTAGCCATCAAAGGAACATACTTCAAAATAATAAGAGTCATCTCTGACAAACCCACAGGCAACATTATACTGAATGGGCAAAAGCTGGAACCATCCCCTTGAGAACTAAAATAAGACAAGGATGCCCACTCTCACCACTCCTATTCAACATAGTACTGGAAGTGCTAGCTAGAGCAATCAAGCAAGAGAAAGAAATAAAAGGCATTTAAATAGGAAAAGAAGAGATCAAGTTCTCTTCTTTCATGGATGATATGATTCTACACTTAGAAAACCCTGAAGACTCCACCAAAAGGCTCCTGGAACTGATAAATAACTTCAGTATAGTTTTAGGATACAAAATCAGTGTACGAAAATCGGCAGTATTTCTATACACCAATAACGTTCTGAGAGTCAAATTCATAATGTAATCCCATTTACAATAGCCATAAAAAATAATAATATACCTAGGAATGCATCTAACCAAGGAGGTGAAAAATCTCTACAAGGAGAAGTATAAAACTGCTAAAAAAAATAACAGATGACACAAACAAATGAAAAAATATTTCATGCTCATGGATTAGAAGACTCAGTATCATTAAAATGGCCATACTGCCCAAAGCAATGTATAGATTCAACACTATTTCTACCAAACTACCAATGTCATTTTTCACAGAACTAGAAAAACTATTCTAAAATTAATATGAAACCAAAAATTAGCCCAAATAGCCAGAGCAATCCTAAGCAAAAAGAAAAAAAAGCTGGAAGTGTCACATTACCTGACTTCAGGCTGTACTATAAGGCTACAGTAACCAAAACAGCATGGCACTGGTACGAAAACAGACTGTATTAGTCCATTCTCACATTGGTATAAAAAGCTACCTGCTACTGGGTAGTTTATAAAGAAAAGAGGTTTAATTGATTCACAGTTCCATAGGCTGTACAGGAGGCATGGCTGGGGAGGCCTGGGAAACTTACAATCATGGCAGAAGGCAAAGCGGAAGCAAGCACATATTCACATGGTGACAGGAGAGAGAGACAACAAAGGAGGAAGTGCCATGCACTTTTAAACTGTCAGATCTCATGAGAAATCTATCACGAGACAGCACTAGGGGGGCAGTTTTAACCCGTTAGAAACCACCCCCATAATCCAATCATCTCCCACCAGGCCCCACCTCCAACACTGGGGGATTACAATTCAACATGAGATTTGGTTGGGGACACAGAGCCAACCCATATCATAGACACATACGTCAATGGAACAGAATAGAGAACCCACAAATAAAACCGTGCACCTACAGCCATCTGATTTTTGACTAAAGCTTAAAAATAAGCAATAGGGAAAGGATTCCCTATGTCATCAATAATGCTTGAATAACTGGCTAGTCATCTGCAGAAGAACAAAACTGGACCCCTAACTAACTTTCACCATATACAAAAATTAATTTCAGATGGATTAAAGATATAAGACCTCAAACTATAACAATCCTAGAAAAAAAAAACCTTAAAAACACCATTATGGACTTTGGGCTTATAACTAAGTCCTCAAAAGCAATTGCAACAAAGACAACAATTGACAAGTGGGACCTGATTAAACTAAATCTCTTCTGCATAGCAGAAGAAACTATCAACAGAGTAAATAGACAATCTACGTAGTGGGATAAAATATTCACACACTATGCATCCAATGAAGGTCTAATATCCAGAATCTATAAGGAACTTAAACAAATCAACAAGCAAAAAGAAAGAGAAAAAAAAAAAACAAATAATCCTGTTAAAAAATGGGCAAAAGACATGAACAGACACTTCTCAAAAGAAGACACACAAGTGGCCAACAAACATATGATAAAATGCTCCACATCACTAATCATCAGAAAAATGCAAGTCAAAACCACAATGAGATACCATCTCACACCAGTCAGAATGGCTATTATTAAAAAGACAAAAAGTAACAGATGCTGATGAGGCTGAGGAGAATAGGTAAAGCTTATACATTGTTGGTGCAACTGTAAATTAGTTCAGACACTGTGAAAAGCAGTTTGGAGATTTCCCAGAGAACTTTAAAACAGAATCACCGTTCAACCCAGCAATCCCATTACTAGGTATATACCCAAAAGAAAACAAATTGTTCTACCAAAAAGACACATGCACTTACATGTTCATCACTGCACCAGTCACAATAGCAAAGACATGGAATCAACCTAGGTGCCCATCAACAGTGGACTGGATAAAGAAAAAGCAGTACATATACACCATGAAATACTATGCAGCCATAAAGAAGAATAAAGTCATGTCCTTTGAGCAACATGGATGCAGCTGGAGGCCATAATCCTAAGTGAATTAACACAGAAAACCATATACCGCATGTTCTCACATAAGTGGGTGCTAAACAATGGGTACTCATGAACAAAAAGATGGCAACAGCAGACTCTGGGGACTACTAGAGGTGAGAGGGTGGGAGGTGGGGAAGGGTTGAAAAACTAAGTATCAAGTACTATTCTCAGTATCTGGGTAACTGATCAATCGTACCCCAAACCTCAGCATCACAAAACATACCCATATAACAAATCTGCACATGTACCCTTGAATCTAAAATAAAAGTTGAAAAAAATTAAAATAAAAAATAAATTAAAAAAATGCTAATTGGCTATTTGTTTTGATCAAGAATATTGATCAATAAGTGATTGAGTCAGCTGGGCACTGTGGCTCACGCCTGTAATCCCTACACTTTGGGAGGCCAAGGCAGGTGGATCACTTGAGGCCAGGAGTTTGAGACCAGCCTGGACAACATGGTGAAACCCTGTCTCTACTAAAAGTACAAAAATTCGCTGGGTGTAGTGGTGTGCGCCTGTAATCCCAGCTACTTGGGAGACTGAGGCAGGAGAATTGCTTGAACCCAGGTTGCAGTGAGCCAAGATTGCACCACCGCACTCCAAACTGGGTGACAGAGTGTGACTCTGTCTCAAAAAAATTAAAAAAAAAATAAATAAATGAAATAAAATAAATGATTGATCCATAAAGTTAAATCCCAAAAAAAGAAAAAAAGAAATGCCAGCTTTCCTATCTCTGTGTTCCACTCGCCTGCTGGCTGCATCCTAAGCAGGAGGCCCTGTGGCTGCCTGCGGCTTCAGATGTCCACCTGTAGCACCTGGGGCCTCATGTATTCTTGTTCACATCTAGTAGGAGATGACACACTTCCCTGTGCACAAGCCAACTCAGGTCACCCAGGGGAGCGCCATGTGCCATTTGGCTTGGACTAATGTTAGAGATGAAGAAAGGCACTTGGATTGTCTTGCGTAGGGTTGATGCCTGAATAAAACAAGTTTTGTTAGGAAGAGGAAGGGTGGTGGGCACTGAGGCTCAGGAGGCAACCAACAATGTCCACTGTAGCAGGACCAAAAACTAAATCATGATGTAATTTATGTGCATTACCTTGTTGACTCACAATGCTGCAAGATTGTCCCCATTTTACTGAAGAGGACACTGAGGCACAATGATGTCTAGTAACTTGCACTAGCTCACATAGCTTTTAAACAATAGAGCCAAGATTTAAAATAAGTCCATGGCTAACAAAGTGACCTAATTTGAAGGCTGCCGAAAAATGCTAGCCCAAATTTAGCTCTCCTGGTTACCAACCACAAGAGCCAAGAAATCCTACCATTAATCATTTCTTAAAGGAAAAATGGACACCACTACCTCTCTCAAGACAAAATATAAAAGTGTTACTTAAGAAGTACTGGCAGATTATCACCTGACATTCCTGAAATTAGGTATCAGATTAATAATGCTATTATTTTTAAAAGAATAAATGTGAATTCAAATGAAAGCTAATTAGGCCTCAGGCACTGTCTTAAGCACTTCTCATATCATGAAGAGAAATTGCTCACAAAAATCCAGTGAGCTCATATGATCCCCAACTTACAGACTGAGAAAGAGAAGCTCAAGGAGGTTAAGTAACTTGCCTAAGGTTATCTGGTTATTCAGCCAACAACTGGCAAAGCTAAGATCTTTGAACTCTTCTTTTTTTTTTTTTTTTTTTTGAGGAAGGGTCTTGTCCTGTTGCCCAGGCTGGAGTAGCGTGATCATGGCTCACTGCAGCCTCAACCTCTTGGGCTAAAGCAGTCCTCCCACCTCAGCCTCTTGAGCAGCTGTGACCACAGACACACATCACCACACCTGGATAATTTTTTATTTTTTAATTTTTTTGTAGAGAAGGGTTCTCGCCATGTTGCCCAGGCAGGTCTTAATCTCTTGAGCTCAAGCGATCCACCTGCCTCAGCCTCCAAAGCAGTAGGATTACAGGTGTGAGCCACTGTGTCCAGCCAGATTTGAACTCTTGCTCTTAAAACCTGACCCATTATCACCTCCATACATCAATAGTCCTTGTATCTGTTTCCTTTTATCTGAATCTGGGAAACTCACTCCTAACTTCCCTGGAATCTGAGACAGTAGAGCCAAATCCTTGTCTCCTCCACCCTCTGACACCCCACTCCCCAACACCCCACTCCCCAATCCATCACAGCAGAAGAAAGTGGCTTCTCCAGAAGGCCAGCCCTATCCCCTCTAAATCAGGCAAAGTTATTTGAAAGCTGACATGGACCCCTAAACCATGGACTCTCTATGGGGGGCAGGGAGGCAATGTTGCCTCCAAGGGCAGCAAAAATTGATTCTTGAGGGAGAAAACAATTTGGATGTTATAATGGTTTGTGGCTCTCTAAAACGCGATGTTATTCAACAAAATTATGTTTCTCCGTATTTCACTTCTCTCATTAGGGAGAATTTAAATTTCATTTGATTTTTCTTCTTAGGGAGGTGATCATGAAGAAATGGTTGAGAAACATTGCAAGGGGGGATCTACCCAGAATTGAAAGGCCCCTGAGAATGCCCCCAGTCCTACCTCCACACACATTTCTCCCTGAACCTGCTCAGTGTGAGCTGCTAACTGGCGGTGGGCACCTTCCCATCAGTCCTGAGGTCCCCAAAGATGTTCTTCATATATACATGTTCCAAAAAGTGAGTATTTTGGGACAGCAGATAGGTTTGGGAAACTCTTGGTGAAGTGGCATCAAGCTGTGGTCTTTGCTGCGGGACTCCCTGGTCTTGAGCCCACCTGTGGGCACAGAGGCTTTCCGGGAAGTGACTCCAGGCACAGCCTGAAGCTTTGCTGTCTCAGACCATCTTCTGGCATGAGGGCGCACTCAGCACACACTGCTTCAGACAGCAGTCACTGAGCCCAGCGCTCAGGATGTGGTAGCAGCACCACTGATTTCTTTTGATGGGATTTACTTTATTTATTTCTGAATTCAGAATGTTCTGATCCTCAACTCCAGCCAGGCTGGATTCAGAATGAATTCAGAATGTTCCGACCCTCAAGCTCCAGCCAGGCTGCACCCCAGAAAAAGCTACACAATGGAAGGTGGAAACAGGGAAAAGATCTACCCCTGTGTCATGGTTTGTGTCACAATCTACATATGCAGCATGACCCATCCACCCCTCCTCGAAATGCGCTCCCAGCCAGCTATCATTGCATTTCGAAAGGGTTTAGGAAACTGTCAATGAATATATGCAAATCCATTTATTCAGCAGGAACAATGGTCACAGAAGGAATGAAGGGAGAGGGGAGAGATGGGAGCTCTGCAAACAATTTCTCTTGTAAAGGGAATCTGCCAAAGGAGAGGAGGAGAAATGGAGACCCGGGGGACGAATGAATCACCAAAGTCCCACGGGGGAAACCGCAGTAAGGCCAAGGACGCAGCTCTGAGAGCTGTGCCAGGGCACTCTGCAGAGCCACACTGCCTCTTACTGCCGGTGTTATTTTAATAGCAAATGCCCAAATCAAAAACTGCAGAACAATGGGATTGCCTCACGGCCAGCAGCCTTTTCAGGGATTTCTGCACAGCACATTTTCATTTCCTCCATGTGACAGGACCACCTTCTTTGTTAAAATGTCACCCACACGATCCTAACCCATGCGGCTAAGACTAGTCCTGCCTTCAAAGAGTCTCTTGGCAAAGCTGAGGAACCTGGACACTTGCCAATAACAAAGTGTTTCCAACCTGGAATTTTGGAGGAGGCTTGTATGCTCTCTGTGACCACCTCCCTTTCTTTATCCTTTCTAAGCCTGGTGGCAATTTTCTGAGGGCAAGCATTTGATTTGGCCCTAGCCTGGTACCCACAGGCATCCTTGACTGATGGAACAGACATGACTGCTGCACACACACAAAAAATCTGTTTTGCTTTGTGACCTGAAGATATCTCTATACTGAATTCTTTATGGCCATGAATCTTAATCTTCCTTGTTTCATAAATCGCACTCAAGGCTGCAAGAAATCCTAACTGCAGAGCCTCTTGTTTTATGTGGCGTTTTCCATCCACATCTGTAAAAATCAAATCCAAAATTTAGTTTCCATCTTCAGAACCATAAAGCATTTGCATCAGAATTTTTCTGTTTTGTTTTTTACTTAGTGCTTTGTTTAAAAAACAAAATTTTTTAACACGTGCTACGTGCAAGGGCAATGGATTTGAATGACAGTTCTTGTGACTATCCCACTTAATCAACAACACCAAATGTCACCCCATAGCACCTTATGCATTGCTAAGCCATGTGTTTGCAATCGGCAATTGCTCTTTGAGCCTGGCCAGCATATGTTCTTGGCTTTTGAATTCAATTTCAGCAACCTTGAGAAAGCACAGCATAGGCTGGGAAGGAATCTGAATGGTATTAGCTTAACTTGGATTCTGTAGAAGCCAGATAACCATCCACCCATCTGTCTGCTCCAAGACGTCCATTTGCAAATGTGCACCAATCCCTCACTTTGTGCTGGGCCTCCAAGGCATGCATGTGCAAAGTGGAGGGAATGAAAAAGTCCGCTGTCTATCTGATGGAAGCTCTATGCAACCGAAGGACTGCTGTGCAGGGTGTCTGTGTGAAAAGACCTAGGCACATACAGATGGTGAACATAATGAGTCTAGTGAGGACCCTGCTGAGGACTGAATTTTAACAGGTCATTGAAGCTGGATAGATTGCTCACCCCTTGGGCTGCATCTTCACATCCTCAAACATCTGGAGGGAAACTGGACAGGAAATGTCCCGCTCATCTCAAAAAACCAGATGTGTGCCATGACATGGAAGGAATGTCCAGATGCCAGACAAATCCACTGCATTCCTCCAAGTGAGTCTTGCCTGGAGTATTTTTGAAAGGCAGATGAGGAACCTCTGATTGAGGCTTACTCAGTGTGGTGTAAATCAGCAGTCCCCAACCACCGGGCAGCAGACCGGCACCAGGCTACACAGCAGGAGGTGAGGGGCAGATGAGAGAGCATTACCACCTGAGCTCCACCTCCTGTCAGATCGGCCACGGCATTAGATTCTCACAGGAGCCCATACCCTATTGTGAAATGCACATGAGAGGGTTCTAGGTTTCACAATCCTTATGAGAATCTACCTAATGCCTGATGATCTGAGGTGGAATGGGTTCATCCTGAAACCATCTTCACCTGCCCCCGGCCCATGGAAAAATTGCCTTCCACGAAACTGGTCTCTGGTGCCAAAAAGTTTGGGGATTGCTGGCATAAAGCATTCTTTATGAAATCCTTTAGAAGAGGCAGGGATGTAAATAAATACATAAACTCATTTCATTGCAAAACTGAGGAATATCTTCTTCAAAGTGCAACTCGATTTTAATAGCTTCACTAAGTAGCTGTATGTGAGATTGTGTGCGTGTGCAAATGGGTGTATACCTGTGTGTTTCCTAGTGCAAGGATTTCAAAACAAGACTCCATATCATTATTATCTGAGGAGCTTCCTAGAAATACAGATCCTTGTTCCCAAACTGGACCTGCAGAACTAAAATCTCCACTTTTGGAATCCAAGAATTTCTCGAACATACCCAGTTGGTGCTGGCATCAGAGCACAGAGAGGCATTCAGGAAGCAGAGGGAAGGGCTCCGAAGTGCTCACTCTCATGGTTAACTTTTGCTGAAAACCAGTTTGCCAGAACTGGTTTTAAGTATTTTTTTTTTTTTTTTTTTTTTTTTGAGACGGAGTCTCGCTCTGTCGCCCAGGCCGGACTGCGGACTGCAGTGGCGCAATCTCGGCTCACTGCAAGCTCCGCTTCCCGGGTTCACGCCATTCTCCTGCCTTAGCCTCCCGAGTAGCTGGGACTACAGGCGCCCGCCACCGCGCCCGGCTAATTTTTTGTATTTTTAGTAGAGACGGGGTTTCACCTTGTTAGCCAGGATGGTCTCGATCTCCTGACCTCATGATCCACCCGCCTCGGCCTCCCAAAGTGCTGGGATTACAGGCGTGAGCCACCGCGCCCGGCCTGGTTTTAAGTATTTGTTGGACATCTGAGTTAGCCCCTACAAACACCATGTCATGTAGCTACCACAGTATTTCCGTTTTATCATTGAGGAAATTGAAGCTTAGTCAAAAAGTGGTAAGTGGTAAATCTGAACATTCAAGATCCCCATATAAAAAGTTGGCTCTCACTAACTTACAAGCTCTTGACTGGCCAAGGTGACCTCCATTCTCAGCGCCAGTTCCCTGAGTCCTGTAAACCTCCAGTTGATGAGAACTGACTTGGGAGATCAGTCTATCCTCTGTCATAGCCCAACCTATTTGTTTTGCAGACAAGGAAACTTTGATCTAAAGAGAGTAGGCCAGATGTGGTGGCTCACACCTATAATCCCAACACTTTAGGAAGCAGAGGCAGAAGGGTCACTTGAGACCAGGAGTTCAAGACCAACCTAGGCAGCATAGGGAGACCCTGTCTCAAAAAATAATAATAATTAATTAGTCAGGCACAGTGGCATGCGCCTGTAATCCCAGCAACTCAGAGGCTGAGGTGGGAGGACCACTTGAGCCTGGGAGGTTGAGGCTGCAGTGAGCCATGATCACACCACTGCACTCCAGCCTGGACAACAGAACAAGACACTCTTAATCAATCAATCAATAGAATAGTGGCTGTCTTAGGAACAACCAGATTTGAACATAGATGTCTGGATTTCATCAGTATCCTAAAAGCACCCTGCTCTGTTTAGTAACTAAGCTCTCTAGGATTTAAATGTTAAAAAGTCCCCTTGCCCTACAAAGCCAAATTTAATGGTGATTACTAATTTTCTAAAAGTTCCATGTTTAAGGATCTCCACAACTAAGACCTTCTAGAAACCTTTGGTGAGCCCCATAGGATCCTGGGTTTTTTGGGTTTTGGTTTATAGTCCAGACAAGAAATATCTCTAAATTCATCTTAGAAGTCTGCTTTTACTATCCTCTCAGCTCCATGAGCATACATTTAGGGGGTAAAACATCAAAAATGGCTATCTCATGGCATTTAGAGACACCAGACACATGTTTCAAAAGTTTTCCCTAAGGCTCCTTGACTCACGTGTCAGGAGCTTATTGCTAAAGTTTTAGTTAATATGGGCTGCTTGAGATGGGCTTATACCTTAACTATCAGCCCACTAACATGTTCTGGAAGCTTCCTCTCTCCACTCTACAAGATTTTATTACTGAAGTTACTATGTAACTCTCCTCAAACTTAGAAGACCAAGACGGGTGTGCTGTAGGGCTTGTGCTGCCTGGTGGCTCTAGTTGGGTTCATAATTTGCCTGTCTCCTAACAGTGAACATTGAAGGTTTCGATCACTGAGGCTGAAACCTGACCGTTGGGGCTTCCCCTGACATATACCTGCCAGGTGGCAGAGGTGAGAAAGGTGAGAAGTCAGTCACCTCATTCCTGCCGTATCCCAGGAGAATGGCCCAGATTTGCCATCCTTTCTTCAGGGATTTGGTGAGTTTTTCCTTCCCTCCCAGGCTTAGGGTACCAACAATTCCTATTTATAATAGGCATAAACATGTATACAATTGTGGGGAAGCTAGGGAATTAAGGGCCCAGAAGAGGGAGTCACTAATTGGACTCTCTGATGATGACCTGCACTGGTGCATGAGGCAGAACTTGCCAGAGCTTCTAGGAATCCAGGGACATCCATTCACCAAAGGGGTCAGCAAAAAACAGAGCAAGGAGGAGACCATAGGAGGCCAGCTGGGTCAGCAGCCAAGAAGATGAGCTGGGCACAGTCAGGCAGAGCAAGGACAAGGTGACCCCACGAGCAACTATATGACCATCTGTCCATGAGGAACAGAGAGAACAACCTAGCCACTACCAGTGTCTGCCTCTGTCTCTCATCACATCTCACCTCATCTTCATGGGGTGATGCCTGCTTCCCACCTTCTACCTCTCCAAGGCCATGCAACTTTCTCCTCTGGCCAACTCTAACTCAGACTTATGCAAGGATACTGGGAAACACAGTTCCAGCTTGATCAAGTGGACACAGTGCAAAACCATCCATATATACCTCTTTTGACCATTTTTCATTTCCAAATAAATACGATCATAAAATAATGTTTTTACCTAACATGGTGCAACTATCTCTCACACAACAAAAGACACACTAAGTCTCTCCCTGAAATAGGGTGCAAAGTCTCAGTGTTGCTTTATCTATCTTTGGGTGGCCATACCATGCAAAATCATGTAAACTGAGACTGAAGTTCTTCCTTCCCAGTCAACTGGCCATAGGGAATTTCTAATGAGCCATAGCGGAAGTTGAGAGAGAGAAGGCAACTGAGCGGAACTAGGGGCCGGGAGACTCTGAGCCACTTGTTTGGGTAACTTACATGTGCTTTCAGGATCTGCTCAAGGCCAACATTGAATATATTACCTCCCCCTGAGGATGCAGTGCTGCTGTGCACACCTGATTTTACAGGTTGGTTGGTCAGAAAACACCTGATTCTTGCTGGACAGTTTGGATCATGTGGTGGCCTATGGTCAAGTGTTCAGTCTTTTCTACGGCCCTGTAACAAGTCAGAAGCTATTTATCAAAAGAAAAAATAGTTATTTGCAGAGAATGGTAGAGCTATGCTTCTCCTAAAGACTTGCTGTATGCTTCATTGATAGGAGCCTGCCAATGTCACAGTATAGCAACCAGTCAGGGACGCATCAAGTGTCATCGAATCTGTTGTGTCACATGGCCAAAGTGGTGGAGCAACTTGCAGAGACGTCTCTTGCGGAGCCTTCTTTTGTTAGGAGACCCACTCAAAACTGGCAGCCTTTCTGGGTGCTTCAACAAATGGCTCAGAGTGACATGACCAAATGAGGTATATATTGTCTTTAAGATCCAAAAAAGGCCCATTAGATTTTGCATTTCTTTCTAGAGAAGATTCTAGATACAGAAACTCACCTTTCACCTTGGAAGGGATTTTTAAAATGCCTTGGAACATGAGACTCCTATACCTTTTCACTGAGATGGAAGGCCCCTGAATTTTTGTGGGACTTATTTCTACCCTCTGTTACACATATGTCTTTTCAAAGTGTCTAGGTCAGTTTCCCCTCAACTCACTTCCTGCTCACCAGGTCCAATCAGCATGATATCATCAATTATCTTCAATGGAGCGGACCAGCACGATGTCCCATGGAATGGAGAGGCAGTCAAGATCCCTGTGAATTAGATTATGACAGAGGACCAGAGAGCTGCTATAACCCTGAGTTAGTTCAGTGAAGGTGTATTGCTAGCCCTGCCAACTGAAGACAAACTGCTTCTGGTGATCTTTACCAACAGGTGAAGAGTGGGGAAAATCTGCAAGCTTGAGAGCTGCAAACCAGCTGGAGGTGATGTGCAAACAATACACATCTGCAATTGGATTCACCACCAGATTAAGTTTACAGTAATCCACGTTTGTTCCTAAAAATCCATCTACCTTCTGCACAGGCCAAATAGACAAGGTAAATGGAAATATGGTAGGATTCTCTAACGCTGACTTTCAAGTTCTTAAGAGTGGCACTAATCTCTGCAGTCCTTCCAGGAAGGGTATAATGCTTTTGGATTAATATTTGAAGAGGTAGAGGAAGCTCTAGAATCTTCCACTTGGTCCTTCCCATTATAGTAGACCTTGGGTCATTCCATGGGTCAGGGAAACAATGAGGGGAGTCTGACAGTTGTTATGTCTATTCCAGTTACATATTCCAAAACCAGGGATGTAAGCATAGGATGGGTTCAGAGACACACTCGGCACAAGATGAAATAGACCTGAGTCAAAACTCCATGACTCCAGACCCCAAAAATTTCCTACTCTGGCTAATGTATCATAGTAGCCTTTTGAGTCCAATAAACCCTCAAAGTCTCATCACTTCCCCTTTCCTCAATGCACAGTTACCTGACAAATAGCTGCCACATGCCTTTGGAGAAGGGTAAGAGGGAAATTTACAGTATATACAGTCATGCATTGCTTAACAACAGGGATACATTCTGAGAAATGCGTCTTTAGGTGATTTCATCATTGTGCAAACAGAGTGCCCTTACACAAATCTAGATGGTACAGCCTACAACACCCTAAGCTATATGGTATGGCATTGCTCCTAGGCTACAAACCTGGGCAGCATGTTACTGTCTTGAATACTATGGACACTTATAACACAATCATGAGTATTTGTGTATCTAAACAGATCTAAATATAGGAAAGATACAATAAAAATGTGGTATAAAAGACAAAATTATGATACACTTATATAGGGAACTTACAAGTCAGAACTTGCCAGAGCTTCTAGGAATCCAGGAACATCCATTCACCAAGGGGGTCAGCAAAAAACAGAGCAAGGAGGAGACCATGGGAGGCCAGCTGAGCCAGCAGCCAGGAAGATGAGCTGGGCACAGAGTCAGGCAGAGCAAGGACAAGGTGACCCCACGAGCAACTATATGACCATCTGTTTACAGGAGTTTACAGGGCTGGCAGTCCTGGGTGAGTCAGTGAGTGAGTGGTGAGTGAATGGGAAAGCTAGGACATTACTGTACACTACTATAGACTTTAGAAACACTGGAGACTTAGGCTACACTGCATTTATTTTTTAAATTTTTTTCTTCAAAAATAAATGAAACAGCTTACTGTAACTTTTTACTTTATCAACTTTTAAATATTTTTAACTGTTTGACTCATTACATTTAGCTTAAAACACACATTTTATAGCTATACAAAAAATATTTTCTTTCTGTACATTGTTATTCTATAAGCTTTTTTCTATTTTTAGAAGTATTATCAGTATCACTGTCTTCCTCTTCCACATCTTGTCCCACTGGAAGGTCTTCAGGGCAGTGACATGCATGGAGCTGTCATCTCCTGGGATCACAATGCCTTCTTCTGGATACCTCCTGAAGGACCCGCCTGAGGCTGCTTTACAGTTCCTTTTTTTTTTTTTTTTTTTTGGTAAGTAGAAGGAGTACACTCTAAAATAATGATTAAAAGTGTCATATAATAAATACACAAGCCTGTAACATAGCCGCTTATGATTATTACCAAACATTATGTGCTGTACATAATTGCATGTGCTCGACTTTTGAATGACTGGCAGTGCATCACCAGAAACATGTGAGCAATGCATTGTGCTATGATGTCATGACGGCTACATCACCAGGTGATAGAAGGTTTTCAGCTCCATTATAATCTTATGGGACCACTGTCGTATACTTAGTCCATCACTGACTGAAATGTTGTTACGCAGTGCAGAGCCGTACTCTGCGGGGTCAGCCTCACTGCACGTGAGCAGTTATGCCTGTGCCTGTGTCTGCTCTGAGAGGCCAACGGTAGTCACACTCCTCACACCACTAGACCCTAAGTCTCCGCTTTCCACTAGGACATCTTTCATTAGACATCCATGCAGCCTTACCACCCCTGGAGTGCCCCTCACTGTGGGAATCTCAGTCTCTGTTGCCTGAACTCTGCTCCCCTCCTGTGAGAATGGGAGCCCTTGATGAGGGTCTTTGGATACAAATCTGTTTGCCCCTTCGGGAAAGGCCATAGTCAGGGATTGGAAACTGCTCATTTCAGTTTCCCAGGGCTGCTGTAATAAATGCCACAACAGGCTGGCTTGAAACCACAGAAATGACATCTCTCACCTTTCTGGAGGCTGGAAGTTGAAATCAAGGTGTCTGCAGGGCCCTGCTCCTGTTGAAGGCTTGGGAGAGATCCTTCCTCACCTCTTCAGCCTGCAGTGGCCTCAGCTGTCCTGTGGCTTGTGGCCCCGTAGCTCCCACCCTTCGCCCTCCATCCTCACTCGGCCTTCTTCTCCGTGCACATCTGTGTCCTCTGCTCTTCTTAGAAGGACAGCAGTCCCTGGACTTGGGGCCCACTCTGCTCCAGTATGAACTTGTCTTTCATCACATCTTCACGGACCCTATTCCAAATAGGGCCACGTCCTCAGGTTCTGGGTGAACATGAATTTGGGGCGGGGGAGACACTGTCCATCCCCCTGAGCCCTCTAAGGGTATTTCTCAAGCCTTACTGGGCAGCTCTCTTAAGACCCATGATGCTTGGGCCCCCCTCCCACCTGCTGGGATGCTGATTTAGTTTTGCTGGAATGGAATCCAAGCATCAGTACTTTCTAAAGCTCCCCAGGTAATTTTGCTGGCTGTAAACCAGTGATCTGCCTGACATCTGATACTTTCCATCCAACCTGGATCCAAGGGGAACGGAGGTCTCTGCCCTCCTAATCTCAGGCTCCCAATCAACACTGGCCTTCACCTGTCTAGTCCACAGGGATTTTGCAGAATATACAGTCACTACCCAAACTTCTTGCCTTAAAAAAACACAGGGCATTGAGTAGGAAGTAAGAGAGGGAGATGTTGGCGAAATGAAACAAAGTTTCAGTTAGACAGGAGGAATGAGTTCAAGCAATCTGTTGTATAACATGGTGACTATAGTTAATAACTTGGTATTGTATTCTTAAAAATTGCTGAGAGTAGATTTTAAGTGTTCTCACCACAAAAAAGATTATGTGAGATAATGCACATGTTAATTAGCTCAATTTAGCCATCCCACAATGTATGCATATTTTAAAATGTCATACACAATAAATAGATATAATCTTTATTTTTCAACTAAAATAAATACAAATTACTTTTAAAAAAACACAGGACATTGCATTCACATAGTCAGAGTTAGGTCCCATAAGCCAGTGGTCCTTAACTTTTTTGGCACAAGGGACTGATTTCATGGAAGACAATTTTTCCACGGACCAGGGGGCGAGGGGGATGGTTTCGGGATGATTCAAGCACATTACATTTATTGTGCACTTTATTTCTATTATTATTACATTGAAATATATAATGAAATAATTATACAACTCACCATAATGTAGAACCAGTGGGAGCCCTGAGCTTGTTTTCCTGCAACTAGAGGGTCCCATCTGGGAATGATGGGAGACAGTGACAGATCATCAGGCATTAGATTCTTATAAGAAGTATGCAACTAGGCTGGGCACGGTGGCTCATTCCTGTAATCCTAACACTTTGGGAGGCCGAGGCAGATGGATCATTTGAGGTCAAGAGTTCGAAACCAGCCTGGCTAACATAGTGAAACCCCGTCTTCACTAAAAACAATAATAAAAAAAAATAGCCGAGCGTGGTGGCAGGTGCCCATAATCCCCGCTACTCAGGAGGCTGAGGCAGGAGAATCACTTGAACCCAGGAGGTGGAGGTTGCAGTAAGCCAAGATCGTGCCACTGCATTCCAGCCTGGGTGACAGAGCAAGACTGTCTC
Source organism: Homo sapiens (assembly GCF_000001405.40). Taxonomy (NCBI): domain Eukaryota; kingdom Metazoa; phylum Chordata; class Mammalia; order Primates; family Hominidae; genus Homo; species Homo sapiens. Next base: position 10,091,549 of record NC_000018.10, on the reverse strand, counting down.
AAAAAAAAGAGCAAAAAAAAGTGCGCAACCTAGAACCCTTGCATTCGCAGTTCACCATAGGGTTCGTGCTCCTATGAGAATCCAGTGCTGCCACTGATCTGACAGGAGGCAGAGCTCAGGCGGTAATTCGAGGCGGGGAGGGGAGCAGCTATGAATGCAGATGAAGCTTTGCTTGCTCTCCTGCTGCTCACCTCCTGCTGTGCGGCTTGGTTCCTAACAGGCCACGGAGTGGTACCAGTTCCTGGCCCCGGGGGTGGGGACCCCGCTCTACATGGTATTGCTCAGCCTGAATATACTCCACTCTGGGATTATCTTTACTTTGGGCATCTATTCTACATTGTCTCTAAAATACTGCAGGGGGTGTATTTCTGAGAGGTGACTACACTTTTTCATTGGCTGACATCTCTCAGTCTTTGTTGCCTCACCTCCCCACATACCCAAGGTCTGAAGTAACCTCTGAAAACATAGCCCCCTCACTCTTAATGTTCCCCTGGCATAGCGTTTCTCAGAAATGTGGATGTACCCTGGAGGGTGGGCCAGGCCCCATCTGCATTCTTTGCAGTCCCCACTCCCCAGCTCTGAACCCTTACTGGCTCCAGCTCACAGTACACACACGTGTATCTAAGCTTCCTGTGGCTCAGCCTCTTCCCCAGCAGCTGAATTCCTGACCTCTCCCAATGTTCGCACATCACCCCCCTGCCCAGCTTCATGGACTTCAAACCCAAACACATGCGAAAATAAGGGATGTGTCTACTATGTTGGTTTAACAGATTCCATTTAAAATACACTCATCTGCTCTGTTAACAGGTTTCATTTAGTATAAAACCAAAGACTAGCTTCCAAACCTGAAACAGTGGTAGTTTTCCTTACTATCTTTAAAAGAAGGAGAAGGAAGAAGAAGAGGGAAGAAGAAAGAAGCCCCTTTTCTTCCTCATGTTAAAGTTTCCAGTTGTAGAAGAAAGGACATTTTTTACTTTTTAATTAAGCTTCCCAAATGAAATAAGCCTACACTTATTTCAACCTTGGATGCTCATAGAACCAGAGATTTTCCACTGTGGAATTGTCCCCGACTGTCTTCCTAAAACAGCACCTTGCCTTAAAGGCCTGCTTAGAGCGGACGGCCACTCTGCCGAATTAGCAGCAGGGAGCTAGGGCCAGCTGGCCCCTAGTGATTGGCAAATTGCTGCTAATTATTACCAACACGCTTCCTAATTATTATCTAATCCAAGAAAGCTACGTTTAATATCACCTGGTGGGCCACAGAAAATTCAATTCATGTGAACTTTAGAAACACAACAGAGCAGCACTGGATTCCTTTCCTGTTGTATTTTCCTTCATTGAAATGAACCCCTGCACCTGTTCTTGCTCTCTCCCTCCTTCTGTCTCTTTCAACCCCCGCCCAACTACATGGCTAAACACTTGGTTGATGTTTTCCTTTAAGTGCTTGGCTTGGGGTATTAATAGCTCTGTGGTGAGAAGCGCATCTGCCTCTTCCTGGAAAGCTATATGTAAAGCAAAGGAAGCTCATCAAACGCCCCAAAAAGGACACAAAGACACCTTGGCAGAGTGCTTTTCCCCAAGGCTGTTATTAGAAGCTTTCATGTTGCTTCCACCAGGGCCACACGGCAGGCTCAGAAGAGTTTTCTAATGTGGCAGTTGTTGGGGGGTGCCGTGAGGAGGCATCAAACACCACCACCCACTTCTCTTAGGTTTGCTTGCATCCAATGACTCAAAATCAGAAGAAAGCACAAGCCCTCAGGTTCACCAATGCCCTGGGACATGATTGGCAGGAACCCTCCTTGCACGGAGCAGGTGGTGAAGAGGGCACTGGACTGGTGGTCAGGCGACCTGGCACCCTGCTTTGCAGGCTCGCTGTATTCCACTACACTGCACCTCGGTTCCCTGCATTTAGCATGAAATGATTTCGATTTAATAATTTCTAAGTCTCCTTCAACATGTAACAATCTGAAATGCCAAGATGAAGAGACTCATAAGGCAATGCAAACTGCTAACACAGATGAGCCACACTGGGCCTCTTTCCTGCCATTTAACTCAAAATTCTAATATATTTAGCAAAAATAATCTCAATGATTTGCATACAAATCTGTGCCTATCCACAAATATTTCTCACTCAGTGTTCTTCCCTCCAGGGTTTGTCATTGCAAGGAACTGTCGGGTTCCACTCCTTACTCCTTCATCAAGCCCAGTTTTTATTTATCTCTAGAGTCCGTTGGTGGTTATTACTTACCTTATTGGAAATAATGTTGCCCTCTAAGAGCTAAAGGGTGAAATAAATGTCTAGTGAACCCATAGAAGAGAAACAATGTTACCTTAAATACAGGAATAACAGAAGCAATGTTCTGTTCCCCACACTGCTTCCTCTTCCCAGAAACACAGAAAAACACCTTTCTTTGCTGCCTTAAAGCTGGTTGTGGACCCTATGCTTGAGTCCTCTTCCTGCACACTCTGCAGGAGTGATGCTATCCCTGGCCAGGGCAGTACAGCCAGGGGCATGCTCCCCACACTCTCATCTGTGCAGCTGAGATTAGAGAACGCTCAGATGGCAGAGTGGAAGCTGGAAGCATCGTGGGTCTCTGAATCATCCCTGGAGAAGAGCCACTAAGAGAGATACCTGACTCACCTTGGATTGTGGTACAAGCAAGGAATAAATTTGTTTCTGGTAATCACTGAGATGTCACAGTTTTTTACAGCAGCAGAGCCTACCCTATCCTGACTGCTTCAACAAGCCAGCCCTGAAAGCACAGGGGAAGGAGCGTTCCAAAAGCAGAGGCAGCCACTACCTAGCCAAGACCTGTCCTCAGAGAAGCACCTTAGCTCCAGGCGTTTTTCTGGCTCCACTGACAAAGTCTTCCACCAGGTAGAAACTGGAATGGTTATTGTGGCCAACTTGTTTAATTCCTCAAACCATTAAGCTATCAGTTCACCTAGTAGCCATTGTTCTTATTTGGTGCTTGCAATAATTCAAGTGAGAGATAACGTGGCTTCTGTGATCTATGGCATCGTTAATCAAATTCTCCCAGGGATCTGAACAGGTAATACCAAGAGAATCAGGCATAGAGCTTAGGACCAGCTGCTGAGGACTCAGGAGGCCAAGGTAAAGGGCCACACTACATAGAGTCTCTGATTATCGAACCTAGGCTGCTGGCCTGACTTCCTGATGCCAATAGCCTTACACCTGGGCACTGCTCTTGTCTGTCTAGGCCTACAAAACCTGTCCCTGTCCCTACCACTGGGTCAGTCAGCTATTGCTGCGTAACAAACCATGCCAGTGGCAAACAGTACCATGCATTTATTCTCATGCCTAAAGATCTTCAGGTCAGCTAGGGAAGTTCTGCTCTGGGCTATAGGTCTACAGGTCAGCTGGGAGGCTCTGCTCCACATGCGTTCATTCTGGGGCACAGGGGAAAGAGACAGCAGTTACCTGCAGCATTTTTTTTTCCATGCAGAAGTTGGAAGCTCCTGGAGGGGCAAGCAGAGACATCCAATGTCTCCTAAGGTCTAGGCTCAACATCAGCAGGACACTATCCCCTTCTCCCACAGTCCACCTGTCAGCCCAGCACTGTCAGAAAAGGGGCAGATACTTCTATTCTGGTCGGAGGAACTACAGAGTCACATGGCAAAGGGTATGGATTTAAAGTGGGTGGAAAATTGGGAATAACAGAGCAACCTCCTGCATCCACCTATCAGGAGCTGACCCAGTGACCTCCAGTGGGGCTTCTCAAACATTAACAGGCATGAGAATCACCTCAAGAGTTCATCAGACACAGATCCCCAGGCCCACCCCCAGAGATTCCAATTTAGTAAGTCTCAGGTGAGGGCCTCAGAATTTACATTTTCGACAAGCTCCCAGGTGATCCTGACACTGCTGGTCACGTTCAGTAGCCATGACCACAGCACACGCGTGGGTACTAAGGGTCAGATCCATGGGGGCAGCAGCTGGAAATGCTTTCATTCTCTAGGTATTATCTTACCTCTCAGAATGCAAATGGTAGGACACTTCCTTAGCTGTGACGGAGAAGCAGATTCAAACCCATATGGGGATAGAGCTCGGGTGAACAAACGCCTTGTCGCTCTTTCACCTTGGTAACCAAGAGCACACAACTTGGTCCAAACCCCTCAACTCTCTTCACCATTAAATAAGGATTGTAACTCTAAAAACCATTCTATAACTTGCCCCTAACATACGTATGCTGAGTGAGCGCTTCCTTGCCCTGTGCAGATTCATGGTCTCTATTGAGACTCACGGTGGGTGCTGAAATCACCTGTTTACAAAGCTGCATTCCCATGCCACCCTGTAAGTCTTGTGAAAACAGCCTCTGTGTCCCCTCCATGGGTCTCCCTAATGCCTGACACTTATTAAGGGCTCTACCTATGTTTGCTGAGTGAATAAATGAGGGAGGAAGAGTAAGGTTTCCATCTCCTGGGGAAGCAAGACTGTGAGACCATCTGAGAGAACAGTGCAGCTGAAGGGAATGTGAACTCATGCTGCTGCCTCGGGCCCCTGGCTCTTCCTGGCCTCCAGCCTTCGCTGATTTCATAGAGTCTGAGCACTGGCTTCCTTCGTCATTGTAAGAAGCACCAGGAGGGATTTCTAAAATCTTGATGCCCAGGCCATCATCCAAACCAATTAAATCAAACTTGGGGGTGGGACCAGCCATCGGTAATTTCCAAATCTCACCAGGTCATTATCACAGTGGCCAGAGCTGAGGACAGCCGAGCACTGCGGGACCCCAGCTTTTCAAACAGCAGTGACTGACACCTGCAGACACACGGGGCACCAATGAGTCATGAGTGACATTTAACCTTACTGCCACGAGCTCTGCAGCTATTTAGAATCAACCATCTAGACAAACAAAAAAACATTCTCCCAATGTTACGAAAACAAAGGATTAGTAATTATAACACAAAGCTGGGTGCCTCCCTAATCCTCACAGAACCTGTTTGATCATGAGTTACAAAGAAGTGACAGGGCCTGAGACTGCCCTCTCCGGCTGGCTGCGGAAGGACCTGCCCACAGGCGGGAAGAGGGCAGCTGGCCATCCCGAGTACAGGAGCCACATCAGACAGGTCCTGTGCCTCCCAGAGGGTGGCACACCACAAGTTCTGCCTGGAGAAGGAGAAAAGAGTACACAGAAATCACGGGCCAGGAAAGTTAGAGAAAGAGCACAGCAGAAAAAGCAGAAGAAAAGAGAGACCCAGGCAAGCTGAGAAGAGGCTGCTGAAAAGCAGGAGGGAGAGCAGTGGAAAGCGAGGCCTTCAGTGGGCCTTCTCACTTGCCTGGGGCCCTTGCCCCACCGTCTCACCATGAGCATCACAGCATCATCCTGTCACACCATCACTGGACTTGCTTTAGGTGTCTCCTCAATGGATCTCCTGGGGTTTATGCAGGCCTGCATTCTCCCTCTGAGGGCAAGTTCCCTGAGCAGGGAGCACTTGCAATTCCATCTGCAGTCCAAAGTCCCGTAATAAACACCCAAATAGAGCATGCTGGTTTAGAGGCAGGGGAAACCAATGCTGGCAGCTTGGGCCTTGTTGGTTTCTTATCACCCACAGGGATAAGCATTGCCTTTGTAAAGTAATAAAAACCTGAATCAAATCAGCAACAACTAGGCAGCAAAATATCTTGACTCGATCAGAGGCCTCCATAGCTGAACACAGCCAAGGTTAATGAAGTCCAGCCACCAGGAATATGGCCCACGTAATCAAGGGGAGTTTGGTTTCTGAATCCAGGTCTTTGGAGACTTCTTGGTCTAGCTAATTAGTTGCACGTGCAGTGTCTCAGAGGCGGTGACTGATAGTTGATGGACATAGACTTCTAGCCTGCATTATATCATCCAGAAAACAGGACATGACCATTCCCAGCTGTTTCTTTTACTGCAGGCACTGCCAGATGTCACAGCAGATCACATCACACGGTAAGACTAAAGGAAGCTTCCACCTTCTCCCCCAGCCTGGGAAAGAAGGAATGAACAGAGATTTAAGAGTTCGCTGTTTCTGTTTTCACTAGAGGAGAGGAAGAATGCTGACTCATCTTCTGATACAATTTTATCCACCCAGGAACCTGATGGCAAAGCCACTTCAAAGTGAGCTACCATCTCTGCAAATATGACTCAATTATCAGATGTGAGGATGGTGATGGGATTTTCTCAAGGGTTCCACTACGCATACAACCTGGCAATTTATTCAGCTGTGTAGTAGCTGCCTGCCTTGCATGGGATGCTGTCTTGTCATTTCACTTTATATTCTTTAAGAGCCACAAGCCTTGGGTAGTCTTAAAGCCACGCCTTCCAAACAAGAACCTGTTCGCTCATATTGTTCAAGTCTGAGCGACCTAGACCAGGAGACTGTAAGCAAGGCCAAATACCAGGCTCCGCTCCATCTAAATTCAACATGTACCAGCCCACGTGGCAAGAAAGAGAGAAATAACAGTGCCTACTATGTGGGGGTTGCAGTGAGAATCCAATGAGAAGCATTTACCAACATGCTGAGCATGTAGTAAGTCCTCAATGACTGTGAGATAATCCATATCTGACCATTCTATTCCTGTGCCTTATCAACCTGTTCCTAGTGGCCACTAGTCCTAGAACCAAATTCTCCTTTAAGAAGCATCCTTAGATGAAGTGGCCCTTGGCAGGATTTTGTCCAGCTCCCATGCAAAAAGCCAAAATCAGAACTTTCTTCCCCTCTCCTCATTCCCTATGGGCTCTGGGAGAGATTTAGTTTCACAGGAAAGGGGCAAAACAACGTTCACAGGCCCCCAGGTACCTCTCCTACCCAGCCCTTCCCAGATATTCTGTTCTGTATTTAGGAGTGAGTATAATGAGCTGGGCTAAAGGAGTGTCATGTTTTGGTCTGCTTGTTTTTTTTTTTTTTTTTTTACTTTGGTCGTTTTTTGTTTTGGAGAAAAAGAAAAGAATTTCATGGTGTACTAATTTTCTTTCCGGAGTTAAAAACATTCAAGAAGAGACACCTCATGAAAGAAGAGATGCAGATGGCAAATAAGCACATCCTCCACATCACATGTCATCAGGAAATGCAAATTAACACAGCAGTGAGATCCCACTGCACACCTATTAGAATGGTCAACGTCTAGAACACGACAACACCAAATGCTGACAAGGATGTGGAGCAACAAGAACTGTCTTCCATTGCTGGTGGGAATGCAAAAGGGTATAGCCACTTTGGAAGACAGCTTGGTGCTTTCTTATGAAACTAAACAGTCTTACCATACGATCCAGCAATGTGCACCTTGGTATTTACCCAAAACAGTTGAAAACATATGTTCACACAGAAACTTGTACGCAGATGTTTAGAGCAGCTTTATTCATTATTGCCACAACTTGGAAGCAAACAAGATGTCCTTCAGTAGGTGAATGGATAAATAAACTGTAGTACAGCCAGATAATGGAATATTATTCAGCACTAGAAAGAAATGCCCTATCAAGCCATGAAAAGATGTGGAGGAAACTTAAATGCATATTGGTAAGTGAAATAAGCCAATCTGAAAAGGTTACATGCTATATGATTCCAATGATATGACATTCTGAAAAAGGCAAATCTATGGATACAGTAAAAAGGTTAGTGGCTGCCATGGGTTGACCCCTTACACTGAGCTTGTGAACCAATTTTTAAAATGGTGCTAACAAATGTGAACCTGAAAGAGCCAGTCCTTGAAGGTGGATCCAAAGTGGCTGACTGGGCCTAAATATAAAATAGAGACATGCAGCTATTTGCTGATGAGGAGTCACACACATACTCTGGAGGTCCCCAAAACCAACACCTCTGTTCAACTTTGGGACACCAGAGCTCACCTGAACCAACCAATCATTGGCCAAGAGCTCAGCTGCCTTGGCCAATCAGGGCTCAGCTGTATCAACCAATCAGGGCTCAGTTGTATTAACCAATCAGGGCTCAGCTACACTGAGGATACTAAGCAAAATATTGGGGTCTTTAGAGTCCTGCCTCAGAGTTTACCAGGACTGTGACATCCCTGAAGAACTCTCCATTCGGATAGCTCTGAACTGAAAGGGAAAATGTGCTTCCTCTGCAGCCATGTCCCATTCCGAGGGCATCAGTCCACCTGCCTGACCCCCAGCCAGAGTTAGGAGAGGGTCCCACCCCCGTTGGGAGGAGCAGCTGTAGCCATGCCTGGGCTCAGGATGTCCTGAGAGGGTGGGTGCTGGAGTACACACACAGCATAGGTCTGTGCCAGCAGCCTCCCTCACCTGATGACCTCACCCCTCCAGGGAGCACCCACAGGGCCCCATCCCCTAATCCTGAAACCAGCCCAGTTGTTCCATAGAACTGATGTTTATGGTTTCTTTTGAATAAGCATAGAAATTGGTCCTTCTAGTTTTAAAACTAGAAAGTTACATTTGTCTTATCTGAGTTCCTTTCTCAGGAAAGCAACCATCAGCGCTCACAGATAGTTTCAAGGAACTGAAACTTTCCAGATCACAGCATCAGGACAATGAGACACCAGACCCCTCACCCATCATGATTGCATAACCCACCACCTGCTGCCTGTTGACTAACTCCTCTTCCTTACCCCTCCCTAATTCCTGTTTTCCCATAAGTAGTTACGTTTCTTCCCCGCTATGTAAACTCTTAATTTTAGTCAGTTTAGGAGATGGATTTGAGACTGATCTCCCATCTCCTTGACTGTACCATCTGAATAAAGCTGCCTTCCCCGGCAATACTTGTCTCAGTGATTGGCTTTCTGTGTGGCAAGCAACAGGACCTAGACCAAACCCCTGGTGTTTCAGTAACAATCCCACTCTCCCACAGCCTTTGGAGCCATCACCCTAACCTGTGCTCTCTCTGCTCTCTGTCTGTCTCCCCTGCTCTCAGCATTTTGCAAACCAGCTCATCAGTGAGTTGAAAATCAAACCACTCTCAAAACAGCTCAAGAAAGCAATCACTTTGTCTTCTACTATTCGGTGGTGGTGCATGCATGCTTCTGTCTCCTTCCCAGCCAGCCCATGCCTGGATGAAACTGTGACCATGGTGACAGCTAGACATCACTGTGCCTACTCTGAAAGACAAGGCTCCCGCCACAGACAGAGGACATTTAAAAATAAGAATGATTTTTACTAGACCTGTCTGAAAATACAGTCACCAAAAAAATTCCATGCTCTGGGGTGCTGACCTAAAGACTTCAAATCACAGCCCTCCCTGTTAAATGTCAAACTTTTCCCAGGACACCTCTAAAATGAGAAGGGTTCAATGCTGCACAGGAGATGTTTATGAACTATTCTGTTTTGAAACGGTAATGCAATGACAACAAGTCTTCAAGAAATATATCCTAGTAGAAATTCCCATGCAGGATCCCAGTTGAATTTGGTTTTTAAATCTTTTAAAAGATTTAAAAATAACAAATCCCATTCTTTTTCCCATGGCACTGGGTTGGGAGAAAGTAGTTTCTTTGACTCTAAGGTGGAGAAGCTCTCTGCTGCGGACACACGGATCTATTTTATGTCATCCCTGCCTGCAGATTTCTGCAGGTTCCTGTTGCTGCAGTTTCATCCGGGCATGGCCTGGCTGGGAAGGAGACAGAAGCATGCATGCACCACCACCAAATAGTAGAAGACAAAGTGGTTGCTTTCTTGAGCTGTTTTGAGAGTGGTTTGATTTTCAACTCACTGATTTCTCTCCCTCTGCAGTGTTCTTGGAAACAGACAAGAGCAAATCCAAAGCTTAACTGTTTTAATAGCCACATGAATAGAAATAACATGTGTGTAACACTGTGTGGATTACATGGCACTTAAGCAAAAATCATGTTGTTTCATCATCCAAACAGCCAAGTGGCATAGGCATTGCTATTTCTGTAATATGATCCTTCACTGTGCAGTAGAGATAAAGCCAGCTGTCAAAGGTCAACATGCTTGCAGTGGGAGGTGGATGGCGCTAGGGCTTCAGCTGGGCGCTTCTGCCTCGTTCATCACCTTGCTCCATGGCCATGGCTGTGTCCCATCAGGAGCTGCCGAGAAGTGGTTTTATTCCTCTGCCTTACAGCAATGTGACTCTTGGAGAAAGAGCAGAGCCTGCCTATTTCTAAAATCCTGCAAAGGAGACCTGTGCCCACAATCTTCCTGTTACTGCACGCACGGTTCAGAGACCACCACAGCTATGTCTTACTTCCCCACATCGCAGAGCCTGCCCTCCAGCCTCCTGTGCCAGAGCCTGCCCTCCTGTGCCTCATCCCTAGGAGAGAGGAGAGCAGACCATCCTGCTTCTCAGAAACAGCTGAAGTGTGTTTCAGCCAGGGCTCACTCCAGGCTGCAGAACCACTTCAAGTGGTGTCGAGTAGGGATCTATTGCAGAGAATGGCCCTTCCTCCCTCATGGGAGTGGAATGAGGTGTCTGTGTGGGTCTGGTACCTCCAATCTGGTGCTCGGTGGGATTCAGCAAGGCCAGCCCTCAGGAAAGCACGATGAACATGAAGTGGGAAGACCAACAGCGTAAGAAGGCATGCGTGTTAGGCAGTTCAATAAGTTGCAATAAGTAAATACCCAAGACTGGGTATTTTATAAAGAAAAGAGGTTTAATTGGCTCACAGTTCTGCCAATCATGGCACCAGCAACTGCTCGGCTTCTAAGGAGGCCACTGGGAGCTTTGACTCATGGCAGAAGGTGAAGGGGGAGCAGGCATGTCACATGGTGAGAGCAAGAGCAAGAGAGGGAGAGTGGTGAGAGGCACCACACACTTTTACAACCAGATCTCTGAGAGAACTCACTCACTGTGGTGAGGACAGCACCAAGCCATGAGGGATCCACCCCCACGACCCGAACACCTCCCACCAGTCCCCACCTCCAAACACAGGGGAGTACATCTCAACGTGAGATTTAGAGGGGATGAATATCCAAACCACATCAACAAGCGTCTCTCACTGCCTCTCATCAGCCTGTGATGCGGGCAACCTGCAGGATTTGCCGAAGCTGAAGGACGACCTTCGGGAAGCTGGAGCTGCTGCGGCCTGAGGCGGGCCACCTGGGACTTGAGTGGCAGCAGCACCTGCCCTGCTCAGACCTGCTCCTTACTCACCCCTTCCAAGGCCCTCAGATATCTCCTGTGATGAACGCTGACATGGCAAAGATCCTCCCAGCTTAGCTAAGTTGACCCAGTTTAACAGAACCCCATGGAGACTTCAGTCATAGTACCTTTGGGACCCGACTAGCACCAGGACTCACCAGCCTGGCCACAAGCCACCTCAGGCTGCTTATGTGAAACCAGACCTCAGATGAAAAGTTAGCTACATGACCCACTACCCTGTACACACACACACACACACAAACATACAGTCACGTGCTGCATAAAGACATTTCAGCCAATGACAGACTGCACAGATGATGGTGGTGCCATAAGATTATAATGGAGCTGGAAAATTCCTTTTGCCTAGTAACATCATTGCCGTCCTGATATCATGGTCCATTGCTCACCAACCTACTGCACTGCTGGCCCTATAAAAGCCTAGCACGTACAATTATGTACAGTACATTATACTTAATTATGATAGTAAATGGCTATGTTACTAGTTTGTGTATTTACCATACTTTTTATTGTTAGAGTGTACTCCTTCTACTTACCAAAAAAAGAAAAAAAAGGTAGCTGTAAAGTAGGCTCAGGCAGGTTCTTCAAGGAGTATCCAGAAGAAGACATTGTTATTCTAGAAGACGGCAGCTCCGTGAAAGTTATTGCCCCAGAAGACCTTCCGGTAGAGACAGTGATATTGATGATTCTGCCCCTGTGTAGGCCTAGGCTAATGTGTGGGTTTGTGCTTTCGTTTTTAACAAAAAACTTTTAAAAGCCAAAAAAAAATTAAAAATAGAAAAGAGCTTATAGAATAAGTATATAAATATTTTTATACAGCTGTACAATGTGTTTGTGTTTTACGCTGAGTATTATTGCAAGAGTCAAAAAGTTAAAAAAAATTTAAAGTTTATAAAGTAAAAAAGTTATGGTAAGCTAAGTTTAATTTATTAATGAAGAAAAAGGTTTTAAAATAAATTTAGTGTAGCCCAAGTATACTTTATATACACTTTATATACAGTGTATATAAAGTCTACAGTCATGTACATCAGCGGTCAGTCCCCAACATTTTTGGCACCAGGGACTGGTTTCATGGAAGATCATTTTTCCACAGACCAGCGCGGGGATGATTTCAGGACGAAACTGTTCCAACTCAAATCATCAGGCATGAGATTTTCATAAGGAGCTCACAGCCTGGTTCCCTTGCATGCACAGTTCACAATAGGGTTTGTGCTTCTATGAGAATCTAATGCTGCAGCTGATCTGACAGGAGGTGGGGCTCAGGCAGTAATGCCTGCCCTCCACTCACCTCCTGCTGTGCAGCCCGGTTCTTAACAGACCACGGACTGGTACTGGTCCTTGACCCTGGGGTTGGGGACCCCTGATGTACATCATGTGGTAGGCCTTCACATTCACTCACCACTCACTGCTATTTTTTATGTTTTATATCATATTTTTATGGTAGCTTTTCTATGTTTAGATACACGTAGACACACAAACACTGTATTACAATGGCCTGCAGTACTCAGTACCATCTCATGCTGCACAGGTTTCCAGCGTAGGAGCAATGGGCCACACCACACAGCCTCGGTGTGTAGTGGGCTCCACCCACTAGGTTTGTGTCAGTGCACCCTGCGATGTTCGCACAATGATGAAATCGCCTATGGATGCTTATCTCCAAAGGCACTGCTGTGGCTAGGCCGCGCCTGACTGTGTAAGTATTCGCCCCATCTGCCACAGTGAGGGCCAGCACTCTGACTGTGGGCCCTTGCTCAGGCCCCCTGAAGCTCACATCACAGCTTCAGCCTGGAAGGAAAAACTCCACGGAAGAAAGATGGACACCAGGGTTGAGTTAAGGTCCAAGTCTGCACATTAAAGCCAAATAGGACTTCTTTAACATGTTCTATGCATCCTATTTCACACCAACTTTTATGAATGTTCGTAGAGATATGTGTACATGACTAAAATAATCCTTATTTCTTGCCCAGTGAACAAATCTTGCCCCAAAACACACTTGCAATATTGACAAACTGAGATTCATGCTCTTCCACTGATCTAGGAAACTGTAGGCAGACTTTCAAAGCAAACGACCTTTTAATATTCAAAAGCATGGCTGTAAATCATTAAACCAAATTAACTACTACACCTTCCACAATTTCAGTAAGTTCATCTGCGTAATTTGGATGGTCACTCACCTCCACTGTACACAAAGGCAAGGCCGTCTCATGCCCAGATCAAAGGCACCAGACACCAGAGGCTTCTCCTTGAAAAGAAAACAAGACTTTCACGTGATCTTTAAAGACTCTGGTTGATAAACTTGGCAAGCCTTTCTTCTGTGCACGCATGTGACACACACACACAGAGGGATGAATAGAATCTGTGCAGATGGCTGAAAACTGTCTGATCTCTGTCACAAATTGCAAAGGCACCTAGAAATCAATAGACCTCCTCAGAGTATGGCAGTGACTGTTTCCATGAGTTCATTGAAGTGTCCAAGTGGTCATGATTAATGGAGCTGAAGCTTCACCAGGAGGGAGGGGAATATGTCACTTTATCCTGGGAAATGCCTGCAAAATTCCACATCTGCTTAGTTGGACTTTCTTATAAGTTCAGTATTCACCAGAATAATTCTACTGTCAATGCTGAAATCTCAATAAAATACATAGGTCCATTTTCCCACTTTACTCTATAGCCCAAGCCCTAGCACATGCTAAGTAAGAAATATTAATGAATGCATTCATTAAAGCTCTTGCTGTTGATCAGAATCCTGAAGGACTTCAAATTCACATTCTGCTTGCAATAATCCCTTTCCTATACCGTAAAACAAAAGTGTAAAACATTGGCTGGCACTCTAGTAACCTTAGAATAATGCAAGATTATTTTAAATAAATTCCTACTGTCTTCTTACCACTCGATTAGTTGACAAAGAATTTCCTGCTTATGATATTCTGATAAATGAGAAAATCTATTAATATATTAATTCAATAAGTTTTTTAATACGTTCTTTATTGTAGATTATGCTAAGCCCTGAGAAAATAAATATAAAAATCTAGCCTCTACCCTTAAAATAATATGGTTTAGTAGGTGAGGTAGAGAAGTAGACCAGCAATTATGATAAGATGGTGGGATAAGTGGCTAGGACAAATGCTTTGAGGGGGCAGGGGCTGCAGTGGGAGAGGCCACCCTGGGGGTGGGGAGCAGTGCTCTCTCTCTCTGCCATTGTTTAGAGTTGCCAGAGGAGGGTGATACTAGAAAGCAGACGAACCTCGAGTTGGTTTTAGTTTTTATCATTGTGTTTTTAATTCTTTGCAAACAATGAACCCCTTAATGCCCCCAACACTCCTAGGCCACACTCCTCCTGGCAGAGGCCAGGGTGAGGCATCTCAGGGGTCCGGGGAGAGGAACATGGACCTGAGCCCCAGCTCTGGAGCCAGCCTCTCAGAGAGCCAACCTCTCAGAAAGCCAACAGGGATGCCGGGGCAGCTGAGTCCCCAGTTGAGACCATGCAGTCTGGCCATGATTTGAACATTAATCTTAATACAATGTGGTTTGAGGCCAGGCTGGTAAGACCCAGGGACAGTCAGTTACCAGGTAATGTGACAGAGGCGCCACGTGGTTCAGAGGGGCACAGAAGAGAGAGGGTGCCGCCCTACATGGGTGGAGGATCTGTATAGATGCCAGGGAGGAGTGAGGTGGAGGTGACCGGTGGGCAGGATGGGAGGCTGGGTCACAGCATGGAGCAGCTCACTGCCAGGGACACCTGTTGGCACAGAGGGAGCTTGGAGTGGACTGAAAGGGAATGTGAGATGGAGAAGTGGACAAAGGGCCTTTGTACTGTCCTGAGGAACAGGAAGAAAATGAGGACTGTACCTTATGCTTCTGTGCCCTAGTGTCTCCCTCTTCAGGTTTCAAGCAGGATGCCTAACATATCAAGAAGCATTTAGCAATCTTCCTAATAAATGCACACCACTGAAGAAAATTAAGCAGGTGAGCCTGTCAGGTTGCAAACCTTCCTCTGCCTAGACCTAGAGACTGGCTGACAAGGAGAGAGGGTGGGGACAGGGGATTAGGGGACAGGGAGGCCATAGAAACAAAAGGCCATGGGAACAGGGGGGCCTTGGGGACAGGGCAGCCATGGGGACAGGACGCCATGGTGACCAGCGGCCATGGGGACAGGAGGCCATAGTGACCAGGGGCCATGGGGACAGGAAGTCATGGGGAAAGGAGGCCATGGGGACAGGAGGTCATGAGGAAAGGAGGTCATGGGGACAGGAGGCCATGAGGACAGGGGGTCATGGGGACGTGGCTCATGCCTGGTGCAGACCAGAGGGGTGCTGATTGAATTGTATTTACTGGAGAGAAGCTGTGGGATCCGTATCTGTTGAGATGCTGGACATGAGAGTAAGGGAGGACTCTAGGCTGCCCCCAGTTTCTAGCAGGAATGATTTGGACACAGTTCAGAGGGACAGCAATCAGAAAGAGGATGAGGATTCTGCAGGAAGGGGATGGAATGACCTGGAGCGTGTTGAGTTTGGTGTCAGAGAGGATTGTGCTGCAACTGTCTGCAGAAAGGTTCAGGCAGACGTTAGAAGTTGGTGCACAAGCAAAAAGCAACAGGGGAGTCTCACAGCAAGATGTACCATATGACAGAGAAAAAGTGCAAGGACAGGACTCTTGGAAGCACAGCCCTGAGGAGCGGCTGTGAGGCCACCAGTATACAGAGGGAAAGCAGAAAGGCCTGGGGTGGGAGAGGCGGCAGGAGAGCCTGGAGCTCAGAAGCCAAAGAATTTCCAGGAGCAAATGCCCACTGCAGCACAGAACGATAGAAATAAAATGCAAGCCACCAACGTTGCTTGAAAGCAGCAACCCTAAAAAGAAAACCAAAACATGAAATCCATTTTAATAATATATTTTGTTCAACCCAATACGGCCAAAATGCTGTGATTTCAAAATGTAATGAAGATATAAAAAATCGAGATATTTTACATTCTTTTTTTGGAACCAAATCTTGGAAACCTGGTATCACATTTGACACTTATAGCACATCTCAATTCAGACACCAGATTTTCATCAGAAATGCTTGATCTGTATTTACAGTTTATACAATTTACAGTTGAAAAACTACATTCACAGATGCAAGTGGTTCCAATTGTACTTAAAGGTTTTTCAATAACTGAATAAAGTATCTGCTTTTAAATGTAAAATAATTAAAAATTCCGTTCCTTGGTGCCCAGCGGCCACATTTGGAATGTTCTGTAGCCTTCTGCACAGCTGGACACCCTACTGAACCCGGCAGATCCAAAGCCTCAAACGAGGCCTCTGGGCTTGACCATGGCAGGAAGCCAGGGTCTAGAGCGCTGATGGGGGCACAGCCTGACAGTGGGGGGGTTACAGGTTGAGGGGAAGTAGAGGAAATGTCAACGACGTAAATCTCCTGGATACTGACTTTGTAAGGAAAGAGATAGTAAGGTAGCCACAGGGGACCCAGAACCACAGGAGGTTTATTCTTTTCTAAGACAGGAGAGTGAGACAGAGATTGAAATATGGGTGAATGACTGACGCAGTCTTTCGGGCCTTTATTTGTCTGAAAGCCCTGCTTAGACCAACATGCGATCATGACAGTGATAACAAGAGAGTTTACTGAGTGCTTTCTGTGCATTGCCTATCCTTACTTTCTGTGTTGTCTCATTTAATGAACACGTAACCGTGGAAGGGTAGGTTTTGCTTTTAGAAGAAAAGCAGAGACTGGAACGATCATTGTGCAGTTACGATGGGATGGACACATCACCCAGTCAGGCTTGGATGCTGGCGCTGGGATCCTGGGCGTGACAGGAAAGCCACCCCAGTGATGTTTGCACTGCAGCTTTGCTTTCGATTTATCATGTGCATAGCTGATATTGATGCAGCTTCTGATACAGGAGCAAGGTGGGAGCACACAGGAGGAATGGTGGAATCATACCCTCTGGGGGGCATTCCAGAGCCTCAAAAGGTGTCGCCTGAGAGGAGCATTTGAAGACCATCACTTCACAGTGGGGATGAAGAGTCACCTCTACAATCCTCTTATTTGTCCACCATGACCAAGTCCCGTGCAAAATCCCATGACAGACCTTTCAGTGGATGACTAGAAGTCATAAGAAAAACCTGCTTCCAAACCAGCCCTGCAGGGAAACAGCTGCTCACACATGCAGAAAACATGTCTCGCCCACTTCAAAGACTCTGTGCATGTCTAACCACCAAAGGAAAGAATTCTGAAAAGAAAGCCATAAATAAGTCTTCAGGGGAAGACAGGTTCAGCATTTTTGATTGCTCTGTTGAAAGGCAGAGCTTTCTGCCCCCTTTTTTCTTTTGCTGATCTGGAGCCAATAAAGCTATTGACATAATTTTTTTTAAGCTGAGTCCTAGAGATGTGTTAGAAAAAACAGTTTGTCCATCCGAAATAGCAATTTTGATACATGAGAGACAATGATTTCACCTGACTTGGAGAATTCCACTGCCAGCCAGTTCCCAAAGATTCTGCAAGAGAAGAGGGGCTGGGCCATAGTGCCAGGTACCCAAGGAGGACCCCAGGTGAAAAGGTTGATCCAAGGCTCACTGCTTCATAGGATCAGATTGGTTCGTTCTCTTTTTTTTCTTTTTTTTTTTTTTTTTTTGAGACAGGGTCTCACTGTGTTGCCCAGGCTGGAGTGCAGTGGTGCGATCTCAGCTCACTGCAACCTCTGCCTCCCGGGTTCAAGTGATTCTCCTGCCTCAGCCTCCCAAGTAGCTGAGATCATAGGTGCCCACCACCATATCTGGCTAATTTTTGTATTTTTTTTTTTAGTAGAGACGGGGTTTCACCACGTTGAGCAGGCTGGTCTCAGACTCCTGACCTCAAGTGATCTGCCCACCTCGGCCTCCCAAAGTGCTGGGATTACAGGTGTGAGCCACCACGCCTAGCCTCAGACTGGTTCATTCTCATGGAGAGGATTGGCTCAGGGGATCAGTGATGTCTGGTCATATGAAGACAGTAATAAGATTCCACAATGATAGCTAATATTTATATTAGGTTGATGTGAAAGTAATCACGGTTTTTTGCCATTGAAAGTAATGGCAAAAACAGCTATTAGTTTTGCACCAACCTAATACCATGCACTTGCCTGGTGCCAAGCAAAGTTCTGAATGCTTTATATATTTCCCACTTAAATTCCCTTAATCTTCATAGCAACCCCTGCAGACAAGGAAACTGAGTCCCAAAAAGGTGAAGTAACTTGCCAAATGTCACATAGCTAGTAAGGTGCAGAGCCAGAATTTGAACCTAGGCTCTGAGTCGGCCAAAGTACCTGCTAACCCTGTGTTTTATCTCAATTCAGCTGTCCTCTGAGATTGTTCTTGTGTTTAAATCCCTGTGGGCCCAGTGAAAAGGGAACTGACGCAATTAAGGGAAAGTTGCTCAGATTTTCCAGGCTAAAATTTCACCCAGATTATCCTAATGTATATATAGCTGCCATTTTAGGGGTCAGGACTTTACTAAAATAGGACTGGATATTTCCCTAACTTACATTTAAATGAAGTTTTTTCTGCTACCATTTCCAAACACAGGACAGTGTGGTTTATTGATCATGAGTCAGAGCTGTCCCAGGGCATGAAGAAATAATGTGGTTTCTTTATTAGCCAGGTTCCTGTTGAAGGTCCTAGTTGTTTCCAAGAGGAGCCAGGGGAAGACGTGCCTGTTGGCAACATCATAAACTCTGTGAGTCCAGCAGAAGGCTGAGAGCAGTGGCAATGGGCCCGCGGGGACATCAGGTGTTATCCACACCTGTGGTCAGGCACCTGTCGTCCTTGAAGAAATAAGTGACCTAACATCTCATTTTCACCACAGCAGGGTCCGTCGCAAAGAATGATGAAAGAAGCTAAACCTGAGCTTCGGAAAACTGAAGAGCCCACTGCAAAATCCTTCTCTTTGGATCAGTCAGCTTTCTGAACTGTAGATGGCAAATCCCATGAAACAGACACACTGGAAAGCCTGGAAAAGTCTAGAACTACATCACATGTCACAATAAGTGACACCAACCTCCTACTTGATGCCCAGAAGCTGCAGAACTGAGCCAGCCTAACACCTAGGAGTCCAAAAAAAAAGAACCAGCTCCTGCTCCTGGATGACAGTCGCCTGGACCTGAGGTCTTCCCCACTAGTGAGCAACCTGACAGGGACCCCAGGCTGGGCTGCTGGGGTTTGAGATTGACAGCAAATCCCAAAAGTGCCTGCTTCTTACAGTTCTGTGCACTTCTCAGCTTCTTTGTAACTCTAGCCAGTCCCGAGTCATGTCCTTGTTCCTAGAGCTTTAGCCAAAAGTCCCAGCTATAGGAGGATGGAAATCTTGAAACTTGCTGAGATGCCTCCTTGCGTTTTGTGGGGGGCAACCCAGCTTGCAATGGCAGGACTATAAAAATGAGATAGAGAAAGGAAGTGATATTTATCAAGTACACACTATGAGCCAGGTTTCTTTTCATACATGATCCCATTTAATCGTTAAGACCTTGTAAGGCAGTGTTATTATCCCTGTGTACAGATTAGGAAGAAAAACACAGAAAGGCAGCACAGCTTCAAGTTGTAAAGTGGCAATCTGAACCCAGCCTGGTTGACTCCAAAGCCTGATTCCAAAAACTGTTGGTATTCATTGATAGCAAATCCTAGAACCTGAGAGCTGGGAGAGGTGTCAGAGATCGTGTGGCCCAACCCTTCAAACTCAGGGGGAAGAAACAGGGTCCCAAGAGCTGAAGCCACGTGTCCAAAGCCACAGTGATATTTGTTTGCTGTCTTAGCATGCTGCTATAAAAGTTGGTAAATTAAAACATCACCCATATATTCGTCACAGTTTCTGTGGGTCAGAAGTCCAGCCACGGGGTGGCTCAGTAGGTTCTTTGCTTAGGGTCCCACCAGGCCAAAATCAAGGTGCTGGCAGGGCTGTGTCCCTTTCTGGAGGCTCCAGGGAGGATTCTATTTCCAAGCTTACTTATATTGTTGGGAGAATTTACATCCTTATAGTTACAGGATGGAAGTCCCCATTTCTCCACTGGTTCCAGGGCCCTTTCAGCTCCTTGGGGCCACCTGCATTCCTGGACTCACTGCCCCACCCTCTGCAAGCCCCTAACAGCCCATGGAGCATTCTCACCTTTCCATCCCTCCCACTTCTCCTTCAGCCCCATCTCTCGGACTCCCGTGAAGAGAGTTCTTCGCTTTTGAGGACACATGTGATTTGGTTGGGCCTGCCCAGATAATTCAAGATAATTCTCTATTGTAAGGTCCATAACTTTAATCATATCTGCAAAGTCCTCTTCCCACATGATGTAACATAGTCACAGTTTCCAGGGGTGAGGGCCCAAACATCTTTGGGGGGCCATTCTGCTGACCACATAGTAGTTTTAACCAAAGCTAGAGGAGAGGGTTATAAAAGCAGAATAAAAGTGTTAAGCCACACAAATCTGGCATGGCGTGTGTCAGGAATCTCACAGCTTCTAGCTAGAGGCTGTATCAGCCATGGGAACATTTTTTTCTATTCCCCGCCACCCTTGCAGAGCAAGAGAGAACCATGGCCCACTTGGCTTTTCTGGCCTGTTTTGGGAGCATGCCTGAGCCCTTTTGTGAGGACTGCTGCTGATCCTCAGAGCATCAACAGATGGATGTGCAAATGTAAATACCAAAAGCTTATTGCAAAATATTCATTCATATGTTAATTTATTCAGTGATTCAGTAAACATTTATGGAGAGCCTACTGCAAGCAGGCAATGTGAAAAAGGTTTGTGGATTTGCAACAACTTTGAATTATTCATAAGGCAGCTTCCTTGCCTGGTATGAATAACTGAATTGACCACATTTGGACCTTTGCAAAGGTCAGCACTCACATGATCCGTTTACACTGCAGATCCCTCCAGGGGAGGGCTGTGGCTGGTAACAAAGTGACCAGCCCTGCTTCGCAGGTGGATGGAGGTCGGTACTAGAGATGACCCACCTCTACAAACAAGGGTCAGGAGACCTGCAGTTGTTGTTGTCATGCATTCAGGGCCCCATGCCCTGTCGCTGTCCCAGCAGGGGAGTCTCAGGAAGACAATTGCCAAGCATGATGCATGCCAGGCTCCCTCAGCAAGGCCAGCAAGGATGTTCTTCTTGGGGCAAATGTGGTGGACCTTCAGTTCCAACCCCACCAGAGCTCTTGGCTTCCACAGTTCAGAGCCAGGCAGCACCTTCAGAGCATCATCTCCTCTCCAGACCGACTGACATGCAAAAATCTGAAATGATCCCAACAACAACTGATGGAGTGTTCGCTTTTCAAAAAGACCTGGCATTCACTAGCAAGCATCTTCAAATAGCAGGCTTTCTTTCAATGTGGGTCCATCATTTAGTACCGATTCAGACTTTTTTTTTAAGACCGAGTCTCGCTCTGTCTCTCAGGCTGGAGTGCAGTGGTGTCATCTCGGCTCACTGCAACCTCCACCTCCCGGGTTCAAGCGACTCTCCTGCCTCAGCCTCCCAAGTAGCTGGGACTACAGGTGCACACCACCACGCCCAGCTAATTTTTTTGTATTTTTAGTAGAGACGGGGTTTCACCATCTTGTCCAGGCTGGTCTCAAACTCCTGACCTCAAACAATCCACCCGCCTCGGCCTCCCAAAGTCCTGGGATTTGATTCAGACTTTTAAAACTGAAAGAGGCCTTGCAGTCCAAACTTTTTACTTTAAAACAAGAAAAACAGGCCCCAAAGAGGCAGTGGGCCTTGCCCAGGATCACAGCCAGTTGGTGCCAGCAGGACTAGAACTCAGAACCTCTGAGCACTGCCCTCTCCCATGTCTCCACCCTGCCTCCTACAGCAATGCTCACAGAGCACAGCTTATAAAAGGATAAGCACATGCACCAGGTGTAGCACATCCCGAGCTATGGCCAATATACCCATCACTTCACACAGCACGAGGATGCTGGCTGAGAGCTGAAGAGCGGGGTTCTTATCCAATTCTACAGTGCAAACTGTGTGATCTCAGGTAAGTTGTTCAGCTTCTCTGGATCTCATTTCCCTCATATGTGAAATGAGCCTTGACCAACTGGCATTTAAAGCCCTTCCCATCTCCGGTATCCATGACTAAATGTAGGAAGCCATGCGGGGTTAGCCACATGCCAGGAGCGCAGCAGAAATGTGGAAGGGCTTGGCCTGAGAGATGCTGCTCTGATGTGTGTGATGCAAGGCGCGAGGCTGGAGTGGGGTCTGCGGAGCTGGAGTACAGGAGCACTGGCAGGTGAGGAAACGCCGCTTCCCAATCTCCGGAGGCTCGCTGTGAGAGGCGGGGAGCTGGCAAGGTAGGCGGATCGGACGAATCGAATCTTGCAGAAAGCAAGGCCCACCCATGCCTCTCACCCCTCCCACTCCACAGAAATCACCGTCCCCATGGCTCCTGCAAATGGGACACTGCAAGTCCTCTCCAGTCACCACTACCCGCTGTTAGCAATGCCTTCCATCCTAGCCAAGGGGGAATGAGGAGGGTGACTGTGTTCTGGGCCATTGCACTTATTTATTTATTTTTTTTACCTGAGGCAAAAGGCAAGGAGAGCAGAGAGCTGCCTGGAGTCCAGCGGGCCTCACCTCTGCTTTCCCGGAAACACCATCCTCACTCCTTACCCCTCCTCATAACGGAGAGAGCACTGGATATGCCAGGAGGGCTCTGTGCTTGACCTTCACCTCCACCTCAGGAGAAAGAGAAGATAGATATGATTCCCATTTTATAAATAAGAAAACAGACGCTCTGCAAAGTGACCTTGCAGTCCTGCACGCCATCACAGGACACAGTCAGGAAGGCAGCATAGGCTGCCCTGTGAGAAGACAGTGTGAGGTATAGAGGGGGCTTCCACAAATGGCAGAGGACCCTAGCAAGAAGGATGGTAGGAAGACACTCTGTGCCCGGCACTGTGCACAGTGCACAATGAGAAAACCCAGAGACGCTGACAACTCAGTGAGAAAAGCATGTCCAAGACTCGCAAGGCTGACAGAGAAAGGAATGAAGCCCTAGTTGGCTGAAGTTTCACCAAGGGCCAGTCAGTTCAGAGACGCTCAGGAAGGGAGACAGCCGGTGAGGGTTCTGCGGCTGCACTTGTCATCTCACTCACCATCATAACACCATTTGCTTGGCAAAAATAGGTGTGTTAAATCTCAAGATGATAATAAATGTTGTCCAAAGACAGGAAAAAGGAGCCAAACCCCAGATGTTTTCATTCTGCGGGGCAATATTATGGTTTCCACTTTCACATTTGCCCTCTGTGCAGAAAAACAGAGCAGGGAAGGGGTGCAGACAGGACTTCTCACTCTCATTTCTTTCCAGCCACTATTGTGGCTTTTATCCTCTGTGGTAGACTTGAAATTCCACCGGCACAGGTGGTTACTCTGATCTCTCCCAGCAAGAGTTTAGCACATAAAAAGGAAACCAACTCTGAAAAGCAGCAAAACTCTCGAGTTAAGAACCAAAATATTTAGAAAGGCAACCTCTCAAAAAATGTTTTAAGCATATTCAACACATGGAAATTCCCATGCCAAGAACAAAGGTGCTCAGCCCAGTGAGAACACAGAGATTAGCAGGGAACGGGAAGAGGGCCGGTGCTCAGGAGGGAAACATCTCTGAGACACTCCTGTGCCCGCCTAGTGGAGTCACCAGGGGCTCGGGCATGCTTAGGCCTTCGTTGTGTCCTAACGACACCCAGAATCGAGGTTTCCCTGTGCAATGTGACGGTGTAGCTCTGAGCATAAGCACAGGCCTGCCGCACAGGTCACATTTGGAGGAACCCCGGGAAGGAGCCCCCTCCCAGGGGAGCTGGGTAAGGGCGGGAGGCACCAGTTTGCAGGTTATCTGGCCCTGTCCCATTATTTCACTGAGAAGGGAGTGATTAGCCAGAGATCACCTTGGAGCTTGGTGACAGAGCGGGGACCAGAACTCAGAGCTTTGCACTCCTGGTCCAGAGATGCATCTGCAACTGTCAGCAGAAAAGCCGATGCTCTGCCGCTCCCGCTGCAGACCTGGGAGGTTTTCCTTTGTATCCCCACCATTTCCTCCGCAGATGCCCCCTGGCTTCTGTTCTCTCCTGTCTCCACCTGCTCTGCCTCATGTCCGTGGCCTGGGGACAGCTATTTCTGTGGCCTGTGCTAGGCAGGGTGGGTGTGATATGGGTTGGAGGAGGTATGTAGGGAGCTTTAAAGGAAGAGAGGGGCTGTGAGGCTCCTGGGTCTGGTTGATTCCATGGCGTTTGGGCAACTGCAGGTCAGGCAGTTCCCCACTTAGGGCTGTCCCCAGTGGGCTGTCCCTTCCTGCACAAGGTAATCACTCCCAGAAATGCCGTGTCTCTCCCAGGACATCCAGGCTCTGAAGGGGGCCGCCTGTGTGCTCCCTTCCTCAGGGACTCCAGGTGAGCGGTTTGCCCCATGGACACACAGCCTGGGCCTGGCAGAGGCAGCCTGCAGGTGGACCAGCTGGGGTGTGGGCTGTGGAGGCCGCACCTCCCACTTGGATTGTCTCACTCAGTAACTCATGAAGGCAGGATTTTAACTTTTTTTTAGTATTCACTGGATTCTAACAAAAACTAGGGAGGAATGACAGTTTTATCAGCATGCAGCTGGAATGTCTGATTGTCAGTTTTAAAAGTCAACACCTATTTACGAGGTGAGGTTTAACCTCTATGGAATTTGTACAGCGTATGGATTTGTAATTCTTGATCTTCAGAAAATACGAATGTCTGTGTGACTTTAGACTACACGGACAGATGCCGTCTTTTTGATCATCTGGACATCCATTTAGACAAACTTGAGTGAGTGACTGAGTGAATAAAGTATTCCCAGTTCTGTTTATTTTAATCCACTCTAATCTTAACTTTTTAGATGATGTTACATAAAATCATCTCAAATCATGTCAAAATGAAATTAACTTCAAATCTAATTTTAAAAGTAAATGTGATAGAACTTTTTATTGGTAGCAATCCGCAAAATCAACCATGTTCATGGAATATGTATGTTCATGTCTAACTGCGTACTCTCATCTTTGAGGCTACTTGGTTGAAATTTGGGACCACATCTTTACGTCTACAAACTACTCAGAGGTGTGGAAAATAAGAATGAGCCACCGCCTAATGAGTGAACTTCCTTGAGCATCTTCTGGGTAAGACAGGACTTTCCAAATGACATCCAGTGACGCTTCCATTCTGAAAAGCACTTCCTGCTGCCTGCTGTGGTCATAGGAATCTTTCCTCAGCAGTCTGGCTCTGGAGACAGAGTTCCATGGGATATCAGTATGTTTTACTTAAAAAAATATTTTAAAAATACGAAAAGTTCTACAGACAAATACGTTCAGAGAATGCTTGATTTAACAAAGGATATCAGCTTTGTTTACATAAATTGACATACTACCTGGTCAACTCCCATCCCCTCACGATGTAACTTCCAAGAACCTCTGGGTAAACTGAGTTACAGCTCATCTGGCTACAGCTTGGCTGACGGCAGAGCCTCAGATTATCCAAAGCAGTCTTTCCTATGCCAAGGGAGAGGTTGGCTTTGGAATGCAACCTGAGACACACAGATATCTGAAACCTCCGGGGCATGATCATTCTCTCTTCCTTTTCCTCCTCCTCCTTCTCTCTCCCTGTCTTTTCACCCCAATCACGAATCCCAACAGCCTGCCCCCTTGGCCTCCCTCTTAGCAACTGAGCATCTAAGTAAACAGTGTGGTTGCAGCAACTGCAGAAAAACCAAAAACTAGGTCCTCCATGCACAGAAGGGAATGGTCATCTTTCCTTTTTTCTGGAAATAGAACAATGAAGCATAGATTTAATCTTGGTTGTAGAGGTTAAGAAATTAAAAGAAAGTTAATTTGCTCACATCAACTTTTAGTCAGGGATTATTGCTCTATGAAGAGGGTGAGAGTGTGCATGTGTGTGTGTGCGTGTGTGTGTGTGTGTGTTAATGCAAACTGCATTAAGATGATTCCAAGCATTCTAATAAAAACTGACAAGACCACTTGGCTTAATGCAAACTACATTAAGATGATTCCAAGCATTCTAATAAAAACTGACAAGACCACTTGGCTAGCTTGGTGTCTCCCAACTTCCCACTGCCTGGCTATCTTAGTCCAACTGTGTTGCTAGAAAGGAATACCCGAGGCTGGGTAATTTACAGAGAAAAGAGGTTTATTTGGCTCACAGTTCTGCAGGCTGTACAGGAAGCATGGCACCAGCATCTGCTTCTGGTGAGGCCTCAGGAAGCTTCCACTCATGGTGGAAGACAAAGGGGAGCTGGCCTGTGGGGATCACATGAGGAAAGAGGGAGCAAGAGAGGGGTGGGTAGGGGGTAGGTTCATTGTAACAAGCAGCTCTCGCGCTGTGAGAAAGGCATGAAGACATTCATGCCTTGGGGGATCCACTCCCACAACCCAAACACCTCCCCCAGGTCCACCTCCAACATCAAGGATCAGATCTCAGTATGAGGTTTTAGGGATCAAAGATTCAAACTACAGCACTGGCATTCCATCCAGCACCTATGTCCATCTGAGGCTGAATAATCCAGCTGTCATGTGGGTTAACTCCCCAAGCCCCTTGTGTGGCCCTCTTCCTAGTCTACAGGTGCTAGACTCTGGAGCAGTGCCCATGATGCAGAAGTGCAGCCCCCAGCCCCAGGTGTTTGCCCCTGCATCTGGCATCTGAGCAGGAGAGGAATCTGGGGTAGGAGGCCTGGTAACCTGGTTTGGAGGTCAATCTGTTCCCGGGGTTTCTCTCTGGCACACAAGTCTGACATATCAGACCCTCCTCTGGACACGGTGGACAGTTTTTCCATTTGCACTGTTGGTTTTCTTCCCCTTTTTGTGTGCAAAATGATAGGCTATCATTTCAGAGCCTGCCAGTGCAGGATGGGGCGGGCTTTCTTGAAGCACTTTATCTGTTTCTATTGTGGGCCTCCCTGGCTCTCACCCTCTGCCCTTTGCTTAGTGCCAAGCACCCCAGGAAGACCAACCCAGGGCTTCACAGAATGGGTCAGCACCTTGATGCCAGAGCTCTAAGAATGACTTCATGCTTTGGAAGACAGCCACCGAATGGGAAAACCAAAAATGACAGATGACACTTCAGGAGCTGGTCTCGCCAAGGCCTGTGCAGCTTCCTGCCATGTGCTCAACTCACTGGCTTGCCTGCCATTCTGAGGAAGGGGCACTGAGCAACAGCTGCTGCAATTGCCTGGCATTTCCCCGCCGACCCCCCATCATTCATTCACTCATGTATTCATCCGCTCAACACAAAACATCCTGTAGATGTTTCCGTATAGCAGATCATAGAGGGACAGACAGTGGGTAGGTGAGGAGGAAGGGTGATGCTGGAGGAATACTAAAAATTTTAGAATAGGAAAAAAATGCTCTCCCTCCCCTTGCCCCCCACCCCCCAAGAGCATTAGGACAAATACCTAATGCATGTGGGGCCTAAAACCTGGATGACAGGTTGGTAGGTGCAGCAAACCACCATGGCACATGTATACCTACGTAACAAACCTGCACATTCTGCACATGTATCCCAGAACTTAAAGTAAAATAAAAAAAATTTTTTAAAGAATAGAAAAAAATGAATGCAGTCCACTCCCACAAACAAGAAAGCATTTTAAGAGCAGTACAACATAAAGATATACCAATAAGAACACTGTTACAACAACAACAAAAATATAGAAGGCAAAAAATCTAAACTTCCCACAGTAAGGGATTGGTTGAATGAGACACAGTAAGCACGTGTGCGCCGTGCATCCGAGAAAATGAACGAGTATAGTTCAGTGTGCAACGACAGGCAAAGATCCCAAAGGAGCATCAGGAAGCAGAACGACAGATGGGCACTGAAATCAGCCCATTCTTCTTTAACAAAAACAAATATAGATTCAAGTCTACGCTTTCAAATGCAATGAAAATTTCTGGAAGGATAAATAAGAAACAGTTCACAATCTTTAAATAATTGAAAGGAAAAAAAAAAAACTGTTGACCTGGAAATCTACACCCAGAAAAAAAAAATCTCTCAACAATGAACGCAAAATAAAAACTTTTTCGGACATACAAAAGCTGAAGGAATTCACCTCCAGCAGAGCCGCACTACAAAAAATGTTTAAGGAAATTCTTTAGGCAGAAGGAAAATTATACTAGGTGGAAATCTAGATCTACACAAAGAAATGAAGAGCACCCAAAATTGAAAAATAATCTCGATACCATTTTGTAAAAATTTTTCCTACAGAAACTCACACTTTGCTCTCCTTTTCTCCTCCTATATCCCAAGGTAAGATGGTTGATGCCAAACTTTAAAGAATTTCATAAAAATGTTAATCAGTGTTAATATTATTGAATATCACAAATCTAACACTCGTAGCTCATAGCAGTTACTCATTAAATGTAGGAGGAAGGATGGAAGGAAAAACAGAGGGAGAGAGAGAGGAGGGAAAGAGGAAAGAAGAAAGAGAAGAGGAAGACAGGAAGCAGAGAAGGAAGGGAGAGAGGGAGGGAGGTAGGAAGGAAGGAAGGAAGGAAGGAAGGAAGGAAGGAAGGAAGGAAGGAAGGCAGGCAGGCAGGCAGGCAGGCAGGCAGGCAGGCAGGCAATTTTTATTTCTCGCCTGTTGCTGCATCATTTGCCCTTCCCTTGCATAAACCGCTGCCTCCCTGCTCCCCTCTGAAGAGTGCTCATCCAGCCGTCATCTCCTGGGACCATGTGAGAAAATAAGAATGAGGCTTTACATTCTGGCTTTCCAAGGCTGTGGCCTCCATTCTAAGGACTTACAGGATATTGAACCAACCACCCCCAAAAGGGAGCACTTTGTTCAATAACTGCAAGACCAAACAGCAAGTCTCTAAAGCCACAGAAGCATTTCTACACCCTGCACAGGGCTTACACCCTGCACTGGGTTTGCAGTGTTGACAGGCTCAGTGCATTCCTCCGGGGCTTCTTTGAAATTAAATCATGTGTAGCATATTTACATTCTGCTCCCAGATCTTACCGCAGGCCAAAGAACCCTGATCTAGCCTGACTGTAATGAGCCCTCATTAATACCCTGCATCCTCAGGGGTGACACAGGGTCCCGGGAATGTGCCCTTCACTGGGCTGAGCCTGCACATTGTCAAGACAGCCCAATAATCTCATGACAAATTAGTCCAAATGATTACCTAGTACTGTGTAAAAAATATTCTGGCAGCGTTTTCTTCACTTGTTACCGGTCAACATGCTCTGTGGATCTTAGGTTTTATCTTCATGATGCAAAAAGCACCCAAGACTGTAGTCAGCTCAGTCAAACAATTGTCCATATTGGTGTAGATTAAAAATAACCCTTGCCAGAACTTTTCACACTTCAAGTTGCTGTGGTGAACAGATACTGATACAAAGTACTGATTCAACACAGATATTGATACAAAGTACAGTATCAGTACAGATACTGATACAGATACAGATGCTGATACAAAGATGGATGTCTAGAGGGATATAGATACAGATACAAAGACGGTGTCTAGAGAGTCTTAAAGAACGATCTTTTGTCTCAGCTGGAGTGAGTCCTGTCCCCACTGGTGGCATAAGACCCACTCTGACATTACTGGGAGCAGGTTATTAGAAGCCAGGTCATCATAGGTCTTGTGTATGCTTGTGGCTGGGGAGGGACCTCAGCAGGACAGAAGGGGCCCATGGAGCTGACCTTCCTCAGGCCAAAATAAACAGGCTCTCTGTGGTCATTATTTTAATTAGATAATTTAATCGGTCTTGACATGCTTTCTATACACAGGCAAGAGCACGCCCAAACTGCTGCTGGGTCTGTGATATGGGAAAAGGTCTGATTTTTCCAGTGACTCCTGGATATAAAAATAAAGAAAAGGGGAGGAAGAGCTGTATTAATTCTTTTCCCTTCATGCAGTATCACTGAATTTTTTCCAGAGGTATAACGAAGAAAACAATCCTCCGAACCAATTTTTTCAAGGAAGTTATTCATTTTTCCTAATCTTCCTAAAACACCATGATTGCAGAAGACCCTTTGTCCCACAGATGCCCCTGTGTGAAGGCTGGTCTCCATTAACTAGTTCAGCCCCAGTCTACGCTTTCTAGGGGGAGGGAGCAGGGAGAGGGGGAAAAGGGCAGAGAGAAGAGAGGGGAAGTGAGGAGGAGGGAGCACAAAGTCATGATGCTTTAGTGTTTAGAAAAACATAATTAATTAAAAAAAACATTTGAACAAGTTTCTGCTTCTTTTCCAAAGCAACATAATACTCCTTTAGGCAAAGGGATTAAAGAAATGCAGGGTCCATGTTGAAATTATTTTCCAGGAAGACTTTGTTTCTGCTCATCCAAAATTTTCTTCTTTCCTGGAGGGTGGGCTCTAGATTTGGCTTCCCCAGAGGCAGTTCTGGGACATTTTGTAGGCCTGGCTGCCTCTCCCCTAGGGTGCTCCCAGACGCTCCCCAAAGGAGACACGCTGGTCACCAGCTTAACACTTCCTTCTTACTCTGGAAGCATGAGCAACTCAATTTTTCTTTACCCAGGCAACCAGAGCCCTGGACTCGCATTTGCTTTCTTCCTGCTATAAACTCTAAAATCCCTGTACAAAATAAAGTCACCCCTACAAATCTGTGTCAGTAATTCCCTCCTGATTCCTTCCCTCAGGGCAGCTCCCTGCAAACGAATGGCATCTCCATGGAACAGGCTGTCCTCTTACAAAAAGACAGGCCCCAGCAAACCAGAAGAGATTATGGACAACCCCAAAGACACAGGTCTGGGAGAGAAAGAAGCAAGTCTCCTGTCTTTCTGTTCCTGGTTAAGACCCACTGCCCTGCCCAGCTGCTGACACTGCAGCAAGCAGCCCTAACCAGGCTGACGACACCCACCTCATGAGGACAGTTAGATGCGGGGATTAAACTACAGACTATGACACTTGGCACTCAGTCGGCGGCGGGCTTCGTCCTGTGCTGGTCCTTGCTATTGCTATTGTGGGTTTCACATTCATGTACTCTTCTCAACTAAGAAACATCCATGAAATCTCCTCCCATCTCATTTGCCTGCTGAAAGCCGACCCAAACAGAATTATAACAAAGAGGGTGTTGTTCCCCTGTAAGGCACTCTCTAGAATTTGGCTTGGAAAAGTAAATTCAATGTAGTGACATCTTCATCATTTAAAAAAATCTATTCTTTTCTTCTTTAATCACATTATACCAGGATTTTGAGGTTCCATCAGCCCATTTGGAAATGAGGAAATGGGGACAATGTGGCTTCGTCCTTGCAAGTGGCTTTAACAGAGACAGCGAGGCTCCTACGTGCAAGCCTCAGAAGCTCGCTGCCCACTGAATTCTGCTGCTTTCCCAAGAAGTTTAGTATCTCGAGGGAAACATCTGGGGGCGCGTCTGGGGGAGGTGAAGACAGCATCCAGAAAGCCCAGCCCCACACTTCAAAGCCGACTTCCCAATTCTGAAACGAAGGAAGTTTCATTCTTTCCCACATGTCTCTGCCTTGCTAAATATAAATCCATCTCGGTTTACATTATGCTGCCTCTAATTGAATCTCATTCTTCGTTTGTTTAATTCAGAAACAATAAGCCATCCTGAGTGGCTCGCTGGGAAGCTTGCCACCGCGGCCAGCCTCAGTTCCCAGCAAGCCTCCCGAGGGGACGAAGGGACGAGGGGACATGGCCGGCCCTGCCCACAGGGGCTCGCTGCACATCACAGGGGCACATCTGGGTTTAAAAGGTAAAGACACAAGGACGGTCCAGTTGTAGGAAACCCATCCACATAATTCCCACACTAAGGAGTCAAAGAGAAAGCTTAATACCCAGTAGGTGCTGAAGGGGGCTGAAGAGCATTAACCCTTCATTCTTCCTTGGTTTTAACCAAAACGTCCTAAGTAAAACAGGAGCCCATGGTACTTCTTCAGCATGACAAAATTCATCCCTCAGATCTAAAGCCAACATTAACTTACCATCCATGGTGGAATTTCAGAGACACTTGATGGAAGGTCAGAAGCAAGATAAAGCTGTTGCTATCACCCCTGTTATTTATTATACTAAAAAATATGAAAAGGGAAAGAAGGGGGGGAGTACAGGAAAACTGTCATTATTTGTAGATGATATGATTATATACCAGGAAACCCAGGAGAATCTACTGAAAACAAATAGAATTAGAATTTGGTAGGAATCTGGCTATAAATTCATATCTAAAAATGTCACTAACTCTCAGAAGTCTTAGTTTATAGTTCAGTATAGTTTTCTTTCATTCATTTGGCAAATACTAAGCACCTACTATGTGCCAGGTGGCATTTCCGGATGCTCAATATACAGCAGAGAAGAAAGACTGCAGGCCAAGTGAGGGATTCAGAGACAGGGGAGGAACTGCAGATTTTGTAGGAATAACAGAGAAGTCCTTTCTGAAGATCTGACTTTATATGAAGTCCTGGTGAAGCGGGGACACCAGGCAGATAGAGAAGGACATCAGGGCTGCTAGGTGGGCTTGGGAAACAGCCTGGGGGAAGGACAGGGCATCATCCAGAGATGAGGCCAGAGGTCACTGGGGATCCTTCAGGTTTGGGAGGCCACCAGGATGGCTGAGGCTTTTACTCTTGAGAGGGTGTTCAGCACAGGAAGCATATCTGATGTTCCCTCATCAAAACAGAGCAGGATACAGTGAGACACCACCTCACAACATTAGGACGGCTACTATCCAAAAAAAAGAAAGAAAATATCAAGTGGTGGTGAGGATTGCTTTTGTTGCAATTGCTTTTAGTGTCTTCATCACGAAACCTTTGCCTGAGGAAAGGATTGTAAGCTGTCCTTACAGTGCTATGAATCACTCCGGTTTGTGAGCTTTTGGCTCCATGATTGCAATGTTTAACTGCTCTGTAGACAGGAGCCAGGCCATGCCCTTAACTAAAGGTGGAAGCTCAGGTGAGACCCAATACCTTCCAGGGCCACCACCTCTGAGGTCACTGCTGGTTCAGATCATTGCAACATCTTCCAAATCAAAGCCAAGCCCGGAGTTTCTGTGACTCTGGGTTTTCCATCTGATGTGGTTTTTGAAAATACAACTAATCCTTAAAGAGCAACTCTTGTTTCAAACCACAGCTCAAGGCTATTTTCCAGGAAGGAGAACAAGCCCTGCTCTGAACTTCCTCCTCCCTCTTTCATCTTAATGACCAGTTAACTTAATTCACCACCCAACTGAGCCTTGGTGGAAGGACAGAGGAAATGGAAAGTCCTCAGAGAAAGACCTGCCTTATAGAACTGTCCATGTCACCCACCTTCCCTCCCCCTTGCAGTGGTCCTGAGCCACAAGCTGTGAGCTGTCTCATCCTAGATGCATCTCAGGCCAGGCTCAGGCCTCACTGCTCCCCTGAGAATGTTCTTGCCCATTCCAGCTCTGGACTTCTAAATTCTATGAAGGTAGGAGTAGCCGTTTCCAGTAAAAGGAGGAAATAAAAGCAATATTGGCTGATGGCCAGGGAACAGCTGAGAATGATCACTTTGAATCTTCACATTTCTCTGTCTTCAGATATTTGCTCTAAAAAGACATATTTCCCCCATAAAGTGGTTCCACGCCATTTCTCACAGCACATGTGATGATTAATCAGACAACAATTCTCAATTTAAAGCCTTTTTGCACAGTCACAGGAAGTGACTTTTCCAAATGTTCTATTTGTATGCAGTGTAGCTTATAAAAGAGTTTAGAAATGCCACCCCAAAATACACCACTCTGATGGCATATTGAAATCACTCTTGGCGATTTCTTCAAACCGAGGGTACTTGGGGAATAGCAAATGCAGGAAGGGGCTTTCTCTGAGCTCCTCCTTTCTACCCAAAGACAGATCTTCCAAAGGAACTCAGATGTCATGAACCCCTCCCCAGGCATCCACCAGGCAAGAGGGAACTGAAAGCACAGCAGAGGAAACTGGAGGTTCATGCCAGCCAGCCAGACTTTGCCACAGACAAAGAGTTAAAGTCATTTACCCTTCCCTAAGTTGTCTCCATTCTCCTTCCCTGTCCCCTACGAAGAGCATATATAAGCTTCTAGATCTCACTAAAGGGAAAGTTTTCCCTCCCTTACACTTACAAATGCAAAGCATTGTCCAAAGTTAGCAGCCTAGTTGAAGCCACACCTAATCCTGCTGCACCAGCCAGCCTGAGCATTCTGCAGTCTCTTCATCAAGTGCCATGAGAGTTGAGTGAGCCCGAGAAGGTGGCAGGAGGTGTGGGGCGTAGGTGCCACTCAGAACTCAGAGACCTCCACCCACACAGTCCACCAATGCTGTCATCCAAAATGAGTGGTGTATGATGGTGTGGCTACCATGTACTAAGCAATTGAAACGTGCACTGCATTGCATGAGGCCCTTCAAGATAGCACATTTTATCCTTACAACAACTCTATGATGTGGATCCTTCTGTTTTTCAGATAATCCCTGAATGCTGCACATAGGATGCTGGTTGTGACACTATGGCGTGGCAGGCATCCCACCTGGATCCCTGAATTGTGTCACTCCTGAGGCCTAGGTATCTCTGGCCCCAGAGAGAACAGGCTGATGGAGTAGGCCTATCTAAGCCTAAGTTGCCCAGGAAACAAGAGAAAACTCATCCTAAAGAACAAAAGACCAACGTAAACATCTATGGCTAAAAGAAATGGGTCAGACTCACGAGGGAAGATGACTGTGTGCACTAAGGACACTACCAAGAGCCTGCCATGCTTGCTGGCCCCGGGCTCAGGCCCTGCTGATGCGCACCTGGGGGAGGAAACAAACAACTGTGGAGCCGCTCTCCCAAGATGCCCTTAGGCCACAAGCATGGCCACGGTGCGTCCATGGACTGGCTCTGCGGGGCAGCATGCTGACGGTTCCCTGATGGCCACAGATGGGGCATGACAGCAACGTCAACACATCCATGGCCCTGAGCAGCAGGCGCTGTTAGGCATCGATGGCCTGTCCCAGACCAGGATGACATGGAAGAGAAAAGGCTCAGAATTCATTCAAAATCTTTGAGGCCAAGGGCCTGGACCATCTATTTGAGATGCCCAGATGCTTTTCTGAGCATTTTCTTTCACTTGCCTCATTTCACTGAGGCAAGACGGCTGGACAGTGGGCTGCAGCAGACGAAGTACACCAGCCTCAAAGGTGTTCGGTGTCACCTGCCTCCCAGAGACAGGGTCTTAGAGTTCGCTCTGTTCACCCAAGGAGTCCTTCCATGGCCCTTGTGGGCAAGTTCCCCAATAACTTGATTTTTTTTTCTACTTACATTTCACTGTCACTCCCAGCAAAACTCAGTCCAGCTCGGTTCTCCAGGCTGCACACGTGGTCGCGGTGGCCCCCAAGCTTCTCTGAGGCTCAATAGTAGCATTTCTCTGTTAGGCTTAGCCAACTAGGTAAGCTTTTAGTTTGAACAAAATTACTCACTCATTTCTTTTTGTGTAGCCTTAGGGGTACAAATAGTTTTGGGCTACATGGATTAATTGTATACTGGTGAGGTCTGCACCTATCACCTGAGTAGTATATATCGTATACAGTATGTAGTTTTTCAACCCTCACCCCACTTTCCTCTCCCCAGTTCTGAGTCTCCAGTGTCCATTGTACCATTCTGTTTGTCTTTATGTTCGCATAGCTTAGCTCCCACTTATAAGTGAGAACATGTAGTATTTGGTTTTCCATTCCTGAGTTACTTCACTTAGACTAATGGCCTCCGGTTCCATCCAAGTTGCTGCAAAAGACATTATTCTATTCTTTTTTACTGCACGTCTCTTTAGACAATGCCTTCCAAATTTCTCTTCAACATACAGCTTTGTTTTTCTTATGATTATAAAGATAACACATTCAAACAACACAGAAAAGAAGAAAAAGGAAAGTCAAGATCACCTAAAATCCCATTTGCTCATCGTGAAATGTACAAATTGTGCAATACCAAACCACTATTTCTGGTGTCTGCTGCAATGATGGGCCCAAGGGGGCAGGTGTGATTTTGTCCTGCTCTGCTAGCTCATCTCTGTGGAGCGAACACATATGGGCTGCATGTCCATGGGATGGGGATCAGGCAGCCGCGAGGAGCCGTGGGGACTTCACCGCACTGGCTGTGCTGCTGTATGTGCTTTGACTTAGAATTGAGGCTTGTGCCTGCAGACCTTCTTTAGGCACATAGAATAAACAAGTAGCAAAGGGAAGGTATTATTGTTGTGTGACCCTGACCGGCCTAATTCCCGGAGCCTGCTTCCTCCCCTGTGTCATTTCCCGTCCTCCCCTCGTATCTACCTCTGCCCAGTCATGATTGACTTTTGACAGAGATCACTCAGCTCCTGACA
Organism: Homo sapiens; assembly: GCF_000001405.40. NCBI lineage: Eukaryota > Metazoa > Chordata > Mammalia > Primates > Hominidae > Homo > Homo sapiens. The sequence continues at coordinate 10,055,197 of NC_000018.10, read as the reverse complement.
AACTTTCACTGAGACAGAATTGGCTTAGTATCTCCTAAACCAAAGAGATTTTGCAGGAACAGCAGGATGTCAACGCTAAGAAGTGGTAGTCCAGGCAGGGAAGCTGAGGGACGTGAATCCCAGGGCAAGCAAACCTAGCAGGAAATCACCCCTGACGAGGACCAGCGGGCTCAGGCTCAGGATCCCAGTCAGCACAGTGATGGGGTCCCAGGAGCAGTCAAATGAAGCAAGGCTTCAGTGTGGCCTGTGAATTCTGTGTACTCTCCTAGAGAGTATGCTTTTGCACACATGACTTCAGCCACAGTTCCCACAGAGCCAGCGCCGGATGAATGGAAGGCAGGGCGGGTGGGCTAGTGGAAGGGAGGGGCATCCTGAAGCTTGGAAGGAGGTAGAGTCACCGCTGGTGATGCGGGGAGAGGCCTGGCCCTGCCAGCACCTCTGTGTGCTATGGCCCTCTCGAAGTAAATGGGAAGATGGTGGAGCTCCTGGATTAAAAGGCACATAGTCCTAGAGGAGACCTACACGGGACTCACCCAGCTGCGATCTTCTGGAAGGGGATCGCTTCTCAGGAGAGAGCCTTGCTGCTCCTAGGATTTGGTGGACTCGGAGTAGCAGGAGATTAGCGCAGGGGGAGGGCCACAAGGAGTGTGAGGGGGTGGTGAGTGTGGAGTCGCAGGGGCACTGCGTTTCCTGAGAAAGGCAGGAAAACCTGGGAAACGCTGACTCCTCCTCTCACCTTCCATATCAATTCCTTGTGAAATGGCAGTTCCGGCTCCTAGTATAATGTGAATCCCTCTCTGCAGCCATTCCCTCTGCCCAGGCCACCATCCCCTCTCACCCGGGTTAAAGCGCAGCCTCCTCCCTGGCCTCTGGCCTCCAGCCTTGTGGCTCTCCAATCCGTTCTCCCTATTGCAGCCACAATCATGTTATTTATTTACTTATATATGTATCTGATGCCATCTACCCTGCGAAATGCCACCAAAGTGGCTTCCCTTAGCTCTCAGGAGGACATGCAGACCCTGCAGCTTGTCCTACAAAGCCCTCCCCACCCCTCCCCTACCTGCTCCTCCATCTCCACTCTCACCCTGTCCCGACTCAGCTGCAATGCTCCTACCCTGCACCATGGCCCCAGCTCCTCCTAGTAGGCATCTGTCCCTCACCTCTAGGCCTCACGCCAACTCCTGTTCCCTTCTCCTAGACCATCTGTGATGGTTAATACCAAGTGTCAACTTGATTGGATCGAAGGAGGCAAAGTATTGATCCTGGGTGTGTCTTCGAGGGTTGCCAAAGGAGATTAACATTTGAGTCAGTGGGCTGGAAAAGGCAGATCCACCCTCAATCTGGGTGGGCACCATCTAATCAGCTGCCTGTCCAGCCAGGATATAAAGCTGGCAGAAAAATGTGCAAAGGCCAGACTGGCTTAGCCTTCCAGCCTACGTCTTTCTCCCTGCTGGATGCTTCCTGCCCTCAAACATCGGACTCCGAGTTCAGTTTTGGGACTCGGACTGGCTTCTTTGCTCCTCAGCTTGCAGATGGCCTATTGTGGACCTTGTGATCATGGGAGTTAATACTACTTGCTAAACTCACATATATATGCGTGTGTGTGTGTGTGTATACATATATGTGTGTGTATATATATGTGTGTCTGTGTATATATATGCGTGTGTGTATATATATACATATATATCCTATTAGTTCTGTCCCTCTAGAGAACCCTGACTAATATACCTCTTTCTCGCTTTTCACCTTGCCTATTCTTGAAGGAGCTGAAAAGGCACTGACTGTTGCGTTCCTTCCTGATCCCACCTGATTGGGTTATTTTCATCAAAGGGAGAGGTTCTCCACCCTGGCTGCAAAGGAAGGTCTCCTGGAGAGTTTCAGTACCAATGCCCAGGCCCCATTCTCACCCAGAACAATTAAATCAGACTCCCTGGGGTGCTGGGGGTGGGTAGGCTGGCCAGACCAGGTGAGTCTAACAGGGAGCCATGTTTGAAAACTACTGACCATGGGGTCAGTTACGCTGTGCTCTGCTCCCCAAGCGTCCATCCTGTACTTCCCACATCAGGGCACTACTGTGAAATGAGTGACTGGCATTGTCAGCACATCGTTCTCATCATAGTCATCACTGCTATCATGGTCATTCTTGCATGCCATTCTTTTTTGTTATTTAGAGACAGGATCTAGCCCTGTCACCCAGGCTGGAGTGTAGAAGTGCACTCATAGCTCACTGAAGCCTCAAGCTCCTGGACTTATGTGCTCCCACCTCAGCCTCCTGAGTAGCTGGGACTACAGGGGCACACCACTATGCCTGGTTAATTTTTTTATTTTTATTTTTTGTAGAAATGGGGTCTTGCTATTACCCAGGTTGGTCTCGAACTCCTGGCTTCAAGCAATCCTCCCACCTCAGCATCCCAAAGCGCTGGGATTACAGGCATGAGCCACTGTGCCTGGCCCCTTGCACGTTATTCTAATATCCATATGTCTGTTTCTATTTCCACATTTAAAATTTGGAGACAAAACCTCTCTTCTCTGTCAAGCTCCTTTCCAAAGGATGGTTAATTTATAAAGGGATAACACCTGCTTGCTGCTTGGCCACCTAAGACACCAGGTGCTACATCTCCAGTCCCTTCTGCTGTTCTGACTCAGGAAACCAAGCCAACGAGTGAGGCCACATGTTGGACTTGAGCTTGCTGGAGGCTTTTAAACTCCAGTTGCAGGTGCCAAAGCATATCTGCGCAGAAAGGCTCTCTTAGCCATGGTTTGGACAAAGAACCGTTCTCGTCATTGTTTATTATGAAAAGCTTGCAGAGATTCTTGTGGATTACTCAACAGTGCCTATGAAGCTGACCTCTGTTGATGGCTGGGTGATACTAGTGTCATTGTTTTTAGAGCACAGCTAATAACACTGGCTAGAATCACTCAGGGCCAGTTAATCAGAAGGAAGAGGCGATAACGGCATCTTTATGATATACAGTGATGTGATAAGATGCAGACGTAATGAGAACTCTTTTCTTCTGGAAAAGATTAAAGACATAAAATCCTGGCTTGGGAAAAAAAAGAGTCTTTGTCCTGCCGAAAAAAAGTGACCAGATGTCTTGATTTAGACAGAACAGGGCCTGATGTTTTAGGACCAATCCCCCATCTGTGCAGGGGGATTTTTTTTCTTTTGGTTATTTTCCTGTTTCCTGGGTTTATGAGGCCCCACCTAAAATAATCTGAACTTTCCTTGGAGCTGGCCTTCCTCCCCTGGAAAGCAGTGGTCCCAAGCAGAGACAGGAGCAATGGGGCTCAGGGCACACTGGACCTTCCCAAGTATGAAGAGGTGGCCGGGGAGTGCGCACTGAGAGGCTTCCCCAGCCCCCATAGGACCATAGGGGTGGCATTGGCCACTTGCTGAGAGCAAGTGGGACCCAGACCTAGCCACCAGGTGAGGACCATGGAAACACGTCTGATTTTCCTTCCACGAGTACCCATCAAGTGGACACTATGAACCATGTCATAGCGATCAGAGGAAAAATCCAAAGCTTTGGGACAGCTCTCCAGGAAGATGGGCGTTTGTACTTTTCCCACTGCTACATAGAGGAAAGAGTTGCGTTGGGTGTCTTTTCTCTTCTAAATTCAGTGGCCTTGGTGGGAGTGGGGTGAAGCTTAGCCGGAGTTGGACGAGTGTGAATCTGCCTCTAACCAGCCACGTGGCCTGGAGCAAGGTAATTTCCCTTCTTCAGGTCTCTTCCTTCACCTGTGAACTTAGAGGGCTGGCTGAAGACTGGCCCTAAAGTCCTGACAACTAGGACTACATCCACCATGGTTGACACTGGCTGTCATGATTCTGCACAGAGCCCGGCACACAGCAGGACTGCAATCAAAATTGTGGAATGAAATCCTGAATGCCTCCAGGAATGAGAGCACCTCTGAAGGTCCCATTTGGCCCTCAATTTTGTGATCCTTCCCAGATTTTTTTTTAATTATTCAGCCTGCAAAATTTTCACTGAGCCCGGCCCTCAGTGACTTTGCTCATTGAGCAATGAATCCACGAGATCTTTCTAAATGCTAAAACCCCTGTGGAAATTCCCATAGGAAACCAAGAAAAAGTAAGGCAAAGGGAGAGATGAATCATGTTGAACAGCCTCTAATTTCTAGGCTCCAGGTGGCTGTGGGATGCTCTACCTTTGAAAATATGATCTGAAACCTACTATTGCCAATTATCAGCTTTTTGCCTTTAGACAAGTGGCGTGAAACCTCTGAGATTCTACTTAAACCCATCTGTAAGGCTGGACAACAATTGCATTGATCACACACACACACAGAGCTGTTTTGTGATTAAATGGGAAAATATTTGTGAAAGCATTTTACAGCAAAAAGTGCAATCATGTGCCAGGCTTTGCTATTTTATAAGCCCATGTTATCTCTAGGACCACTGTAAGTGGAGGGATGCTAAAGGCATTGACTGGTGCCACTTTAAAATCCAGCGAGACAGGCATCTTCAGAGCATGCCACTCAGTGCTGCCGCTTTAGTATTTTGAACATCAAACAAATCTTCTGGAATAACATTTTGATGTTTTTAGTAGACACAAGTGAAGACCATGTGGATTCACTTTCACTGCATATACACACCAGGACTGAGAGGAACGTCCTGGGGAAGGAATGTGAGATTTGGTAGAACCCAAGGTTTTCAAAACAAATACAATAATTCAAGGAAAAGGAAAACTAATATTTAAGGAGTGCATGATATTGGCCAGACACTTTATACATATTATCTCATCTAATCGTCACAATAACCCCATGAGACATGGACAGCGTTTATAGACAAAGCAACTGAAGTTCAGAGAGGTGGAGTTTTTGCACATAGTCACAGAGAGGACCAAAGCTAGGACTCGAACCCAAGTCTCACAGAAGCTAATGCCTCTGAATTCTCCTGTGCTCAGCACTGAATGGGGTTCCTGACTCTCTGGGTGTAAAAATGTTACCTTCCCTTGGAAAATATTACTCTCCCCCTGTGCTTCCTGGATCTTAAAAGTTCTGGACATTGATATGTTTTCTTAGTCCCTGCTGGGAATGATCCATAAAATGGCCTCACTTTGAGAATCAATGCCAATGACCACCGCATTAATACTGAGGCAGAAATGCATTTCCAAGTGCATTTGCTTGCTTATTTCATAAATATTTATGTGTCTTGGACACTTGGCCACATCTCAGCCACATCATGAAATACCATATTTGGGAGCTTTATATTGGAGCAGAAGATCTTTGATAAACAGTGTGGAAATCATCGTGTAATTCACTAGCACTTCCCGGCTTTGCTGGAAGCATCTGGTGAGTTCTCCCACTGCATTCCCAAGAGGGCACTAGCTCACTGCCTTCCCATAGGAGAGAGAGAGAGCACTCAGTCTCTTCTCCAGCCTTCCAGAGTCTTTCCAGCAAAATGGACCCCACTCACCTGTTGATGGGGCCCTCGGTGGGGGAGGGCCTGGCAGAGCCTTCCATCAGGCCTAATGATGTGCTAACCAGCACATAGGGAATGAGAGGCACCAAAGGGAACGTCCTCCTGCTCTCTGTCCCAGGTCATCACGACACCACAGGTCCACAGCCAGAGCTGGATGCACAATCTGTGTGCAGGGCATTGGGGAGGAGGAAAGTGAATGGACACTCCAGGTGACTGTGTCCATCCCTCCCCAATGGGCTTTTCCATCACCCTCTACAGACAAAGACAAGCATGGGCTTGTTGGTGGACACAGCTTCAGTTGATAGTGCATGCCAGGACCACAGTGCACGTTGTGCTTGATTGACCCTGGGATGCCATCGTATCCTCTCTGCTGTCTGACACACACAAGTCTCAGAGATGCTTGATTGCAAGAACTCACTATTAATCAAGCCAAAGATGGGTTTCTAATCTCATAAGTGAAAAAACCTTAAAGGGGAAAGTTTTCTTAAGTTGACATTTCACTGTTTTGCTTTGCGGAAAACACATTTATATTTAATAGCATTTTATAGCTTATAAGGTATGTTTATTTTTATTAGCCTCATGTACCATTATCACAACTCCTAAGGTAGTAGTTATTGTTATTCTCACTTGAAAGGTGTGAAAACTGGCTCTAAGAGAGGTTAAAATATTTGCCAGTGGTTGTCCACTTTGGTACTAAGGTTGAAACTTAAACACAAATCTTCTGGCCAAAAAGTCTGCAATTTTTCTACACCACCTCTAGATTTCTTGACATTTTGCTCATCTTATAGCCATTGGCTTCTTGTAGATAGGAATTACATCTTCTTTCTACTTGTTACAGAGCCCAGTATTAATGCAAAATGCAAAACACACAATATTTTCATACTGAGCTTGTACTGAAGACTTTTACAAAATAATTGAGTAGAGGAAATTAAATACTATTGAGAACAATCAGGTTATTTCTGTTATTACCTCCCCATAATCTGCCCACATCACTGTAATCACCATGAGAGCATGTTTTTTCTTGTTTCCATATTATGAGTGTACCTGTGTTATTTTTATTGGCCACACAATACTTTATTATGTTCATGAACCACAATTTCAACCCATTTCTCCATTTGGTCCTTTCAAGTTATTTTTCCATTTTTTCCTTAAAATAAAGTTGTAATGTGTCTGATTTAGGAAGCCCAAAGCTCAGGAAGTTCACCCCTGTGTATACCTGTTGTGCCTCTTCTGACATGCCCAGTTGGCCAGACAGGTGGAATTCTGGTGTGAACCTGAGCTACTTATTAAAAATTAAAACTTCTGAAGCTCGGGTCAACTGAATCAGAACCCCTCTGGGAGTAGGAGTCAGGAATCTCCATTTTAACAAGCTTCACAGTGACTTCACACACCCTAAGGTTTGAAAACCCCTAGTTAGTTATGTGAACTTAAATAGAGCTGGCTTCTGTAGTCAATTTCATGCCTTTAATTTGAATACCTGCATCTAGTTTGTGTCTCTAAAGTCTCCACACCATTACATAGCATCTCGCATATTCTTGTCCTGAGAACACAAGGACAGGGCTGGGGGACTCTGAGTCCTCAAGGAGTCGAGGGTCAGGCTTCATCTCAGCCAGAGGAGGAGGCTGTCTTTCAGTCCTTCACACCCGATTCAGTAACTGGCCGGTGGGGGAAGGCTTCTGTTTGAAAATATCCTTGGCAATTTCTCCAACAATTAATTACCCAGCTGCTGCATAAACTCTAGTATCAACACTCAAGACCACCCAACAGAAAGCGTCAGGCACACTTGCCACATCAGCCCGCCATCATTGTGCACATGCGTGTGTCTGTGCGTGCATGTGTTACTAAATAAAAGGGACCACAGAAAAGGGTATGTGAGATTTTCTCAAAATGACCCCCAGAAGAACCCTACAGAATGTATTTTCCAAAATATCTATTCAACTTGAACTTGGAAAATACTCCTTTTTACAAAAGTCGTGCCCGAAGTGCCTTTTGGCATTCACAGGCGCTGCAGACAGGCGCTGCAGCGTGGATATGGAATACGTTCGGAAGCTTTGGGCTTCGTTGGTACAGATGGGAACAGCTCTGCATGCCGACGGCTGGGCTTACTGCTTTGTACCAATAGAGTTCCCAAAGTCAAAGCCACCCTTGCTTGATGCGTGGAGAGGCAACCTACATGAGCAGGGCTCTCTTTATGGTGATTTCTCTCATGGCCAGCTTGATGTCTGTGGCCGCAATATCAGAACGTTATAAATAAAAGCCTTCAGGTTTCGGAGTCAAACAGCCTGGGATCTGAATCACAGCTCAGCGGCTTACCAGCTGTGTGGTCTTGCATGACTCAGCCAACTGACCTTATCCTCAATTTCGCATCCATAAAAGGGGAATCATTGTAGGATGGTGTAGGGATTGAAAATAAGAAGAAATGCCTGAAGCCACCCTAGAAACCTCTTAGAAGTGATTAAAAACAAGTATTTTAATGGTCTAATGATCTCATTCAATTCTACCAATATTTACTGAAGGCTTGTCATCTACCAGGCATTGTTTCAAGCACTTGGGACAGATGGATCCATGCCTGTATGTAACCACCTCATGGCTTTAGAGTGGCTCTGGGACCTTGGGTAAACCAGGACAGGGCAGTAGGTTTTTATCACCATTTTCCACTTGCATCTGCTGCAAGCCCAATGGAGATAGAAACCTCAAAGTGCTGACAATGGTCTCCAAGGATTGCCTCAAGGACATTGCTATTGTTTAGTATTTGTGGCACATCAGAACCAGCAAAGTACTCAAGAGATGTGCTGGGGCTGGAAGCCTGGGGCGCTGGCCTCTAGCCTTGGGTTTCCATTAACATACTGTGGGATCTGGGATCCTCTGCTTCATTTTCCCTGCCAATAAGTTGAGACCAGTGTCATTGCTGAAGAAGTCCCAGTAAATGAGCCTCTGTCTTCCCCATGAATAAATTGGGAATTAGAGTAAGAAGTGAGAGATGAGAACCCAAACATCAGCTCATTACTGATAAGAGGCAGAGAGGGCTGACCTGGACAGCAGGCAGGCCCCCATGGACCCCACAGACAGTCACTGCTGCCTGGGGAGACAAGGTAGAGTGGGGGAGAGAGGTGGGGGGTGGGAGAGAACTCCCTGCACGCAGCTCACGCGGAAGAGTGGATCTCACCGCGCATGCTCAGCCACTCCCCCAAATGCATCCATCCAGCCATTCTCTCCAGCTCCTCCAGAGAGGAAAGGGGTGGTAACATGAGGCCAAGTGGGTGCCGAAAGAAAATCTTCGAAAGTAGGAAGAGCCGACGCTCTTGCCTCTAAAATCTAATCAGATGCTGTCCTATTCAGTTGATGGATCAAGTCACCGTGAGGCAGAACAGTCGAGACGTTCCATGGATCTGAACTGCTGTCTTGTAGTAAGAGCCAGGGAACCAGGACACTCCCTGGAACATCCAGAGGCCTGATTCTGCCAGAATTCTGAAGATACAGAGAGAAACTGCTTTGAATCCCTTATGTGAAGTCCAAACAAGCCCTAGAAAAGCATTTCTCAACTTACTACTTGCAACCCATTCGTGGGTTGTGAAATTATAATCAAGTTTTTACAAATTAAATGTAATTGTCTATATTGGAGTACATGGCTGTACAGGCATTGTTTCATGAAACATTGGGCTCAGTATTATTTACATGGGGATTGGGGTGTGTGCACGTATACCAGGTCATGATGCTACATGTACCTCTTACTGGGAATCGCAATTAAAAGGCGCTGCCCTTGCAGCAGTAACAGGTTTTTAATTGATTACAGTGCGAAGGAGAAGCCTGCCTTTGGCATGAACGGCACATGCTGAAGTTGGCTGATTCAACACCCGTTTGTTCCAGCCTCCTCGGCCCGGCCTCCTGTCCCACAGAGGTGGGAATCTGAACACTGCCTTTCCCACTCGCCTCTGCTGCCAAACAAGTGAAATGGGCAAAACTAAAAAAGTTAGATGCTGATGTGAGGAGCAACAGGCGGCAGCCATGGGTGGGGATCCGGGCTTCCAGCCGGTGCACGCTGGAGACCCTGACCTCTGCGAGGCCGCTTCTGGCGTCCAGTCCTGAGCCTCGGGGACCTCGTGGGGATGGCAGTGGTGGTAGTGTCCTGAAGATGTCTGTCCCTGCTGTAGCTAAGCTCAGTTCCTGGCTGTGTTTCTCCTGTTGTTCCAGGCCCTGTCGCCTCCAGGCCTGGTTCCTGCCCCCCTGGAGAGTCAGTGCGGCACACAGCGGCCTTTCATAAAGCTGCTCGCGTTCTGTCCGCGTTCTGTCTGTCTGGCTCTGCGTCCCATGCGGCGTCTTGCCAGGCCTGGCCCTCACACCCAGAGACCTGTTTTCCTCTTTGCCATAGGGCTCCCTTTAGTGGCAGGCAGCCCCCTGATGTCACAGGATTTTTCCCTGCGGCCCCTCAGCTACATCAGGATCTGGTGCTTCTCTCTCCTGTTTTATCCAAACCAATTGGTCCTGTGGCTGAACCATTCAGGACCCTATTTCAGCAACAGCTACCCCAATAAACTGCTAACATTATCCTAAGTGAAATGGCTCAGAAAAACAGAAAGCCAAGAACTGCATGTTCTCACTTACAAGTGGAAGCTAAACAACGGGTGCACACAGACATACAGAGAGGAGTAATAGACATTGAGGGCAGGAGGGGTTAGAGATGAAATACTAGCTACAGGGTACAATGAACACTATGTCAGTGGTGAGTCCGCTAAAAGCCGAGACTACACCACTACACAGTATATCCTCTTTTTTTTTTTTTTTTTTTTTTTTCCTGAGACAGAGTCTCACTCTGTCGCCCAGGCTGGAGTGCAGTGATGCAATCTCAGCTCACTGCAACTTCAGCCTCCCGGGTTCAAATGATTCTCCTGCCTCAGCCTTCCCAGTAGCTGGGTTACAGGCACCCACCACCATACCCGGCTATTTTTTGTATTTTTAGTAGAGACAGGCTTTCACCATGTTGGCCAGGCTGGTCTTGAACTTCTGACCTCAGGAGATCTGCCCACCTTGGCCTCCCAAAGTGCTGGGATTACAGGCATGAGCCACCACACCTGGCCCAGTATATCCATTTAACACAGCTGCACTTGTATCCCTAAATCCATAACAATAAAAATAAAAAATAAAAATTTTAAAAGCAGAGGGTAAGCAAAAGTTTGTATAAAAAAAGATGAAAAACAAATATTTTTTAGAAAAATTAAATTAAAATGTATATAAAAAAATAAAATAAAATAAACTATTTAAGAAAGGTGCCAACGGTTTGATGCTTCACCCTGTCCAGTGGAGCCCATGATCCAAGAAGTAGCCTTCAATGCCTTCAACCCATAACATTCAAATTGAAGATTTCAGTTGTTGGGGTCTTGCCTTGAGTGAACTCCTTTTATTCTCCTATGTGATTTAAAAGACAACTGCATAAAACAATGCAGACTGATCACATTCTGATGGCTCCCACCAGGGGAGCCCCAGCCTTCCCTCCCGTCTCCACCCACAGCAGCTCCACTTTCACCTACTCTGTCTAGCAGGGCTCCACCCAAGTCTGTATTTGAAAAAAAAGGAAAGAAAAAGTCCCAAGGCCATGGTATGAATAGGAAGGATTCTAAAAAGCACAACCCCTTTTCAGGATGCCATGCCTAATCCCCAGAACCTGTGAGTGTGGCAAAATATCACACCATGATTAGGTTCTACTCCATGGCACAGTTGGCCTTTGGATTGGGAGATTGTCCAGTGGGCCTGACCTAGTTGCAGGAGCCCTTAAAAGCAAAGTGCTTTCCCTGGCCGCTGGCAGAAGAGGAGGGCAGAGAGACTTGGAGCAGAGCTCAACATAAGCCATTGCCGCTTTGGAGAGGGAAGGAGATTCATGCTCACTGAGCACCAAAGATGTGCGAGGCATACCGCACACCTCCATAAAGCATGCTCATCCACTCCCATTCCACAGACAAAGGAAGGGAATCCAACTGAGATCAAGAATTTTCCCCGAAGTTGAATAGGGTAACTAGGATCCCCCAAAATCTGGCTTTTCTCTCACAACTAAATAAGAAGATAACCAGCTATTAATAGGCTTATGAAAGGCCCAATAAACAGTTCACAGAAACAGAAATATAAATGGCCAAAAATGTTTGAACATATGCTCAACCTAATTCAAAAATAAATATATGCAATGTAAGTGAAATATTATGTATTTGTCCATTGATATAAATTTAAAAGATTAATAATACCAAGTATTAGTGAGGGTAAAAAAATAGGCACTCTCATATATTATTAACAGAAATGTAATGTGGAGCATCCTCTTGGGAAATCAATAGGCAAAACTTATAAAAATTCTACCTACATATAGCCTTTGACTCAAAACTTCTCAGCTAAGAATTTACCCTACAGGTAAAACACTCACAAAAGTATGCCAATGCATCTATGTGATGGTCACTTCAGTATTATTTGTAATAATAAAAATACAAAAAACATAAGAGACTAGGTATTAAGTATTCTTACCACAAAAATAAGTATGTGAGGTAATGCATATGTTAATTAGCTGATTTAGCCATTTCATAATATATACATATTTCAAAACAACATGAACACAATAAATATATGCAATTTTTTAATTTGTTAATTTAAGAAAATTTAAGGCAGAAAACAGCAATCTATAGGCACATGGAAAACTATGATTGACCCATATGATACTATATCTACATAAAGACTAAAAAGAATCAGAATGTGATCAATCTGTATTGTTTTATGCAGTTGTCTTTTAAATCACATAGGAGAATAAAAGGAGTTCAAAAGAAACATACATTTATATTTTCCTTCCATATTTACCTATGTAATTACCTTTATCTGGTTCTGTGCCCTTTATTTCTTAATATGGATTTCTTCAAGTTACTAATGACCTTCTATTTCAGCCTGTATATTATATTCTATAGGGCAAATCGGCTGGCAACAAATTATCTCAGTTTTTGTCTATCTGGAAATGCCTTAATTACTTCTTTAATTTTGACTAATTGTTTTGCTGGATGTAGAATTCTTGGTTGACGGTGTTTTTCTTTTGGTGCTTCAACTATGTAATCCAACTGTTTTCTGGCCTCCGTGGGTTCCGATGAAAATATTTCTTACGTATGTCTTATATGTGATGAGTCACTTCTCTCTTACTGCTTTCAACAGTTTTATTATAGCATGCCTAGGTGTGGGAGTTTGTCTTTTTTTGGGGGGCTGGGGGGTGTGAAGACAGAGTCTTATGGTCTCACTCTGTTGCCCAGACTGGAATGCAATGGCACAAACATGGCTCACTGAAGCCTAGAATTCCTGGGCTCAAGCAATCCTCCCACCTCCGCCTCCTGAATAGCCGGAACTGGAGGCACACACCACCACTCCTGGCTAATTTTTGTATTTTTAGTAGAGACGTGGTTTCACCATGTTGCCCAGGTGGGTCTCAAACTCCTCAGCTCAAGGGTTCCACCTGCCTCAGCCACCCAAAGTGCTGGGATTACAGGTGTGAGCCACCACACCCAGCCTGAGTTTATCTTATTTTGAGTTCGTTGAGCTTCTTGGATGTTAAATTAATGGTTTTTAAATCAAATTGGGAAGTTTTTGGCCATTATTTCCTCAAATATTTTTCTGCCCTTTCTGTCTCTCTCTCTTCATTCTGGGATTGTATTGTGTTTATGTTGGTCCCACTCAGTGGTGTTCAATAGGTGTCTTAATCTCTGTTCATTTTCCTTCATTATTTTTTCTTTCTGCTCATCAGACTGAATAATAACCATTGATCTATCTTTAAGTTCACTAATTATTCCTTCTGCTTACTCAAATCTTCTTTTGAAACTTTCTGGTGAATGTGTCATTTCAAATTATTGTACTTTTTAACTCCAGAATTTCTATTTGCTTCCTTTCTATAATTTCCACCTCTTTGTTGACATTGTCTCTTTGGTGAGAGATCCTCATGGTTTCCTTTATTTCTTTGTGTATAATTTTCTTTAGCTCTTTGTGCATATTTAAAGTAATTGATTTAAAGTCTTCATCTACTAAGTCCAACATCAGGGCTTCCTCAGACACAGTTCCTATTAATTGCTATTGTCCCCTTTCTATAAAGCTATATTTCATATTTTTTGCATGTGTCATAATTTTTGTTGAAAACTAGACATTTTAAATAATATTGCAAAGGCTTTTAAGTCTAGTCTGGTGAAACAGAACACTCACACAAGTCAGGCAAAGCAGATTTTATTACTCACAAATAGGCAGCAAGGATAAACAGAAGCTTAGGATTTATGGTGAGCCAGTCCCCCAAGGCTCAGGAAAGCTGCCCAGGGCAGATGGAGTCTCATCTGTGCTTGCCCCATGTGAAATCCCAGCTGAGGGACCCTGAAAGCACTCTGCTCTGCATTTTATACCCTGGATGTCACTTTGTTTGCTGAGCTTGAGCATTGCAGAACATCCTGTTCTGGGAGGAATAAGGACACAGCTGTGGTTGTTCCAGACATTTTCTCCTTATCTCTGGACATTGTATCCTTGGTACATTCTGCCCAAGAATTACAAGAAGAGTGGGGAAGAGCTGGATTGGCCAAGGGCATCTAGGGATCTGTCCTCTTGCAAATATAATATGGAAACTCTGAAAATCAGATCCCCCCCACACCTCACTCCCTAGAGTATTTTGCTCTTGTTATTCATTGCTTTATGTGTTGCTTGTTTGGTTGGTGATTTTTCTGAACTAATTATGTAAATTCCATGTCCTTTGTTGTTGTGGCCACTGAAATCTCTGTTTGGTTAGCTTTGTGATCAGCTAATGATTAGAAAGAGGCCATCTTTAAGTGCCTGGAACCAATAAGTCTACCAGTCTCTGCTCAGTGTGACTCAGCCAGGCTGTTTACAACTCTGCCTTATCGTTCACTTCCCACTTGTGCAGAATCTCAAGGCTAGTCAAATATGAGAGCTCATGGCCTTATCCAGTCTTTCCTGAGAATGTGCTCAGCCCTGGGCATGAATATGGCTCTCTAGAGACCTAGGAATACGTTGGAGCTTTTCAAAGTCTGTATGGACGTCTCACTTCCCAAATTTCTTTTTAAGCTTTTTGGTCAGCCTTTTATTTGCCCCAGCTGTTATCCAGTGAACTGTTATCCAGGTCGCTGAGATGTTCAATAATTGCCTCTGATTTTTTTTTCTTTTTTTTTCTTTTTTTTTTTTTTTTGACAAACAGCCCTGGAGAAAAGTCTGTTTACACTTGGAAAGCTTCAAGTCAACTCAAATAAAGACAGCCTTGAGAATGAGATCTTCCAGGGAACCAACAGAAAGGTCAAATGCTGACAACTCTCTGGAAATAGGCCTTTGAAGGCACTCCATCCCTATTCTGCCCCCTCCAGTGGCTGCTGGTTTTCTCTGTAATTGAAGGCTGCATATCTTCAAGACTACCATGGAGACCAGGGGATAAGGGTATGTATGGAAATAGGGCAAATTAAAACATCATAAAACTCATTGTTCTTATGAAGATTCAGACATTTTTCTTGAGCAAACACTTCTCGAGTTGCTGCAAGCCTTTGGTTAACTTCCAGAGTCCTGAAAAGTTGATTCTGACAGTTTTTGCCACTGTTCTCATTGCTTGTACGGAGGTGGGAATTTTTGAAGATCCTTACTCCCTCATTTTCACAGATGTCACTCTCTTATTTTATTTAATTTTAATTAATTTAGATTTAAATTTAAATAGCCACATGTGACTAGTGGCTACTGTATTGGACAGTGTAAGTCTATAAAATTCAATATGAAGTCAACTAGCCCAATGAAAGTTAACTCCAATATAGATATATACAAATACAGTAAACTCAAAATCACTATGGAGGAGGCAGGCCATGCATTATCTCCATTCTGCAGTTGAGGAAACTGAGTTGAGAGTCAAGACGTGGAAAAGAGAAGCCGAGAATAACCTCCAGCTGCTGAGGAGGCCTGGGCACAGTTGCTGATGGGGCATGGGTGTCCTCAACCACCAGCCCCACTGGAAACCTGGGGGCAGATGACACAACTGCTCTCCAGCAGTCAAGTGGAAGGAGCCTGATGTCTCATCACTGCCATGTGCCAGGATGCTCCAGCTTCTCTCTAATCCTCTTTTTTTCTTTTTTTTGAGATGGAGTTTTGCTCTTTGTTACCCAGGCTGGAGTGCAGTGGCGCAATCTCGGCTCACTACAACCTCCGCCTCCCAGGTTCAAGTGATTCTCCTGTCTCAGCCTCCCAAGTAGCTAGGATTATAGGCACCCACCACCAGGCCCAGCTAATTTTTGTATTTTTAATAGAGACAGGGTCTCACCATGCTGGCCAGGCTGGTCTCAAACTCCTGACCTCAGGTGATCCACCCATCTCAGCCTCCCAAAGTGCTGGGATTACAGGTGTGAGCCACCACACCCAGCCTCTTTAATCCTCTTATTAGTCATCCTATAGGTGGCCAGGAAGCCAAACAAAATGGAAATCTGCTGAATTTAAAACAATCTGATGCCCTTATTTTTTCAGTTCAATAAATTAAAAATATATGGTTTGGTTTCAAACTGATTCATGGGAGTTTAGGATTAAAGATTTTGTTCTCCTGGTTGGTTGGGTTTTCCTTGTTTCCTTTTTCTTTTAATCTTCTTTTAATGTCACGCTCCCATTTATGATTGTGTAAACAATGGATGTACGATTTCTGCACTCGGCACGTGAGTGCAGCTACCTCTAGTATCAGCTCATGGCTCTCTGCACTTCCAGTGCCTGGGAGACATGCATTTGCCAGAATCCATTACATTGTCCCAGGCAGGAGTGCCACAGGGCACCCAGACTTCCCAGGCACCAGCTAGTGGCAAATCACATCAAGCATTTGTGGCATTTGTTTCAGGAGAGCACACTGCAGCAGGGTGAGGTAGGAAGCCTGTCCCAAGGTATCCACTAAGTTAGACAATCCAGGGAAACCTTGGTTTACTAATCCAGATTTCAACCTGCCAAACCAGCTCCAGTGCAAGACTACCAAGCTCGCTTTGTATCAGCTTTCAAGAGACTCGGTGCAAAGGAAATAAGTGATGATGTGCTCAAACAGAGAAACCCATCCTAATTCCCAAAGACACCTTCCCCAGGAAGCCTTCCCTGACCCCTGGGCTGAACTGAGAATGCCTCCTCTGTGCCTCCCTGTCCCTGAGCACAAATAGCAGGGCACTCCACATGCTATTTGTAAATTACACGTTGCCATGTTGGCCTCCCCAGTCAGACAGCGAGATTCTTGGAGACAAATGTCTTGTCTTCATTACCCTAGCACTAGCACCAGCACCAGCAGGGGGCCTTAGATGCTCCCTGTGTGCAATGATCTGTGTGCATATCCTGCCTATGTATAGATGTCCTGGGCTCAGTACACACTTGTTGAACTCAACCCAGGATGGCTATGCCAGGACAGAGAATGTGGCTTTTAAGGGACCCTAACAGCCCATCTGAAAAAAAAACAAAAACAAAAAAACTTGATCCTTGATTTAATCATGGGATTTCTATTAAGATATCACACATTTTGGGTTTTTCCAGTCTGTCTTCTTCCTCTTACTACTGATCACGTCATTCCCCTGTGCCATGCATAGCACAGCCATGTGTGTTTGACGGACACAGGTTGATTAGTACACTGAGAGCCTTGCTCTCTCTGATGCCCTTGGCAGGGAGAAGCCAGATTGCAGGGCCTCGGGTATCAATGGCTTACACGGGACCTCCTTACTTTGGTTCCTTCTCCCAAGGAAACAGTTGCAGTCATAACAGAAGTGCACATATTCAAAGTCCGCTCATGCTGTGTGCCACGTGGTCAGGAGGGCAGTCATCTCCCAGGGCAAGAGGGCATTCCCAGCCTCCCCCTGGGCACATCTTCCCTGCTCTTGGGCAAAACCACCAGCCAAGATAACGCTTACATTATTGGTGGACTTCATTTTTGTGTCATCTTTATCCATCATTTATGTACTTGTTTAATGTATAAAATACATTTACATATTTAACAAATGTCTTGAGCACCCGCTGTGTGCCAGGTGCTGTGCTGAGCACCACTGGGTACAAAGATGAACTAAAATGTGGGTTCTCCCCAAGGCACCTGCAGGCCAAGCGTGCATAAAGGAAATGGACAAAACCATGGGGTTGAGATGAGAAAATATTAGAAGGAGGAGGGAGAGGAAGAGAAGAAGGCAGGTGAGGACAGTCCCTTGAGACAGATGTCTACGTGGGAGGAGGACGATGGATCTGAGAAGGAGCAATGCAGGGATGGAAGGAAACCGAGAATGCCACTAACAGAGTCCACTGGGGCCCAGCTTCATGGATTCACCCAAAACCACGCAGGCCTTTTACCAAGCACAGGGACACAAGAGATGCCATGCAGGGCCTGAGTTCCAAAAGCTGGGGCCCAGTGAGGAACCTGAGCTTCTCAGTGTGAGGAGGAGGTGCCAGTCCAGCCGGGAAGCCCTGTGGAAAGCAAACACCATGTATGGACTGGCCCAAGCTGTGTGTCTCACAGAGGTTAGCAAAGTCCTCCCATCACCAGGTGGTCTGCGTTGGCTTACTTGGAGCTTGCTTGTAATAATTTTGACCAGGTTAGTTACTTAGTAAGGCTGTTCACCCTATATTGACCGAAGCGTACACTCTTTGGTAGGGGCCCAATTTCGATATTTGTTACTCCTGATTCCAAGGTATGGATCAAAACAAACAACATCCTCAGCGCCCTACAATGTACTGCCCACACTGCTCCCCCCCACAACTCTCCAACACCACACCTCCAAAAAAAGTTCAGCCCTTCCATCCTAATAAAGAAAATCTGTGGCTCGCTGGGCACAATAGCTCATGTTTGTAATGCCAGCACTTTGGGAGGCTGAGGCAGAGGATCACTTGAGCCCACAAGTTCAAGACCAACCTGGGCAACATCGTGAGACCCCCATCTCTACAAAAATTTAAAAATTAGGTGTGGTTGTGTGTTCCTGTGGTCTCAGCTACTTGGAAGGCTGAGGTAGGAGGATCGCTTGAGCCCAGGAGGTCGAGGCTGCAGTGAGCTATGATTGCGCCACTGCATTCCACTCTGGATGACAGAGTGAGTCCCTGTCTCTCAAAAAAAAAAAAAAAGTCTACATCTGGATTCACCAATGCACATCACTCCTTTGGGGCTGTCTGTCTCCTGGTACCCGGATCAGGATAGGCAGCACTGTTCTTTAAAGCTCATTCCCATGCTAAGAGGTCATCATGGTTTCCTGCCTCTGATCTCACATTTGCCATGCCACTCCGATCCTTTCTGGGACTGAGTTTTCTGCCTGGGTGTTGCAGTCCAATTAAAAGTGAAAGAAGGAACGAGACCAGTGAGATCTAACCAAAGAGGACAAAAACCAGCAAAAGCATTCCAGGGAGAAGAGGCGATCCTCCTCCAACTTTACCCAGTGGTTTTGAGCCTTTCATTTCTCCATTCAAAAGCTATTTTAAAAGTTTTGGCTTGGTCCTAAACAGTGGTTGGGGATTTTAATACATGACTATCTATCCTGTTTAAACCTCCTCAGTGGAAATAACTGAAAACACTACCTTGTTTCTTCCTTCTGGGATTCCAATGTTTAAAACACATCATGTGTTTTCATTCTCATACAAAACTCTTTGTGAGAGTTTTCCTCACTTTAGATAGTGCTAACATTTTTTAAAAAAGTAATTCATTTAAGACTAAATAATGCTAGCAATGCAAAAAGATCAGAAGACCAGTGGGTTCGACTGGGAGTTAGAATCAGGGTTTGTCTGTATTATTGAAGGGAAAATTATGTCACACATGCACAAAATTGAACCTAAGCAGGTCACGTTCCCCTGAAGGCCAGCAAAGAAAGCTGTGAATCATTATAAAGCCCTTCCATATCTGGAGTGCTCACTGAACCAGATTCCTGAAGGCAAGCAAACAAAAAGCTGTTCTTTTGCAAGCTTTTGTTGGATGCCCAAGTGTGTCAGAAGAAGAACAAGTATCTACTAGTAGGTTGGCATTAACAAAAAGTCAGTATTAGAGAGGAGGGAAAAAAAATCAGGGAGGCTATGTAATTGGAGTTCTGCAGCACCTCAAAAGCTCAGAGTAACAAACACCTGGCCACCAGGTGACTCATGCCCCTTGCTGCCAAGCACATGGAAGGGTCGAGTGGGGAGGCACTCGCGTGCACTGTGACAACCTCTGAGCTGCCGGAACTGCAGTCAGGCCAGTGAGTGCCCCTGGCTGGGCCGGGAAGACCGGCCTGTGCTCTGATCCTGCCCCTCTGGTATCGTTCAACCCAGTCAAGCCTGTTCAACAATTTCTTCTCTAAAACAGGCTCTTTGATGCAGCCTCATTTTGTGTTCAGTGACATGAAAGAGATACTGATGCTGATTATCAAAGGCATGCCTCCCAACCACAAGCAGCTAATGCCCGCGGGATGTAACAGTATCTCTTCCTCCAACTTCTGCATCCTCCCGCTGGGAAGGGCTCAGTGGCCACGGAGCACGTCTTTTTTTCCCTACTAATTTCACATCGGATATTAATCCATGTGGGAGGAACATGGATTAATACCTTAAGCTTGTAGGTCACACTCAGGTGAACATACTCCACGGATCTAAATGCCACGGAGACAGAGAAAGGTGCCTCCTGGGGCTCCTGAGGGAAGAGGCTCCCCTGAGAATCTCCTGGGCCATCGCCACACCTGGCCCCACCCTCTAGAGGCCCATTACACCATCCATGGAAATCTATGTTAATAACATCTTCAGAATAAAAGATAGAGCACCTTCCTATCCTGGGTTAATTAGTTTCCATTCTAAGCACTCAAGATAAAATGCCCAACAATAAAGATGTCAAATAAACCCACATGTTTACAGTGGAATTGCATACAATTTAAAAGGATATTTCATGATGGGCAAAATGTTCATGATATATCAAAAAGAAAAATTTTGATTACAAAACAGTATGTACAGAATGACTTCCGTTTTGTAAAAATAAAATAAACTGAGTTGAGCATGTGTGTTTGTGCTTGCATAGAGAAAAGTCTGGGATGAGGCCCACCATGGCAGCAACAGCGGCCATCTCAGAGTAATGGGGCTGCACACGGCTTGCCTTTATTCTTTCTTTGCTAATATATATTTTCTAATTTTTCCACAAAGTATATTATTTCCTTGAATTACAGAAGTTTGGAATTTGGTCAGATGATGCACAGTCAGGAAAAGGAAGCTGTCCTTTCAAAGAAACTGTTCATGTGTGTAGAGAAAACACAGCCATACCAAAAGGGCTAATTTTTTTTTTTTTTTTTTTTTTTTTTTTTTGCCAGAGCCTCATTCTTTCCCTGAGACTGGAGTACAGTGGCATGATCTTGGCTCACTGCAACCTCTGCTTCCCAGGCTCGAGCGATTCTCCTGCTTCAGCCTCCCCAGTAGCTGGGATTACAGGCACGCGCCACCACACCAGGCTAATTTTTGTATTTTTAGTAGAGACGAGGTTTCACCATGTTGGCCAGGTTGGTCCCAAACTCCTGAGGTCAAGTGACCTGCCTGCCTCGGTCTCGGCCTTCCAAAGTGCTGGGAATACAGGCGTGAGCCACTGCCCCTGGCCAAAGTGCTTATTTTTAATTATGTTTATGTTTTTATTTTAAATAACAGCTAAGCCAATAACAAAACAATTTCCTTTGTCCTTGCTAACAAGACCTGTCGATCCACCCATCTCTTGGCACCAGCAGCCTGGAAGAGAAATCTCAAATTAGTTGAGAAAATGAGGCGGCCAAAATTGTTCTTGCTGTCTACCTAACCTCATTGTCTCTCCATCAGTCTCTTTGTGGAGGAACATGTGAGGACCACATACGTTCTGGTGGCTCTGGCTCTGGGATTAAATGAAAAAAATGTAGGGAAACTGTAAATCCTAACTCACCATACAAATGTGAGTTTATTATCATACTATTATTATCTGTGTGATATCCTGGTTTACCTTTAAGGGAGCCTGAGTTTCAAACCTGCAGTAGAAGGAGTGAAGGCTAAGATGCCCTCCCGCCATGGTCTCTCTGACGACTGCTGGGCTGCCGAGAGTCTCAGACCTCTGGGAATAGACTGAGATCCCAGTCTAATCGCGGAAGGATGCAGGCAGTGAGAAGCTGAGGGAAGACTTGGAGCAAAGATCGTTCATGAAAAGGCTCAAGAGTATCTGACCCATTGAAGTCATCATTACAGGGGACGGATGGAAAAGAATGTCTGTAGAATAGTACGAAAGTCAAAAGTTCTACTGGAATTTCTTGCCGTCTAGAAATGCACACCAACCCACACATGCAGGTGCACACACACACTACATGTAAACGGTACACACAAGCATGCACACGGATTTTGTTATGTGTGGAGGCATATGTGTCCCCTCCCAAATACACACTCCTGGAAGCTCACACTGTTTTCCTAGTTCCACAAGAGGTTAGAAAGGCTGCATGGGTGTTAGCCTTGCCCTCCCCGGGCTTCCCGACATTAAATGTATCAGCAGGTCCATAAACAGGCAAAACGCTAGAGGCTCGTCTGGGCAGCTGGGCTCGGGGTCTGATTTTCCCACATCGGGCACTCATAGATTTACTGCAGCAGGAATGAACGTTACTCAGAGCATGTTTCTCACCCTCGCTAAACTAATATTTGATCTCAGTCCCTTGGAACAAAACACAGCCTCAGTGTCTGCTGAGCAACCCTGAGCATAAAAGAATAGTCAGGCACGGAATTGGAGCCAAACAAAAAGGAAATGAAGTTCATTTCTCTTTTTCTTGAGCTTTAAAAATAACTCTTTGCCTTCCTAACCCCCGTCAGATCTGACCGAGCGTGAGTCCCTCCTCACCTTCAGGAACTTCACCCCCACCCGCACCCTTCACACCCCAGGGCGGCCGTTCAGGCTTCCCTGGACAGGCGCGGCCCGGCCTTGGCCGCTTCTCCCGGGCATGAAGTCGAGGTCACGCTTCCCGAGAGACACTGGGAGAGCGCCCGCCTGTGGCTCCTTTGCTCTGAAGGGCGTCTGGACACAGCGGAGACCCCCTCGTGGGCCCAGGACTCTGCAATCTTTCACTGAGCTCAGGGCTGGGACAGACACTCGCTGAGCGTCCCCGGGCGCCCCGCACAGCGCTCGGGGCCAGGCTTCCGGAACACGGTGCCCCCCACCTGCGCAGGCCTTCCGGGCTCCTAGAGCGGTCCTGGGGCCTGCGGGCCCCACCTCCCCGGCAGGGTGGGCGTCTGCTGCCGCCTGCTGCCCCCAAGTGGCCGCCAGCGAGGCCCTGGGGGCCCAGGAGCGGCCTTCCGCTGGGGTGTTGATCCGCACCCCCATCCGCGGGCACCGTGGTAAGTGGAGCTAATTCTGAGTCTTTGCGGGCCCTTTGAGGGGCCG
The DNA here is from genome assembly GCF_000001405.40 of Homo sapiens. Lineage (NCBI taxonomy): Eukaryota > Metazoa > Chordata > Mammalia > Primates > Hominidae > Homo > Homo sapiens. Next base: position 10,032,413 of record NC_000018.10, on the reverse strand, counting down.
GGGGTCACCGAACAGACCTCAGGCTGTCACATAGCAGCCATGCACACTCAGCTGTGTGTGGAGCAGCTTCCACTTTCCCTTCTCCTCCTTGAGTTCAGCGCAATGGAAAGGAGAAAAGCGAACCTGCGAAGCGGCCTAGTCCCTGGCACGCCCGCCCTGCTAGCGGCATAAGCCTGTCATTCGACTCCCCAGAACCTTCCTTCTTGTGATAACACCTCTGCTACCCACTCAGGGGGAGAGTGCAAGACACAGGCTCTGACGCGGGGACGCCATTGAAGAAAATAAAGCCCTCCCCAGATAGGGGTACAGAGAACACGCAAGATGCCCGCTAAAATTGGAATGCAGAGAACCCACGAGTAATTTTTTTTTTGAAACGGAGTTTCGCTCTAGTTGCCCAGGCTGGAGTGCAGTGGTGTGATCTCAGCTTGCTGCAACCTCCGCCTTCCGGGTTCAAGCGATTCTCCTGCCTTAGCCCCTGAGTAACTGGGATTACAGGCGCCCGCCACCACGCCCAGCTAATTTTTTATATTTTTAGTAAAGACGGGGGTTTCACTGTGTTTGCCAGGCTGGTCTCGAACTCCTGACCTTAAGTGATCCACCTGCCTCGGCCTCCCAACGTGCTGGGATTACAGGCGTGAGCCACCACGACCGGACAGTAATTTCTTAGTATAAGTATTAATACATCTCGAGTGTTGCATAGGACATACTTATCCCAAAATTTTTCATTGCGTATCTGAAATTCAAGTTTAACTGGGTGTTGAGGGGGAGATTGTTATTTTGATGTTTTGTTGTGTTTGTGGGTTTTGGTTTTGTTTCTAACTTCACCAACCCATCCCCAAATGCCAAGCATCCTGTCTGAGCAGGACCACAACTCCTGAAGCCCCTTCCCACAGCTGCTACTCCGCGACACCATCACAAGTGGGCTAAAGTGGAGCAAGCATTTTCCAAGTAGAAGGAAAGCAGTCAGCTGTCGAAGCCGGGGCTGGAGGACGCCTGCGCCTGCTTGGGGCCCTGCAGCCCGCACCTCCTGAGCTCAGCGGGCACCTTAGGACAAGGCACCGCTGGCCCCGGGAGTTGCCTCTTATCTGATCCCAGCCAATATTTTCTCAAAGTCAGACGTGATAAACACTTTTAAGGCCTCAGCATCTCCCAGACATCTGTTATTCATTTTCTTTGGCCTTGATTTGGTCTTAATCGTTTGTAAGGGCCCAGGCATGCACTCGACTATCTGATTTGGGTTCTGCGCCGGCAGCGTTCTGGCCAGGAGACCTAACACCTGCATTTGTGGCAGAGCCGTTTGACACCCACTGCCTCATTTCGTCTTCACACATTGGGACACAGCAAGGTACAGAGCAGGAACCCCAACCCTGGCTGTACCCGGACATTGCATGATGGGAGAGCTTCCAGAACCCTTCCCCCTACGCCATGCCCCAGACCAATCACAGCAGAGCCTCTGCGGTGGACCCCCGTCCTGGTTGTCATTGTCAAAGCTCTCCAGCTGCTCTCCGAGCATCTCCAAAGCCCAAGACGGAGGACGCTGGCCCAGAACAGTGGTTCTCAAAGTGGGGTCCAGGCACCACAGCATGAGCATCACCTGGGAACTGTAGAAATGCACGTTCTCAGGCCCCTTCTCCAAACTGCTGAATCAGAACCTCTGGGTTCTAACCTCTCCCACTAATTTTGATGTGAACAAATTGAGGATCACTCCATTTTTTTGATGTGAACATTTGAGGATCACTGATGCAGATGAAAGCACAGGCTTTGGAGATGAGAGCAGTCCAGCCCCAATTCTAACTAACCCCAGCCACACGTAGCCTCTCAAAACTCAGATTTCACATCTGTCACAGGAGGGTGATGTTATCTGTCTCATACATAGCACTGTGGTGGAGATTAAGTGAGATGAGACGAGGCACATAGGTTGCACAGGAAAAGCCTGACAAAATCCCAGTAAATGTAGTGACCAGCCATCCTGGTTTGCTCCTGACAGAGGGAGACCCTGGGAGTCCCATCGTACTGGGATGAGTTGCTCGTCCTATCAGAGAATGCGAGTTCTCTCTGCCCTTGAGGGATGTAGGGAAGCCTTTCCTGTCCTTTCGGTAAGTAGAGACCCTAAAGGCTTGAAGGGACTTATCTGAGGCCCTGTACATTTGTGGGACAGCAAGGCTAAACCCTAGTTGCCTGACCCCAGTGAAGGCTCTTCTCTGAACCTGTGTGTCGCACCTCTGAGTAACACGAATGCCCATTCTAAGCTCCTTTTTAGTAATAACGCGTTGAATCCACACAATTTCAATCCACTTGAAATGAAGACCAGGCCAGCTCCACGGGCAGCAACCTAGGCAGTAACACAGTGCCAAGTGCTCAGCTGCATGCCCTCTTCTAATTTTTGGAAAGGGGTCTCACATTTTCATTTTGTGCTGGGCCTCACAAATCGTGTCACTGACCCTGTTTAGAGAGATTTAGTAACTCACACGAAGCCGCCCAGCTGGCCAGTGGCGAGGCCTGATGAAAACCCTGGGAGCTGGCTCCAGAGCCCGGACTTGTGATAAGGATGCTCTCGTCCCAAGAGTGGACACTTCTTTCACAAACACCAAGCACAAAGGGAATTTCACATGTTGTGGGGCAGACTGGAGGAGCTTAAAGCCAGTCCTCACCTCACTGCGAAGGACAAGACCCATTCACAGCTGCGACATCACTCACAACGCTTCTTAAAATGCTGACTTTAAAGTGCCCCAGAGTGCGGATCATCTCTGTGTATTAGCGGCATAAAATCACACCCAGTCATTTTTCTCTTCCCACTTCAACTGAGGGAAAACCACTTAGAACATCCCCCAACCCTGGGACTCATAATAAATAATAACACCTATGGTAGGCATCGCCAGGGTCTCACCTCTTTCCTGAAGCAGGCAATCTCCTCCCAGACCCCATGGCCCAGCTGATGTCCCTGTACCTGTGTGCACTTGAGCCCAGATTGTCCAGAACTGAGAGACAGACACAGGGTAACACCCTGGCCCCTCCCCAGTGTCTTCTTTTTCCCTCTGTGACCCAAACCCAAGGTTTTCTCTTCTTCCCTTCTGAGCCGATCTCTCATTCTCTGAAGGATTTACACAGGTGCGGTCACACCTTAGCGTGGCTAGCATCAAGGTGGACATACTTCTCCTGAGCATTTTCAACCAGTGGAATGAAAAGCTTTATCCCCACTAAAACACCTCAGATATGTGTCAGGAACCCACCGTGCTGTACATGGGAATGGCAGAATGTCCTGCCCAGGTACCACCAGCCGTGTGTGAGTGAGGTTCAGCCCTAACTCTGCAGGAATTCTGTGGGCATAAACCAGCTCACCTTCCTTCTTCACTCTCCTCCTCTTCCTCACTTGGTTCACCTGTCATCCCTCTTGTGAAAGATGCTGGCGCTTAGCCACAAGCCTTCATTAGGCCTCTGCTCTCCTTTCATGGCCCAGCAGGTCTCACTGTGCCCACAGGGCTCTGAGTTCAGCACGGACAGCAGAAGGCCTCCTATCGTGGGAACTGACAGTGACCGGGCCCCTGTTGACTGAAGCCAGAAGAAACAGGGAGCAGATACCCCAGTAACGTGACAAGCACATCAAATGAGGGGAAGGAGTGGGCAGAGAAGCAATGAGGTCTGCAGTCATTGTCCCACATGGATGTCCAGGAGGATTTGGGAGGCAAAGTCCAAGTCAAATGTGAGTCCGGGGAGGAGGTGGCATCCTATCCTGTCACATTCTACAGTCATAGCTTATTCTGGCAAGAATTCTACAGTCACAGCTTATTCTGTCTAAACCATTTGAAATTTAGAGAACTATGCTTGAAGAAGACCATAACAGAGAAATTTCTTTTGGAGGCAGGACACGATTAGAAAATGGATAAGAACTTCAATGAAAAAAGGAAAGAGACTGAGGTAAATTTCAGCCAAGTGTCTGCACAGGCCATAAACAGACTCCAAAACAACTGCCCTGGGAGAAGAAAAGGGCCCCAGGGCAGATGGAGGCCAGTGCAGGAGGCTTTAGTGAGGAGGGCCAGATCTGGGTCAAATGCAAGGTTGAGGACGTTTGGGTCAGGGTCAAGTGAACTCTTTGTGAAGGAAATGTGCCTGTGCAGATTTCAGTTTCCAGAGGGGAGTGGATGGCTGGTAACTGTCAGGTCAAAAGGAAGAGAGGCAAGAAGATACTAGATGTCATGGACTCAAACCTAGTAGCAATAACAGGAATACCGTAGTACTTCACACACCACCTTATGTAGATTGTCACTCAGTGCTTTTAAACAATAATCACATATTTCAGAGAAAAGAGTGAAGTATACAATAGAACCCGGAGAATGTACCCAAAAAAAAGGTCTAGAAGAAACATCACTGCAAATGACGCCCTCTGAGAGTAGTCAGGAAACTATAAGCCAAGGTTTACATGGTTATTGGGCCTCAAAGTATAAAATGAAAAAAGAAAAGTTTAAGTAAGTAATTTTGGGACATATGAAATCTAGGTGTCGAATGAAACAGAAACATCTTAGCAAGGATTTGCTTCCATCAAGCATGCAAGCTGCCTGCCAGTCTCGGGACCCAGCCACATAGCTCTCGTCCAGCCTTGTGTCGTGTGCATGGTAAGTGTTGAATGCAGTGGAGGATGTTCTGCTTTAGTAAGGGAAATGCTAGAATATTACCCTTCAGGGAGGGTTCCAGACCCCCTGAAGAAAATCATGGACTTCCCTACTGCCCTCATTCTTAAGGTGGGCAGATAGTGCCCATGCCCCTTCATATCAAACCCACAAGGACAGATGGGGAGGCCAGGGAGATGGGTGGTCAGGGTTCCAGGTCCTGCTGGAGGCAGACAGCTGAGGCCATCCAGCCTCCCCATCCCAGAACCAGTTTGCCTCCTAGGGAGCAACCATGTATGTCAATAAGGGGAGGATTGGGATTCTGCCAGCAGGAATTCTGTCATACCCCAGGCAGAATGGACTAGAAAACCCAACCAGAACATCATCCCAGCACATCCAGATCACCACTCTGATCCTCCAAGGCCAGTGGCCACTCTGCTCTCTGCTCTCCTTTCAGGGCCCAGCAGGTCTCACTGTGCCCACAGGGCTCTGAGTTCAGGACCGGCAGCAGAAGGCCTCCTATGGTGGGAGCTGACAGTGGCAGGGCCCCTGTTGACTGAAGCCGGAAGAAACGGGGAGCAAATACCCCAGTAACATAAGGCAATCCAGCAGGTGGGGTAAGGGCCAGGCTGTTAATCCACTTAATTCACTTAATCCACTGAATCCACCTTCCCAGATCCAACCTCTTTCACCTTCCCGGATCCAACCTCTTTCTCAGTATGTGACTTTGAGAAAATTACTTGTTTAACTTTCTACTTTCTTATCTGTAAAAGGGGATGATGATGATAATTCTAGAATTTCCCCCTAAGATTCAGCAGGAGGAAGAAAAGGACTGAGCCACCTTGGAGCTTGAAACAGGAAGAACAGAAGAGAGGTCTAAAATCAGGGTGAACCAAAACTACCGACTGTAGAGGCCTCCGATTAAACAGTCGATGCACCGACAGACACAGAGCTCCTAAAACTCAAAAATATTTCTACCTCCGGTTAATTATTCATTGAGAATTAACAAAGCGGCTGCAGTTTTAGCCACCCCAGGGGTGTGGCTGCGAGAGCCTTGGCTTTGAGCTTTGTTTTTACGATGCAGCCCTCCACCTCTTCTCTGGGTTAATGAATCCACTATTCATTGCTTTTTAATGTGGATTAATTTCATCATTCCCTTCATTTAATTCAACTAAATACCTACAGGCTAATGCTGATCAGGGGAACAGAACACAGCTTTTCTTGAAATATAGGTTAAGTTTTGTTTTCCACCATTATGGTTTTGCCAGGAGTCTTAAGTGCCCAGCTGCTCTTTCCTCAGCAGAAATGTTGCTTACAAAACAACACATGAGCGTGTGGTTGTGGAGGAAGTACACGTTCTCATGGCACAGCTTTCCCATTACACAGTCGCCTGTCCACGCAGCTTGCTGGGGTGGGAGAAGGCCGGCCTCCAGTTACGTTTGACCTGGCGAGGCTGGAAGGGCCAACCAAGTGGACGTCTTTAATCAATATGGCGGTGGTCTTGCTTAGGAATTGCCAATTCTTACAAGTGAAACATTCAGAGGAATTACCTCATTCAGAGATGATTGTGGTTGAATCAAAGGCTTTCTTTAATGATGAAAGGCAAAAATTACTTTGATGTTGGAAAATCTTCCTCATACACATGGAAATGCATGAAGGGGACTGCAAATGCTGCAGAATGTGGGAAGAACACCAAACGGGCAGGGGCAGGTCCTATGTATTTCAACTGCTTTCCAGATCCAGACAAGAGGACCTCTGTGTCAGAAAGAAGAGAGTGAGAGTGAGGCAGGACTTATGGGTTTCAACCAGATTTAGGCCCTGTTGGTTTTGGATGCGGAGCACCAGAGTGAGTTATGCAGACTGCTCTTATCAGTCTTGTGAGCCCAGCTCATGGCTTGGCCAGCGGCTCCTAAAATGAATGACCCAGATGGCGAAATGATGAGTTGCTTCCTTAACTAGCGCTCTTTTCTTTAACAGTATTTTTATAGCCTGTATTAATCGTGGTTACATACACATGACAAAAAATGTAACCATTTTTAAGTGGGCAGTGCAGTGACATCAAGTACATTAGCATTGCTGTACAACCACTGCCACCATCCACCCCCAGAACTCTTTTCATCTTGCAAAACAAAACTTCAGTATCCATTAAACACGAAATCTCACCCCCACCACGCCCCCTGGAAGCCCCAGCAACCACCCTTCAACTTTCTGTTCTATGAATTTGATTGCTCTAGGTACCTCATATGGGTGGAATCATACAGCATTTGTCTTTTGCTTTGCAGCCAGCTTCTTTCACTTAGCATAATGTCATCAAGGTCCATTCATGTTGTAGCATGGGTCAAAATTTCCCCTCTTTTAAGGCTGAATAATATTCCATTGTGTGAATATGTAATTCACCGTTGTGTGAGTAGTAGATCCAGTCATCTGTCAGTGGACACTTGGATCGCTTCTACCTTTTGGCTATTGTAAATAATTCTGCTATGCAAACAGGTGTTCAACTATCTCTTTAGGACACTGATTTCAAATCTTTTGGATGTATACCCAGAAGCATCTTTCACTAGTGATCTTTTACAATGGCTGCGAAGTTAACAAGTATTGAAATGATTTTCTTTTGTACAAAAAAACATGCAAAGAGCTTTACTGAAATGTGAAGAAGTGTATTCAAATTCTTTACATGGCCCAGTGTGGTGGCTTATGACTATAATCTCAGCACTTTGGGGAGGCCAAGGTGGGCAGATCACCTGAGGTCAGGAGTTCGAGACCAGTCTGGCCAACATAGCGAAATCCCATCTCTACTAAAAATACAAAAATTAGCCAGATGTGGTGGCAGGTATCTGTAATCTCAGCCACTCAGGAGGCTGAGGCAGGAGAATCAATTGAACCCTGGAGGCAGAGATTGCAGTGAGCTGAGATCGCACCACTGCACTCCAGCCTGGGCAACAGAGCGAGACTCTGTCTCAAAAAAACAAAAACAAAAACAAATTATTTACATGTGTGAGCAAATATATATATATACATATATATATCTCTCTCCAATTCTTTGTCTAAGGAGTTGACTAAAATTCAGTAAAAGGGAAGTTATTTCCTTTCTGACTTTTACCCTTTCCCATAGCAGGGACATTTTAATTTAGATCAGTCAGGGAAGTTAAAACTATAAAAATCAATACTGTGTTCACTTTCCACATGGATTCCTCTACAATTTTTTTTACTTGTGACTAAAATACACATAACATAAAATTTACTATTGTAACCATTTTTAAGTGTACAGTTCAGTAGTGTTAAGTATATTCATGTTGTTATGCAACAGATCTCTGGAACCTTTTCATCTCACAGAACTGAAACTCTACACCCATCAAACAGCAGCTCACCCCTTCCCTGTCCCCGCTGCCCCGGCAACCATATTCTATTTTCTGTCTCTATGAATTTGACTACTTTAGATACCTCATATAAGTGGTCATTTTTTAAATTAAACATTAAACAGAATCTCTAGCAGTGCAGAAAATTGTTATGTATTGACCGTTCGCCGCTGTGTACACACACAGAGTGCTCTGGCCAATTTTTTTTACCAACTTCTCATTTGCTAGTGACTTAAGAGTACCAACTTTCCCTGAAGGAAAACTACTCAATTTTAGTCAAATATTTGACAAGCAATTAAAAGTCGTATGACAGAGGCCTATCTGCTGAAGGGAAGGTTATTTTAGAAGCACCTGCTATCGTTTCAGGTTTCTGGTTGACAAGTCTTGGCTGGAGTGGGCCTCCCCCTCTATGGGCCGAATGTGGGAGGAGATTGTCCAGTGTGAAGAGGCTGTGACACTCACTCATGGTTAGATCTCACTTCACTGTCTAAGATTTCTTTAGGATTCTTGCCAGAAATTGGTCAGCAGGTTAAAAGCAACTTGAATATCATGAGGGCAAGATCGCAACGACATCCTGACATGGCACCATCTTTCCCATTTCTGCCCTCCCAGTGGCCCTCCCCTCTCACAGGGTGCCGCCCTGCTCCCCACTTGCCCAGCCTTCCCTCCTGCTTCATCATCCTACCCCATTTCATAGATCTGTGTCCCTAGGACACAGATGCATTTAGCAGAACACTTTCTCCACCCTTATTCCTTTTTTTGTGATGTGACAGCTACATAAGATGGTGATGAGGCATCAAAATGTCTTTGCAAAGTGCAAAGACTCTTCACTCCTCTCCACTCTTGCTCTTCCTTTTTGCTCCTGCCCTGGCCTGGCCTGGGTTGGTTTCCAGGGATCTCTGCTTACCAGCAAGCCAGTCACCTACCTGTTATCCACATCTACTGAAGGCCTGGTAACAGCAGCCCGGGCCCAGAGAAGTGTTAAAAAAAAAAGAAAGAAAGAAAGAAAGAAAAACTTGGATCAAAGCTAGCAATGCCACCATCATTTCTTCCTCTTGGATTGGGTTACGTAAGCTGAGTGCTATGGTGGGAAAGCTCCAGCCAGGACTCAGGAAGCTGGGGGTCAGGTCTTAAATTTTATTTTATCCAACTTATAAGACAGTATTAGCCTGTTTCACAGATGCTGGCAGAAGACATGAGACTTCTGGATCTGAAATACAGGACTGGTAACGTAGCAAGCAAGATGAACACAAGCATATTTCATCAGTTACCCTTGCCCTTGAGTTCCACAGAAGTGACCCAACAGGCTCAGATTAACTAATACACACATGAAGGCGGTTTGTGTCACAGCCGAGGAACACTGAGTTTGGGGAATCCACTGCTTTTATAGCAAACAGTAAGAAAGTCTGCTCTTTGGGGATGAAGGAAGACATTACCTCATTTCTCAAGGTCATCAGCTACATGAACTACCCTGAGGACGGCCTGCAGGAAAGAGTGGCCAGTCTTAGCACACTTTGTAGGAGTTTATGAGGCCCAACATTGGCTCCAGCACCAGCCCCACCATTAACTCGTGTGTGAATTTCAGCAAGTCAGGTAACCTTTCTAGCACCCCATTTTTCTCACCAGTAAAATGATCATAGTAATAGATGTCCCAGCCAGGAGGTGAGGCAGGGTGTGGTTGGGAGAATTTTGGGAAGAAATGGAGGGACTGGCTTCCTGCTTGGGAACTGCCAATGGCTACATCAGGGCTCCATGGAATTCCTAAGTCACTTCTGAGTCTCCTCCAAGCCATACAAAAAGTGTGACATTTTGTAAATGGGCTGGAGGCCCACATTCGCCAAAGCCAGGTTCAGCCTGTGTTTATGCTGGAAGCTCAAGTTCTCAACAGCTCCCCACATGGAGAAAGTTCACCTGGGCCTCCTCAGCTGGAGAAAGTTCTCCTGGGCCTCACCGGTCTGCGACTGAACACAAAGTGCTCCAGAAACATCCTTCCCCCACTCTGTCTTCTGATTCCACTCCCCACGATCACTTATTTTTCCTACACCCTCCTGCCCCAGATCTCAGCTCCCTGACTGCATAACCACATGTCCTAAAGCATCTAAAGAAGATTAAGTCCATGTTCATGGGGATCAGCAAACTGCGGACTCATGTGGTACTATCAAAAAAGAAAGACTCACCCAAAAGTTTTTCCCTGTGTGTTATATATTTCTAAGAGGCATTCTAACTCACAAAGTGAATCTGAGCTAACAGCAGTCTAAAATGAATTCAATAAGAAATTCATTTTCTTCAAAAGTTTTAACAAAAATGTGAAATAAGTAGATTGAAATAGAAATCTGACTTCGTTGGGTTAATAACCTATGAAATACACATTTCCCACAGGATCCTTAATAAAAGATCTAAAGGTGGAAATGTGAGAATTATTGGAGGGAAACACTTGAATAAGACCTTCGAGTTCTTATGATGATACCCTTAGGAGGTCAACTGGTCTGTCCAACCTATTAGCCAAAGACTTTATCCTAATAAACGCTTTATCTACAACCTTATTATATTATATGCCAAAATATGAATGTCCTCACTCTGGCTGTATGAGATAAGTGAAGTAGACAGAATTATTCCCATTTTAAAGTTGGCCAAACTGGAACACCTAGAGACTACATGACTTGCCCAGGATTAGATATTTAGCAGGAGGCAAAGCTGGAATCAGACCCACGTCTCTGGAACTCCCATCTCTGAATCCTCTGTATTATTTGTAGGTATGATCTGGTCAAAGAAGAAAAAGGAAAAGAACATGCAGGTACTTTAAAGAAGCCTGGGCTGATAGAGATTATGCACCATATAAATAGCCAGGAACATAGGTAGGTAAGTGGGTGGGTAGGTGGGAGGTAGATGGGTATAGGTAAGTAAGAAAAAAAATACACTCAAACATAAACATTTGAGGCAACTCAGAAAATTAACCACAATATAAAACAGAAAATTAAATAATAAAAACAGAATCAAAATCAGTTGAAAGGAGCAAATAAATGGATGCCACCAAGCACCAGGATCGGATAAATGCCACCACTGGGGCAAAACCCAGTCCTAAGTCCCTGGTGACAGTAGGGGTGGGATATGCTTGACATCGATAGGCCAATTGAAGGTTAATTTGGAGAAACAAACATTTTTTTCTGTCCTGCAGGTTATTGTGAAAAGGACTTCGAGTAATATGATGGATAAAGTCTTCCACTATGCTTTTGCAAAATACCCAGGTTTGTTCTTCAAAAGCACATTTCTATGTCAGCTTCCCTCCACAAAGCTGAAGATGTAACATTAAGTCTCAATTTGTTAGATGCTTTTCTGTGGAGAGCTGAGATAATGAGGCCCAGGTCCATTGCTTTCTAAGATCTAACTCAGAGCAAAGGTGTACATGGATCACATCTAATTCCCAGAGACAGGAAAAGCAATCGCAATATAGGCATCTGATACCCATAAACATATCAGTGAGAAGCTGCAGATGTAGTTAAATCAGATATCCAGGAGTTAAACAGCCAGGCAGAAAAGAAAGGGCAAAAATAAAGGGAGAAAATAAGGGCTGTAAATGGAAGATTCTTGATAAGAATATGGTTTATTAACATATTCTACCTGTATTAATACAAACATATTCCAAGTGACAATGACACCAACTTCTTGAAGGCTTTGGCTCTTGAATCCATTTGGAAGTTTCTGCATGAAACCACACTTAACTTCTGCACATCTGCCTAGCTGATCTGCCTCCTCCTGCCTCTAAGCCATTGTCCAGTTGACATTATTCTCTTGAGATCCGCTGACACCTGCCTGCTCACTGTTACACTTCTTCCTTCAATGGAAATGCATTTCCCTTCCAATTCCAGCTGCAATCCAGACCAACAGGTGTAGTCTTTGAAAAACAAATGAAGAAAGAAGATATTAATTGAGTTGCTCTTGAACAAATGTATATTCGATCTAACAAATATTTATTGAGCTGTGGATATGCCAGGAACTACTACGCTGAGTGCCACGTTTTCAAAGATGAATGAGACTTGCCCTACCCCATCAACGAGCTCTCAGTTTAATAGAGAAGAGTGCGTTGTGGTTACACAATCCTTAACAGGAAATCAGGCCCTTGAGCAAACACATTAACACACTCTCTTCTGTGAGTGCTGTCATAGAGGAATGAGTGGGGTGTCATGAATGGAGAGGCTCCTTCTGATTTGGAGGATGGGTAAATTTTCAGAGGGACAGTGACTGCCTGTGCAATTCTATTCCACCGCCCCTGTTCCTTGCTAACAGAACCCTGATTTTTGTTCAGGTATCCATCCATAAAAGAGGAGCTAAATCCTGACTGGCCTAAGCCAATCATGACAATTCCATTCCTCTTGTCTGGGATAGGTTTAGGCATGGACATGCGTAGAAATTCTACCAAAGAAATATGAAAGGAAGTCAGCTGGGGGACTTCTAGGAAAGGTTTCCTAGTTCTTTTTTATCCCCCTCTTGATTTTTTAAGTATTTTTTAATTTGACATATAATAATTGTACCTATTTATGGGGTATATAGGGATGTTTGGATACATAGAAGCTATAGTGCTCAGGTCAGGGTAATTAGCATATCCATCGTCTCAAATACTTATCATTTCTTTGTGTTGGGAACATTCAGTATCCTTCTAGCTATTTGAAATGATATAATATATTATGGTTAAATACAGTCATCCTATAGTGCTACAGAACACCAGAACTTATTCCTTTTATGTAGATATAATTTTATATCCTTTAACAAATGTCTCCCTACCTTACCTATCCTTCTACTCCTCCCAGCCTCTAGTGTCCTCTGTTCTACTTTTTACTTCCATGAGATCAACTTTTTGTTCTTAAAAAGAAATGCACATGTGTCCTCTGGATCTGATGACGGCTATTGTCAGTGATCTGATGGTTGTGAGGCATGCTTACCTAAGGGCATTAGGCAGTTTGTTACCTGGTATTCATATGTGTGGGTGTGTAAGTGTACATGTGTGAGTGTAGACACTTATCTACAAAGCTGTGAGTTTCTTAAAAACATGAACTGTCTTACAAGTCATTTTTGCATTCTCACAGAATCTAGCACAGTGCCTGTCACATAGAAGACACCACCTAAATGTCTGAATAAATCAATACATAGAAATTCTATTTACCTTTATTACAACAATATATCAGTGTATAATATATAATTTTACTAAAATTTTAACAATTGTACATTATATTTCCAGTATATGTAATATTTTTTGAGTTTGCAATTTTTCAAAATACAACCCAAGATTAATCCAGCCCTGTGCTGTCCAATAGGGTAGCCCCAGACACATGTGGCGATTTGCATTTATATTCATTAAAGTTTACTAAAGTGCAGCCCCTTGGTCATCCTAGCTGCATGCGGCTAGTAACTACTGTATTGGACAGTGCAGATACAGAGCTTTTCTGTCATCATAGGTGGTTCTACGGGACAGTGCTGGAGTACGCACTGCTCACATTTGACTCTAACCCAGCGCTTGGCACACAGAGGACACACATAAACATTATTCAAATAATTGAATTCTACTGAACATTCCAGACATTCTTTTTTTTTTTTTTTCGAGACGGAGTCTCACTCTGTCGCCCAGGCTGGAGTGCAGTGGTGCGATCTCGGCTCACTGCAAGCTCTGCCTCCCGGGTTCACGCCATTCTCCTGCCTCACCCTCCCGAGTAGCTGGGACTACAGGTGCCCGCCACTGCGCCCGGCTAATTTTTTGTATTTTTAGTAGAGACAGGGTTTCACTATGTTAGCCAGGATGGTCTCAATCTCCTGACCTCATGATCCACCTACCTCGGCCTCCCAAAGTGCTGGGATTACAGGCGTAAGCCACCGCGCCCGGCCCCATTCCAGACATTCTTAGAACAGCCAAGATAAAATAGGAGAAGCCCTATGCTATCAATGAAAGCAATCAAAGTAAATGTTTAGCATCAAACAAAGCCAATGCCCCATTTATCTAAAAGGTTGCTGAGATGTCTAGAAAGGCCCAGAGGATTCCCTGGCTGCAGACTTCCCTGATCACAGAGCACACCCAGCCACAAAGCCAAGTCCAAACTGAGCTGCTGAGGCTGGAGCCAGCATCCCTTCACAATCACACCATGGCCTTTGTTGGACTGGTGTGTGGTTCATAACATATTCTTTAACTGGCTTACATAGACTGACCTTCCTGAAGGCGGTTGAGCCAATGTTCCTTCAGGCCTATGTCCAATCTCCTTCTAAATTTCACCAGGGATTTCACTATGAATTAGAGATTTCAGATTAGTCCCCAGGTCCTAATTGATTAGAATGCCTTTTCTAGCCTGAGTGCAGTAGTTAACACAGGTGCCGGCCAGCTCTGCCCTTCTCAGTTTTGTGACCATGAGCAAGTTACTCAACTCCTCCTAGCTCTGTTCATTCATCTATACAATGGGGATAGAGAAAGTTCTACTTGACAAGATTTTTCAGCATCTGATGGTTCGTGCAGCAGTGCACTTGACACATTTACTGCACACGATGCACACTGGCCAGGTGGCCATGTGCAGCTGGGCACACAGAAGGCCTCGCCAAACGTGGCGTCCCTTCACTGCCCTGCCCTGCTGCAATGTCTGCCTGGAGTCCCTTCTGTATGCCTTGCCTTTTTTATTGTTGTCGTTGTTTTTTAATGATAAATTATAAGCTTGAATGCAAGAATTGGAAATGAACACGGAATTAAACTTCTTCCAATCAGAAGAAGGAGAGAAAAAAAACTGAGTCTAAAGAGAATCAGCCCCTGAAATAAACCGTGTACCCACAGAACAGAAGCCTGGCCCGGAGCGACCGTCAGTGGGCCGTGGCTTCTGCTCTCGTTGCTAGCTCTCCTTCACCCTGGACACCCCATCTTCTTCCTGCAACCCCCTCTACCTTGACCTACCTCACTTCTGTCCTCTCCAGGCATTCCTCTGTCTTCCCCCAGCACCAGCCTCTCCCCACAGGATTCCTGGAGATCCTTCCTAAAAGGCTGATGTGTGCAAATAAAGAGCTCAGCAACTGGTAGGATGAATTCAACAGAGAAAATAATACTAGGACAGAGGTCCCTACTTAATCCCATGCTCCTCACCCATCCATGCTGAAAGCACTTCTGATTTACAATGACCACTCATCAGGAGTTTTTCAATCTCCTAATAAATTTCAAAACATACGCATCTTTCTGGGACACCCCAGGAACTTGAGTGAACTGCATTCACACTTGAGAAATGCCAGGCAAGCTATGGAAGGGATGGTTCACCCAGTACGGTATTCTGTCACTTCTTACAAAATTCAGTAATGCCACCCAGACATAACTTGGAATCCCCTACTTGGCCTTCTTATATGTATTTATAGTAATGTACTCTATAAAACATTATTTTACTCAACACTTTTAAACATTTTTATAGGCCCTGACACTAACTACCTTCTTGTCTTCGGGTATATTCCTTTACTGTGGCCTCCAGACTGAACCTTTGCCCAATCTAAGCTTCTCATGATTTTAACAACCTGGTGGTCTTACCCTTTTTCACTTTTTGTCATTCCATACTGAAAGAGCCTTAATGGTTTAATTTGCTCATATTTGGGTCTTTACTTGTCAAAAAGTCCAAAATGAACCTTAAATATTTTAAGTCATCTGAAATATTTTTAAGATGAATCAGCTTTTCAACTTTTTTTTTCTTTGGGGATTTGTTTTGCCATTAACCACATCCTCTTCCAATGTTATGTAGCCAACACTTAACTGTAATGTATTTGCATAATACGGGGCAAGCTTTAAAGAAACAGAAATACTTAATCATTGACATAAAGCTCTTAGTTTTTCCTTTACATTCTTAACTTATCTATCAGTGTTTTGCTTAATTGAGCCCTCGTGTTTTCCCAGGCTTAGGGAGAAATTGCCTTGAGTAATCTCCCAGAACACAACCAGTTTCAAGTGCTCCTGGGATGTTTCAGAGGTGAAGACAGCAGGGCACTGACCAGCTGCAGGCAAACTTTTTATCATAGTTGAGGCAAATAATTTCGACCGCCAAGTTTTGGAGCACAGCATTCATTCTCTGTAGTTCTTCCCTGAGGTCAGACACAAACAACATACTCTGCTCTGCCTGTTCTTACAGTGGCCTCTGCAGGATGCTCTGTTCCTGCTTCCTGCAGATGCTCCTGCCCACTAGGATGAGAAGCCATCTCTGCTCTGCCTCCCCAGGTGGGGCACACTGTACTTCACAGTGACTGTTTTCCTGCCAGTCAGGAAAGAGTTTGCCTTGACTGCTCATGCATTCATCCACAAGCATGTCTGGAGTGCTAGTAAGCTAGTAAGCACAGTGCCAGCTCCCAGTCTGTGTGTGTATTCCATCAAAGCAAGCCTGCCCTTGCTCTAGAATAAGACAGGCAGACAGGCCAGGCACAGTAGCTCACGCTTGTAATCCCAGCACTTTGGGAGGCCGAAGCGGGCAGATCACCTGAGGTCAAGAGTTTCAGACCAGCCTGGCCAACATGATGAAACCCCGTCTCTACTAATAATAAAAAAAAATTAGCTGGTCATGGTGGTGCACACCTGTAATTCCAGCTACTCGGAAGGCTGAGGCAGGAGAATCACTTGAACCCGGGAGGCAGAGGTTGCAGTGAGCCGAGATTGGGCCATTGCACTCCAGCCTGGGTGACAGAGTGAGACTCTGTCTCAAAAAAAATAAAGGAAGGCAGACAAATGATGGCAGCCCCTAAAGGCCGATGATGGCAGGAGAGCCCCCGTGCCACGGGAACAGAGGAGAGTGTGGATACTTCATCCTGATGACTCAGAGGGCAGCAGAGACATGGTGACATTTAAGAAGGGCTTAAAAGATCGATAGTGATTTCCTAGGCAGAAAAGCAAGGGCGTGAGGCATTCCAGACAGAAAATGTCATTCACCAACATGAAAAAATAGACATGCAGAAACACAGTTCAGTTCCATTTGATAAGTAGATGTCTGCAGGGCCCAGAGGCGGAACTAGCTGCAAGAAGTTTGAAATTGGAGCCTAGAGCTCAGGAAAGAGGACAAAATAAGAGTCAGATCATGACCAGAATAGCTGAACTCAACCCGGGAGTACTTAGGTTACGAGAGATAAAAGACTGAGTCAGGGAATATCGACTTTAACTGCCCAGGCAGGAGGAACGGAGGCAACTTGGGGCAGTCACTATGGAGGCAGGAGGACTTGTCTAGTTCTGAAAAACTTTTGGAGGCAAACGTTGAGACCCTCATCCCTGATGGAGATGTTTAGGAAGCCTCACCAGAGAGCCAAGAACAAACCCTTCAATGCACTGCGTTGCCACCAAGGGCTTGCTGTCTGGGCGCTTTTCCATTTGGAAGATGAGCAGTTCCCCATTCTTGGTCTTGGTGTCCTTTATTTTATCTCTTATTTTATGGTCACTCTAACTCCAACTGTTTTTTCCTTTTGTGTTGTGAGATTTTGGTAAATGGACTCACAATAATTTGTGGCATAAGAACATCAATAAATAAAAATAAAGATCTAAAATATGATTCAATGAAGTCTCTAAGTTATTTTATCTACTAAAGAAGAAGCAACCTATTTTTGAGTGAATTCAGTTTTATTTTTTATTTTTTTGATACACGGTCTTGCTCTGCCGCCCAGGCTGGAATGCAGTGGCACGATCATGGCTTACTGCAGCCTTGACTTCCCCGGGTTCAGGTGATCCTCCCACCTCATCCTCCCAAGTAGCTGGAACTACAGGCGCAAGCTGCCACACCCAGCTAATTTTTTTATTTTTTGTAGAGACAAAGTTTCACCATGTTGCCCAGACAGGTGTTGAACTCCTGGACTTAAGCAATCTACCTGCCTTGGCCTCCCAAAGTGCTGGAATTACAGGTGTGAGCCACCGTGTCCATCCCTGTGGTATAGGAACATCAATAAATAAAAATAAACATCCAAAATATGACTCAATGAAGTATCCAGGAGTATCTAAGTTATTTTATTCACTAAAGAAACAACCTATTTTTTAGTGAATTAATTCACTTTCCAATGTCTTTGGATTTAGGCATTTGTGTGGCCACTAACCACATCCTCCCCCAGCGTAAGTGTCCCAGGGGTCCCACACGGGCGGAAGCACAGATGCCCACCTGCAGTCACAGTGCCCTCCTCGCTAAAGCTGTTGTCTTCTGAATACGAGATCCTGAAATGCTGTTGACAGAGAGACTTTTCCAGGAGGTGGGCCAACATGAGCTGGAGTTTTACCTGGGTGTGATGGGAGAGGTGAACAGCTGCCTGGCCCTCTGCTGACTCTGTGTCCTCATTGTGGCCTGTCATTGTAGAGTAACACGGACGAGGTGGAGGGTCAGGGAGCCATGCCAGGACTCTCAGAAGATAAGGCGGAGCAAGGAGAATGGCACGGTGTCTGGGAGTCATCAGAGCCAAGTCATAGGGTAGTCTAGTGGCCATTTGTCCCTTTGGTTCTGTGCTATCCATATGGCCCTCAATGCCCAGATAACGACAGTCCAGCCCCCACTCCACACTTACATGCAGGGAACCCCATCCTTCACCAAGTTCCCTCCAAAAGGGCTCTGGGACGCCCATAGAAGATCTGCAGAGCCCGTGGGTCCAGGCTGCTGTCATTGGTCTCCTCGGCTGGCTGCCTCATCACAAGGAGGACGTGCACCCCACTGCCTGCTATCACAGCGGTTTCCCCAGGCTCTGTCCCTGTTCCTGTATCCTTTCCTGCTACCATGGACACAAGCCCCTCCCTCGATTTTCCCAGCACTAAGATCGGGCTGTAACTTCTACAAAAATATATTGAGGACTTGTGGATAACAGGGGGAATGACAAAAAAGAGGAGAAAAGAAATATATTAAAAATGAATGCCAGATACAGCTGCAAACAGTGTCCATAGGGTCCCCAGCCCTCCAGTATCTCAGCTTGCATGGCAGTTACAGTCCAGCTATCATCCGATATATCCTGGACTGGTTGTTTCCAGCTGCCCCTTTCACCCAATGAGTTTCCCAATTAGAAAGACGAATTGTGTGATTTACCCACCACCACTCTTTCAGAATGCTTTTATTATTTAAAAAAAAATTTTTTGAGACAGGGTCTCATTTGCTCTGTCTCCCAGGCTGGAGTGAAGTGGCACAATCATAGCTCACTGTAGCTTCGAACTCCTGGGCTCAAGCAATCCTCTCACCTCAGCCTCCCAAAATGCTCGGATTACAGGCATGTGACACTGCGACCCGCCTCTGAGTGCTTTTATAATGGTGCCTCTACCAGTGTCCAGGGCCTCTCCCTCTCCAAAAATCAGCAAGGGGGAGAAAAGATACCTTATCTAAACCAGCTCTGCATGATGATCTGCAGAATGCAATTATGTCAGTCCATGCTATCAGACTAGTAAGTTCAAGTTTCTTATTTTAAGAACTGGATCATAAATGCACTTCTTTCTTCCCTTCATACGGCTCTAAAATATCTGATCATATTTAAATCAGAATTACAATTCACCACTCGTGGAGCAGAGGTCCAAGCCTTTCATCCAAAATCCCAAGCTAGGAGCCAAGAGAGCCCATCCCGCAAGGTCTGTTCCCCAACAATGGGCAAGAAAGAAAGGAGGCACCCAGGACCTTCCCTCCAGAGTCCAGGCCATTGAGATACCAGCTGACCAGGGCACTGCACCACTCCATGAGCCCCATCACCGCCCTGGTCAAGAGGGCAGGGACCCTTGACCGAGGTGCATGGGAGCCAAAAGTGTGTGTAGGGCAGTAAATATCACCTGGCTCTGGCCCAGATCCAACAGGGCTTAGCTTGGCCATAGGCAAGAACTGAACAGAACATAAGGAAAGGGTTCTTCACCTCCATGTGACTGTGGCTGCTCCCCGATGTACTGTAGGATGCAACCAAAGGCCCTTTGAAGTCTTTTCCCCCAAAGAAGTAATTGGAAAGAATAACCCAAACTTCCACCTAGAAAAACAGAAGAGCTGTTGGCAGTTTAAACATAACAGTCCCAGGTGTCCTCAGATTCTAGCCATCACATTTTCCACAATGCTGGGGCTCTGTCTCAGAGTCCCTGTACGCTCAGCTCCTCTCAGAGCTCATCCTTTTGGGACGGGTACTGTGGCTTACCATTCCAGGAAGGAGATAGGCCCATCGAGGCACCAATGTTGGCTGTGCACTCATCTTGAAAACAGCAACAAGCACCTGGAACACAATTGCTTTGACTTCATCCAGAGCCTCTGGAATCAGGAAAAGTAGACTTGGTTCTCTGGACTCATGGCTGATTTATCATATGGCTGTAGGTGTGTGGCTCTGTGGCTCAGTGTCTCCATCTGCTACCTCCTTCTTCAGATCCTTAAAATTAAAGGGAGGCCTAAAAGGCACTTGACATTGAGTTGTGTTGTTTTTGTGTGGATAACCCCATGAAAGAATAATCCATTAACAGAGGCATCTCCTACTGTCCCTTCATGTAGTAATCCACCCACTCACCCTCAGCAAAAGTGTGGCACTGCCTTCAAAATATAATTTCAGAAGTTGAAGACTTGTCCCAATGGTTTCTGTCAAGAAGCATCTAGAGGAAGTTTAAATCTTGAGCACATGGCTGCCTTTGCCCTTGTAAATTTCTGTAACTTACAAGGCATCCCCTGACTCCAAACAAAACTTCCTTCTGCTGTTGGTGGTTTGCCATTTGCACCATAAAACCAAAGCCTGCCGAAGATACCAGTCCGAGGAGAATGCGGATGAGTGGGCAGGGCACAGGGACACTGGGACTGAAACTGGATGACAAAGAAAATGAACTGAGGGCAAGTCTGGGAAGAAATGGGCAAATGTTACACCGGTGGCTTGATGGGTATCTTCAAAGTGGTCTTTGCTGATCTTGCATTGTTTCCACAATAAATTCAGAACGCAGGCTGGGAGCTCACTGGACTTCAGTCAGATGGCTTGAATTAAAGCCTTAGCTTCACATTTGTGGCTTTCTGGATAAATCACTGAACTTCTTGGCATCTTGATTTCCTTATCTGCAAAGTGGAGGTGATGATACACATGGTCGGTTTCGACCTATCGACCTCCTTAACCTGATAAGAGAATCTCAGATTCATTTTGAGAATAAACTCCCTCAGCTCTGGCCCCAATAACCCTCCACTGTTGATCCTCCTGGCAGGCCTCTATCAGCAAAGAGACCCCACCCTACACAGGGGACAGGTGCTGACCCATGCTGGGCCTCTTGGAATTTCTCCCAGCTCATTTGACTCATGAGCATAGGGTCCCAAGGATGGACAATATAAGCCGATTTATCTCAGCCTGGTTCTTTAGCTGATCCTTCAACTATATGAGTCCCTCTATATCCTCCCTCCCCCAATAAATTCCTTTTTTGCTAAAGTTAGCAAAAATCAGTTGCTGTTACTTGCCACCAAAGAACTCTAATTATACTGCATTTGACAGTTGCCCTGGCTACCTCACAGATAGTTCTGAGAATCAAAAAGACCTGGGATGGGATGTGAAAGCATTTTACTAACCACACAGCTCTATACAGATTGTGTCATTTTTGCTATGCAGAGTCAAATGCTCACTGTGTGCACACTGGGCTGCACAAATCCTTGATGCCAGGAAATTTCCATCACGTTGCTGTAATGGAATTTGGGACAAGTTGTGCCAAGGAATCTCCCGGCCAGAATGAGAACAGTGAGCGTGATGTGCTGCCCTCACCCAATCACTGTGATGTTTTCCACTGGGCATCTGAGCTTGGGGCCAAGCAGGACGGGGCTGCAGCCCGCCTGAGCTGGATTTATGGTCCACGGATTAGTGGGGATAAATCCTCCCTGCTCTTGGAGATCAACTAAATAAACAAGAGGAAAACATCATCTCAGAGTGCGCTGTATAGGCTGAAGGACTGAGAATGAGCAGAATGATGCTGGTCCCATAATTACCTTCGTCGAGATGCTCCTTTAAATGCTCAGCAGTTTTGATGCTGATAATTGAGCTGGCTTTTGGGGGGTTTCCATTGTGGCTCTTTATAGCCATGATCTATGTGCCCATAATGCTAGGTTTTTATTTGTTTGTTTGTTTTAAAAAAGGGGGGGCCTACAGTTAGAGTTCAGGGTGGGCTCAGTGTCTGCTTAACTCGCTGAAAGGCATCAAACTGTAACTTCCAAAGGAAATTGTTTGTCCCAGTGACTTCTCCTGTGCAGCATCGAGAATTTTAAATCTTGACTTAAATGCTGCCCTGAGGTGACATATAAAGGAGTCGTCCTTGCCCCTTGGTAATAAGCAGTCCTTGACAGGAGAGGTTAGCAGGAAGGCGCCGCTGTCCTCGGTTGGGTGTCCAGTATGTGCCAAGCTCTCCAGGAGGCAAAATTCTCCCCCACAGCCCCCGCTGACCAGGAGAAGATGGGAGAGAGGGGGAGAGGAGCCCTGCGCAGAAGCGGCTTCCATCACAGGTGGAAAGGTGAAGAGCACCAAAAGAGAGGAAGGTGGAGTTT